>NC_000005.10:144453659-145078659 GCF_000001405.40 Homo sapiens | reverse complement strand
TTTAAAAGCTTTTTAGGTATTTTTCCCATCCATATCTCTGTGTTTAATTTTTAATTTGAACCATCATACCACTGGCTAGAAGGTGAATTTTAAATACTGCCTTTTAAGAGTATGCCCTGCCCCATCTCTTCATGGTTACTTTCTCATTGCTGCCTGGGGTTATTTTGGTTCTTATTTGGAGTTAGCCCATCAGAATGGCCTTACTTTGGTAGTTCTAATAACAACTAGATGCTATTCTGGTGTAGCTGCCCCTTTATAGAATTCTGATGGACAGTTGACCTTCTCGTAACTTCTTTAGCCCAAATTTCCTCCTCCAAAATGGTTGTGTTTGTCACTGAAACCCTCATGCACAGTCCCTTCAGCAATATGTCAACCCTGACTCCCTTGACATTTCTGATATGTACTGTATCATGATAAATTGGTAACTGAGGCTTTTTATTTTTATTTTTTTGACAATGGGAGTAGAATGGGGTCAAGAGACATGAGACCCAATCCATGTGCATGCTTGAGCTGACACTAACGGCTTTTAATTCATCTGCTGTATCTGCTTGCCACCTAGAGATCTAGCTAGTGTTTCCAAAGGAGAAACTTTCCTATTAAAAAATTAAAAAATTCATTCCAAAAGCCTTGGATTTTTTTCTACTTAACCTAAATCTAATTCAAACTGAGAGTAACTCTTTGATCTACTCCCAGTTAAAAGAAAAGAAAAGAAGAAGGAAAAATCCCTTGTGCTAATTTTACCTGTATGGGACTATAATAAGGTTTCATATTTATAAAACAAACTTCCTTATCTAAATAAATGGTAACCAGTTTGCAATTGGATATTTTTCCCTTCACTTCTCACCACTCCTACAAAGAACTCCAATCTATGTGCACGAAGACCTATTGGCTCTAGCTTCAAAATACACATCTTATCAGTACACTTCTCTTTATATCCACTGCTACCACCTTAGTCTAAATCATTATTGTTTCTTACCTAGAACATAGCAATAACCTCTAACATGTCTCCCTGCCTGCTAGCACATAATGAATTCTAAATAGATGCCTGTTGATCATAATCTAAATAAAGAACCCAAACACCAAAAGACCATTAGATTTACCATCGCTTATAAAAAGGCATTAGATGGCTAGACATCTTTCAATATCAAGCTCTCTTGGTACATTTAAAGTTAGATTCAGTTTTTAAGAATTCCATTTTCACATTATTCATTTGTTTGTTTATTTATTTATTTATTTTTTCGGGAATAACCACTCTATTTGTGGCTTAGAGATTGGGAGGTGGTGATGTGTAACTGGGGCAGAATCTAGCAGACAACAGGAGGAAGGGGGTCACCAGGGCTAATGGCTAGGAGGGCACGCTGGAGCAGTTGGATCTTGTTGGCAAAGGTGCAATCCTCGGCATGCTGTTCCAGTGCTGCACCCAGCTGCCGGGCTCAGTGAGCAGAGTGCACAAGAACTCCTCACAGGGCTGTGCGCTCTTCCCGCAGTGGCTCATGGCCTTGATGGCCCATTACTCATTGTAGGCCAGAACATTCTTATAGCAGTTTCAGGTCCAATTCTGGCTGGGGAAGTGTGAGAAAAAGGTGGCATTGGCCTTTCACATTCTGAGGTACTGAGGTTTAGGATTTTAACATACGAATTTCGGGAGGACACAAGTCAACCCATAACAGAGGGTTTGCAAGGATGAAGTAGCATGATCAGTCAGAGGCACTTAGCAGAGTTGCTGGCTCACTGTAAATCTTAGGTTTTTCATTTATTATCTTTTTTTTATGACACAACTTTTGTTTTCATTGGTCAATGCATATAGCTATTATAATCAGGGAGAAGGAAAACATCAAATGCTAGAACTAGGACTGAACCTTTTAACAAGTGATTTCTAGGGAAGAAGCCTTGATGGGACCCAGCTCAGCAGTCAATTGTCTGGGTCGTAACATACTGCTTTCTGGGTCTTAGAAACACAGCCTGGTTTTCTTACTGGTTTACACAAAAGATATAAAGTTCTGCAAGCCCAACTCATTTAATGCACAGAGAGAAATGTCCTTCAGTAACAGCTGCAGCTAAATATAGTTCATGCTCATTGAAATTACAGCTCTCGGCTTCACAAGCCTCTCTCAGGTCTCTGAAATTTCCCTGACTTTTAGGTGGCCAAGCTAAAAGAGTCTGACTACTCAGCTTTTGGCAAAGACTGATATAATGGATATGTACTGATATCTCAGAATTTAATTCAAGTTTGCATTTAAGAAATTTAATGAAAAATATTAGTAATCATAACAGTAACAATAACCATGCAGTCATTTGCAGTGGTCTTATGTTAGACACTGTGTGTAGTGAATTATGTACATCATTTAATTCTCTCATGCAATATTTATTGGTGCTTACTACATACCAGACTCTGTCCTGGTTCCTGGTGATACTGCAGCAGATAAGATGTACAAATTTTATTCCATCAGGGAGATTACACATTAGAGGGAAAATAATGACATGAAATTCACATAGATATAGATAGATAAACAGTATTTCAGTTGATGGAAAGTATTACAGAGAAAAATAAGGCAGGTATAATAAATAGAAGGATCTGTAATGCTAGAGAGTTTGGGGCAATGGGGCTCACTGAGAAGATAACTTTGAGCAAAGACCTACAAAAGATGAGGTCATGAGCCATGAGGATGTCTTGGAAGAGAACATTCTAGAAAGAATGGAGAGTATTCAAAGAATCTGAGGAAGTAATGTACCTAGTGTGCTCAATTGTCAGTACACATATGGTGGCTGAAAGGAAACGAGAGAGGAAAAACTTGTGGACGATAACATCAGAAGTAATGGGAATGCACCATTTAAGTAGGGTACTATCAGACCTTGCAAGGATTTTAAATTTTATTTTTTAAAGATGGTGAGCCAAAAGAAGATTCTGGGCAGAAGAGTGACATGGCCTGACTTACATTGTAAAAATGTAAGCCTGGTGCTCCATTAGACTCTAGAGGTCGTGGATAGGATATTCAATCCAACCTCTCTGATTCCAAAGCTGGGATCTTATTCACTGCACTGAGTCATATCTTCCACATAGTTTCATTTTTACAACTTGCATTATTTCTACAATATTCATTGTGCAATGGAAAAATTGAGAATGGATAAGAAGTGTCTTTCTTCAGGTGTGCACAACATCATCAACCTCCTCACCCAGTCCTGCCTTCTAATCATTCTACTGAAAAGTTGTCATGTTTGGTCAGTAGGACCCCATTCTTACATGCTAGTCTGATCCTGTGGCTGAGTGATGTTTTCATTTCATATTTAAAGTAACAGCAACAGATGATTGAGGGGGAAAAAGGAGGAAGACCACCACCTACTACCAAAACCTGACAATTATTCTCTGAGAGGTATGTCATCTTGTACTGTCTTTACTTGTGTAGTTTTTGTTCACATACTTGATAATGCATTATATAGTTGCCTTATTGCCTTCAAATTTCATTGGCCACTTCTTACCAGTCACTATGGCTAGGTGCCCCTTTTCTTCCTAAATTCTAAGTGTAAAAGTGACACAGGGATCACTTCTCTGTATAACCTCTCTAGGGAATCTCAACCCATGCAATGGTTTTAAATATTACAGAGACCCAGTAACTCCCAAGTGTAAATCTTCAGCCCTACCTGAGTCATAGACTTATATATCTGGTTCAAATCACTTCTCTGAACTTCAGCTTGTATATTCTTCTAATTACTTGACATCATATCTTGTATGTTTAAGAGGCATCTTAAGCATAACACATCTAAAAGACTTTCTTGATTACCTTTCTTGAAATATTTTCTTAATCTACATATACTATCTCAATATGAGGTACTACCATTACCTCACTGTTCCAGATTCATCTTTTTCTCTCACATGTAATGCCCAATTTCTCAGCCAGTCCTTTTATCTGTACTTAACCCTGAAAGTTGTATCCTTAAAGTTGACATTTCCAATGATGTTCGTGAGTCCTTCATGCAAACTGCCATCATTTCTCACCTTGACCACTGCAATAGCCTTCTTCACTGCTTTTCTATCTTCTATTCTTACCCGCCACAGTCAGTTTCCATTCAGCAACAAGAGCAATAAGTTCAAAATAAATCTGAAAGGCAACAACCAAAAACACAGAAACACTTGCAGGTGAAGATGCCAGGCAACTGGAACTTACACATTGCCTGTGAGAATGCCAAACCATGCAGCCACTTTGGAAAAAAAGTTTGGTACTTTCTTCTAGAGTTACATGTATACTCGTCATATGACCTAGTAATTCTTATAAGCATTTGCTCAAGTGAAATGAAAGCCTATGTTCACTCAAAAACTTATATGTGTTTATTTTTTTTTTTTTTTATTATTTTTTATTATACTTTAAGTTTTAGGGTACATGTGCACAACGTGCAGGTTTGTTACATATGAATACATGTGCCATGTTGGTATGTTGCACCCATAAAAAGAGAAGTAGAAATAAACCACTTAGAAGCAAGCAAAAAAAAAAAAAAAAAAAAAAAACTTATATGTGGATGTTTGTCGCAGATTACTCTGTATATGGATGTTTGTAGCACATTACTTTGTAATTGGCAAAGAAAACTAGAAAGAAACTGTGGAACAGATAAATTGTGGTATATCCATTTATAGCAATAAAAACTCAACTCAGTAATAATAAGGAATAAACTACTGATACTGTCAAGAACATGGAAGAATAATGCATTATGCTGAACAGGAGAAGCAAGACTCAAAGACAAAAGGCTGTATGATTTTATTTGTATGATATTCTGAAAAAGCAAAAAACTATGATCGAAAACAAATTTAGTGAAAGTGAAGGTGACCACAAAGAGACATGGGGGAATTCTTTTGTGAGATGGAACTGTTGTATATCTTGATCATGGGGATAATTACATAATTGTGTGTGTACATCAAAATTAGGAGAACTGTACACTTTTTAAATGGTAAATTTTACTGTTAATAAAAATAGAAAAAAGATCAATCTAATTCATTTAATTCCTAGTTTAAAACATGCAATGACTTCCCATTTGACTCAGACAAAATATAAACTCCTTATGTATATAATCTGGCCCCGGCCTGCTCTCTGACCTCATCTTGTTGCTCTGAGAAGATATGAAATTAGTTTTCACCTCCAGATGTTTGCATTTTATTTCTTCAGAACATCTTTTTTTAGATCTCTCCATGGCTGAATACTGAATTCAGGTTCTTTGCTCAAATGTCTTCTGTGAACTCTTAAGATAAACAACATACTCTATCTTTTTATTGCATTTATCTTCATAGCATTTAACCTGAATTAATTCTGACTTACTAATGAACTTCTTTACCCAACTGAAATGTTAAGTTTCACTAGAGAAGGGACTTAGTCTGTTTTGATCACTACTTTTCCTTAGCACTTATAATGATAGAAAGAAAGCATCATTTATATATATATATGTACTGTTAAAAATATGTTGAATAAATTGACTGTTTGAAGTCCCCATGATTACATCTGAATAGTTTCCCAGATTCTTGTAAAGCAGCTGTTGAATTGACATGTATTTTATTCTCTAGTTCCCATGGTGCTGCCACAGAAGCAAATGAGGCATGAAATCCTTCCCCACTTACTGCACACGAGCTAACTGGTGCTTTAGGAATACAGAAGGAGTTGCCTGGGAAGTCTCCTGGCTCAAATGACAGAACAGTAGCTTAGGACACTTATAGTTTAATACTAGTTCTTTGTCTATCTTCCTGTGTGAATTCTAGGAATACAGGAAAGAGAGTGAAACCAACTTACCTCCCAGAATTGTTCAGTTGAATAATAAACTAGACTCTTTTTTTTTTTTTTGCAAAAATGAAGCATTGTTTTATTTTTTTCCCTTCAACCTTTGATTTCTCTGATTCTATAATTAGGGTCCTCAGATTCAGTGATTATGGTGTATCAGGATGTTGCCCATAGTGATGGTCATGTGCACATAAGCATAGAGTGAAAGAACTTAAGCATTGTTGAGATGTATAAGAATGTTATTTAACTAGAGGATGGTACCCTGTGCTTGCTATAGTTTGGATGTTTATCCCCTCCAAATCTCAGGCTGAAATTTGATCCCCAGTGTTAGAGGTGAGACCTAATGGGAGGTATTTGCATCATAGTTGTATATCTCTCATGAAGTATAAGATATGTATAACTAACACGTAATAGAGTAATTCTATTTATAACATTTATAACCTTGGTAAGATCTGCAGCTTTCTTTTTTAAGTTCCAGATTTAACAAATTTGAGACAAATGGAGAAAGTCAATCTGGAAAACAACATATAATTAAATTAAAATGAATATAGAAAAAGGAGAGAAGAGAATAGTCTGGAATTGATAATTTATATTGTTGAAGTGTAAATGATGATACTAAGTGGTCAAAGATGCCAAAGATAAATTTAAATTAGATTATACTCCTCCTTTTTATTCGGGCTATTAAGCTACTTAGAAACTGCTTTATACAACATGGGAGCAAAAGGAAACTTCAACTGATATGAATAATCAGAAGCTCTAAGTTAAGAGTGTAACCATAATAATTACATCTTATTGAGAATGAAGTCAGTAGTTGAACATCAAGTCCTGCCGCCTCCATCGAATCTTGGAGACATAAAACGAGGTGAAGGTAATTGGCTGAGCTCAGCTAATTCCTGAGAAAATCCCTAGGACATCAGAGAATAAAAATAATTCTATAAATATTTGTAAAATAATGTTATTTCCAAACTCAGTGCTTAGCTGACACCCAATTAACTGGCAGGACTTTAGATCTCCAGGCCTTGCCTTGTGATCAAGAGAGGAAAAAAAGGAGAAAGCCTGACTTAATTTCTTTACTGATTATTGCTCTAGCCAGGAACATATTCATTTCTCAGTAGGGTTATAGTGTGTTTGATTAGTACATGATGACAAACATCTGAACAAAACCTGAAATTACAACCAAAATGTCCTCTGTTTTCTATGATGACTTACAGATGATCATACAATTTCTTGGTAATTGAGGTCTACTTGAGATTCTGGGTGCTATAAAATCTGGCTTTTTTTCCATGAGGGGTGACGCTTGCCTTATCATTAGCCTAATTTTGCACTTCCACCCTCTTGGTTTGTGGTAACAAAACGTTTACAACTTTAGATTCAGGTCTAACTCTCTCCTAACTCAAATCAACTTTAATTCCTCTATCTCTGTACCCACTTTGAAATCCCTGTAGGGTAGATTTAAAAAAAAAATGGACTTATGGCAGGCACTATGGTAATCACTTATAGGCCATATCTCCTCTAACCTTCGGACTCCAGAGTAGAAATCATTTAAAGATAGAAAAACTGGGTATTAGGGAGCTGTAACAGTTTCACAGTAATACAGTTAAAGAAAAACAGAAATACCCGTTTCAAATACGCTTCTGTCCAAAGCTCATAACCTCCTTTCACATCATGATTTCACATACCAAATCTCATGTCAAGGAACAAAGTAATTAACAAGTATTTATGGAGCTCCAGGCTCTGGTTTAAGTAAAAGTATTCAATTTTTACTTTTGCTTCATGCAATTCTGCCTAATTCTATTCACACTCAAATGCTCACCTACAGTTAATAAAATCCATTTTAAAAGTTCCAAGCCATGAAACCTACAACATTGGTTGCTAATAGAGTTGCAAAAATGAAAGACAGTTGCTTTAACTTCATTTACTTGGTTTTAATCTTTACCTTTCTTTGTCAGGAACATTGTTGGATTAGAACACAGGTGTTGAATTTCATTCACTTTATGTCAGCCCCACGGGTCAACCATACAGTTTTATCCCAGTAAGAATTTAAGCAAGTTGGCTGGCATCCTAGCTCTGTGAAAATTCTAACTTAGTAGGAAGCCAAAAGTTCACCCAAGAACTAAGGAAAAAATCAAATCAAAGGGATTTAATGAAAAGTGAAAGTGAATGCTTTTCTATACTGATCTTTTCTATACCGGATATTCCCCTTCTATACTCCAAATATTATGGAAACTTACAGCTGGAAAAGAAATTCAACATAATCTAAAAGTCTCATTTTACAAGTAGGAAAACAGGATCAGAGTTCATAGATACCTTGTAGTACTACTGTTGTTCTCATTTCACACAGTTCACATGCTTAGCTGGTGAAGAACTCAAAAACAAGTATATATGGCACTATTTCACGTTCGAACATGTCTGGAAGTACCCTATGTTATGAAATTTGAGGTCAAAAAGAAAAGCAAAAGGGATCATTTTAACAATAAGAGAACAATCAAGAAAACAGAAATGACTATCAATGATACCTTAGTTTTCTTAATTCCCATTTTATGTTATCTTGGCTCAGAGACAACACCTCAGATGATAATGATTGTTTTTATAAAGGATGACCCAAATTTTCATTCCTCGAGTCTCACTCCTTAGAAGTCACTTCTCTGGTGGGTTGCAGTGATCTTCTCTTAACATTTACCTCTGTACATGAAAGTAGACCTTGATAATCCTTTTGGTTCCAAACATATCCAGACTTACCCCTTAGGTTGAAACAATCTGTTTTCCCTTCTTAGTTGGGATTTTTCATTGCATCCTCTTCTTTTCCTATTGATTTAGTGGCATAGGGAACCCAAAATGACCAGGTGATATTCTCAACTTCTGTATCCATTCTGTATTCCCTTGTGGAAATAGATTTTGTTTGTTTGTCTGTTTGTTTGCCTTGAGAATCAAGACCTCACAGAGCCCAAAGGTGTAGAAACATGCAAGAAAAAGACGCAAAAGTTGTGTGAATCTACCATTAGATGGAATAGTGAAAACAGTTACTCTTTCTTTCACCCATAGTTATAGGAGAAAATACACCAGACATTGGTCAGTGGTTCAAAGCATATGCCACAATTTATAGGGTTAGCTTTCCAAAAATCCTAAGTGTTGTCACCCAGCTGGCACTAAAACTGGATCTTTAGTAGCTTTTCCACATTTTCTTCAGTCTGTTGCTTCTGGATGATGGGGAACATAGAGAAGTAAATAGCAAAAGAGAAAGCTCATTACCTGACTTCTAAAATGAGTTCCTGTGTCAGGGCAATGAAGTGTATGAGATCAGGATGGTGCATAAAGCATTAATAAATCCATAGATGGTGGTATTGGGAAAAATTCATGTCCTACATGTTTATTTCAGTTAAAATAAATTATGATGAAAGGGGGCTTAGAGGAGCAACCTGATGCTAGAGAAATGATTTGCCGGTATTGGTCTCTGTCATCAGCAAGTTAGACCCTCAGTACTAGTGGTAGCCAGATCAGGCTTCATGAGGGAATGCCTAGCCAATATCTCTGTAACAAAAGTCCTAAACACCTTATTATAAAAACCCTTTTATCAAACACTAGGCATTTGGGAAAAAGGTGTGTATGACATGCATAGAGTGGGTTATCTTGCGCATTTGATTTTTGAGATTCTTCTATAAAGGAGATGGTCTTGGAGCACATGAGATGCAAATATTCTCACAGTCCGTGCCCATTTCTAAGAGGTCTATCCACAAAAACGTCTCCATTTTTGTTACTCCCAAGTGTCTGCCATATTATCAAACTGTTGTTCACTGGCCATGTGTCATTTTAGACTATATTTCTGATCATCTTTCTTTCCAGAAAAAATGGCCAACAGGATCACTGCTCCACATTCTGCTCCCTGGGAATGCTTCCTTTCCAAACTGTTTTTTAAGGCCACCCTGAGTGAGGTTTTAATGTTACAGCCATCTGTTTCTAGCCGGTGCCAGCATATCACATAATATACTCAGTAATGAGGCTCCAATTTTTTTTCTCCTTCAGTAATCTGGTCATACGAAAAATCTCTATTAGGCCACGGGTGTGGGTTGATGGAGAAGTGCAATGCATTAGTCACAAGTGTCATGCATGTCAGAGTCAATATTCATCTAACTTACTTGCACCATAAGAACATACTTGAGCCTATCCTCATACTTACCATTTTAAATTAAAAATAGAGGACTTCTCTCCATGCTCCAATTTATGACCAGTGAACACCCAGTTAATGATTGGAAGCTCAGGTTCCAGGGTCAGTTACAAATATTGTCCCACAATCAAGCATATAGTTTCTACCAGTGCCAACAGAAGCTATTTCTCAATAGAATAGTTTCGTGAGGTTTCCCCCCAACCTTTGGAGATCTCCTATCAGAATTTATCAGAAGTTCCATACAGCACTCTGTTAAGTAATAGACCCATGAGTAATGTAAGTCTGGTCACAGGCCCAAATAGAACACCTTAAAATCCAGCCTGGAACAATTACAGACATTTTTTCTTGCTCTGGATTTCACTCAAAAGAGTCAACTTTACAGATCATTTCAGAAATGGGCTGAAGAAATACATTCACATGTGGTGTCCAGTTATTCAGAATCTGAAGAGGTCTTACAAGCATTATGTTTTTTTTCATATTAAAGAAAATAATAGGTGCAGCAACTTGTCCTTCAGAGTAGAGGAACTGCAGAGATATGTCATAGACCAGTAGACCCCTAAGAACCTCAGTGAGGTCACAGGTACTGTATTTTTTTCTTATTTTCATCTCCTACCTTCTGGTGCACATTAATTTCACCATATCATTCTTGATTAGTAGATCTGATCATCCTCGTGTAGACCAATAGGATGCCATGTGAGATGGCAGGGTGCTCAAGGTTTCTGCATGCCAAATTTTGAAAGAAAGTTGGTAAACCTGAGGTAAGATAGTAAAGTAAACTGCTTGCCCTGTTAAGGATGAGAAAAATTGTGTCTGGTGGATTTTGCTAATTGGTATAAAGGAAAAGAATTTGACAGATTAATAGCTGCAAGTTGAATGCTAGGATTTATGTTGATTTGCTCAAATAAAGAGACAATGCTTAGAACAGCAGCTAAAATTGAGGTTACTATGTGATTAAATATTTGAGAATCCAGTCTAATTCCCCAAGACAGGTCTGTCTACAACATAGGCAATAGAAGTAAATTAAATGAGATGTAGGCATCACTACTCTATATTTCAGTCTTTGATACAACTGATAATCTTTAAAACTTCTCTAGGAATATGGTATTGCTTTTGGCTTACTGTATTGTGATTATATGTGTGCATGTCTTTGGTCAGGGGACTGGGGGAGCAGTTCTAATGACTTCAGTTGGTCCTTCCTACCATAGTAGCCCTCATCCCATAAGTTAGGAAGTGAAAGTAGGGATTCATCCAACATTCACATATGTCTGATTCTACTATGCATTCAGGAACTGAGAAATGACCCTGGATGAGTTCTTATATCCATTGGTTTTCTGTAAGATGGACTTAAGAAACCCTTTTATTACTAAGCTTAAAAAAATCCACATTTTTCCTGGGGAATTATAATGGAGTTTTAATTTCTCAGGATTACTATAGTCTCAGAGTCCATATCTAATGATCCTTCAAATATTGGGATGTTTCTTTTTCCCTTGGAAAATGGTCTTGGGTTTCTTTAAGAAAAGGTGGGTGAAAGACTTGGGATATTGAGTCTTTCCTCAAAGAAACTCGGCCTACATTCTATTCAAGGAATTCTGAATCTGTGAACAGGTTCAGGTAAAAAATTGGGTGGGAGATGACAGAGTAGGTTATATGATTTTCAAAACCCCACCTCTCTGGCTGTCAAGTGGACCAGAATGCTTGAGTTAGATTTAACAGCACAGGGGAAGCCAAGGATGGACTCAGAAGAACCTAATGTTTAAAATACCTTATTGCACTTTATACAATTAGTACAAGAACAACCTTCACAGAAGAACAATATATGCAAAGTTACCTGCCGTAAACTAATTTTTTTTAGACAGGACCTATTGGCGTCCTGATGAAGGATTTCTCTATGTTCTCTCATGGTTGTCTACTCATTTTTTTTTGTTCTCATTTATTTTTTCCAAACAGATGATACATGCATTTCATTAATTTTTTTACGAAACACATTCTAGTCCTGAATTTGAAATTTTACAAAAAAATTGTATTCAAGCTTTTAGAATTATTCTGCTAATTTGTTCCAACAAATGGATTACAATCCTACTATGATACTTTTATGACTTTAAGATAGAAAAAGTCACTTTATTCCTAATTTGGGGTGTAACGTAGAGGATAGGGACACTTCTCACTACAGCTTTTGATGGCAATCAAGGAGACAGACACCTCACTACAGCTTTTGATGGCAATCAACAATAGTAGTCTAAACAAATAGGTACCTAATACTGACAGAGCAAAAGGTTTGTGTGTATTATGGATCAGTTGTTTTTTTCCTCCTAGATAGTAGGTAAAACCAGTCTTGAGGTTTAATAGTCTCAGAATAATTTTCTCTTTCTCCAAGTTCATAGAAGAAAGCCTTTCCGACTACAAAATTGATGAGCGTGGAATGAAAGCCATATCTTCACAGCTGATCTATAATAATAGTGATATTCACTTTGTGTAAACGTATTAAAATGAATAATGGTGCCTAATACACTATTCAAGTTATTTTACTATGGGAAATCATTCATCAAAAGTGCACATAAATCTGGAATTAAATTAATCATCTCATACAATGGGTTAGTCTCTTGCAAATTTTACTCACTAGAAAAATATCAAACCAGCACTTCTGAACAAATACATATGGATTTATAATTAAGCCCAGTAAAACCTATGATGAAATATAAAAGGTAGAGAGCAAAAATCCAAATAAAATTATTATGGAAAACAGTACCAGATTTCTTTTGGGTAAAGCATAGCACATTTTGGTTTTTAACAAAACACATCAGGATTTTTTATAATAAAATGTAACATGCGATTTCGTGACACATTTGGTGAATAATTGATAGCAAGAAAAGTGTGGCAGCTATTAGAAAATTCTGATGGTTATCTAATGTACTTTATTAAAACAACCAGGCATACTACATGTTAACTTTAAAAATGCCTTATGGATCTAAAAGAGACAATTGTTTGTCTGCCAGAAAAAACCCATATATTGATGCCGGGACTGTGCATTGCTAGACAAATAAAGGCAAACAGAATTGATTATCAAGGTTTTATTTTTTCTTTCTTTTCTTTTCTTTTTTTTTTTTTTTTTTTTACAAATGGTAAAATGTTGCTGCCAACCACATAATTAAAATATTACCAAATTTGAAACATATGGCAGTGACTAATTTATATTTCTTATTTTCTATTTGGTGTAATTCTGGTATCAGTTGAACTCATTAAACTATTTCGTTAATTTACAACAAAACTACTTTGACCTCAAGTACAATTTGTAAGAAATTCTGATGATGCTACTATCTGCTTCAATCCTTCTCCCAAATCCTCTAGAATAAACCCAATTCAAATTTATTTTTCAAAACTGTTTCTACATCCAAAGTGAAAAAATATATATCCATCAATTCCAATGTTATTATTACTATCTATTCTCTTTGATACACTTGAGATATGAATTAGGTAATAGTGTTTAACCCATAACACTGACAGTGTAAGAAGTAAAAATTATAGTGCACAAAATCTGCATATTAAATATCATGTAATTATTCCAGTTGCATGTGAATATCAGAATATCAGAAAGACATTTTCTGATACAATAAATTTTGTTGTTTATTTAAAGGATACATCTTCCAATAAGCCAGGTGAGTCAGTTCTAAATAGATGACATGGGAACACAAATAGGAATTACATTTATTCACACCCACTCTGTCCTGTTCCTGAAAACCTTTTGTATGAGGAAAGGCTGAAGTATATTGTGTCATTTCCTATTGCTACTGTAACAAATTCCTACAATGATGGTGGTTTAAAACAACAAAAATGTCTTATGATCTTATAAATCTGGAGGTTAGAATTCCAAAATCAGTTGTCAGTGGGACTTCATCACGTCTGGAGGCTGTAGGTGAGAATCATTGCCTTGCCCATTTCAGTTTCTAGAGGCTGCTACCTGTTGGGCTTAGTGCCTGACCCCATCCTCCCTCTTCAAAGCCTGACTCTCCTTCTGCCATTACATTGTCTTCTTTGACTTTGATGCTCCTGCTGTTCTCTCTCAGCTAATCTGGGATAATCTCGTCACGTGAAGATCCTTAATTTAATCACATCTGCAAAGTCCATTTTGCCATGCAAGGTAACAAATTCATAAGTTCTGGGAATTAGGATATGGGCATCTGGGGGATGACAGGCATTACTCAGCCTACCATAGGTATATTCATGACATCAACTTGTTTTATTTTCATCCTCCTTTTACTTAGAAAAATCTGGTCAAAAATTGATTCATTCAGTTTCAGTATCTTCTAGACAAGATCAATACTACTTAGCCACAGTGATCCATTAATTAAATGAAATCATATTGGGCATTCATATGTGCTAAACACCATTCTAAGTGCTGAGGCACTATGATGAATATGACAGACAGATACCTGTTCCCAGAGAGTTTATAATGTTGAGGTAAAGAGCCACATAAAAGACAATTGTGTTATCACTTATGAAGGGCTTTGGGATCAATGAGGAGGGATGCCTAACACAGACAAAAATTCAAAGAAGCCTGCATAGAAGAGGTATCATTTAGGTTGAAATGTGAGAGAAAAACAGCATTGTAGGGAGAATTCCGGGCATTGTAGGGAGAATTCTGGGCAATGGGAACAGCATGTGCAGAGACCTAGAGGCATGAGGGAGGGCAAGTATGTTTGAAGATGGCAGATAGTTCTGGAGGGCAGCTAGTGGGGGAGGAAGTGAGAAAAGGAATGATTGTGGAGAAGTAGTCAAGGGCCAGCAGTGGGGAGCTATTAAGAGGTGTAAGTGAAAGCATCGTATAATTAGATTTTTGTTTTATGAAGATTATTCTGGTTACAGTGAGGATAATATATTCTAGAAATAAAACAAAATTGGGGCCAGAAATCATTGTTTAAAGACTTTCTTGATAAAACTACTCCCTGTAAATGTCTGGATATCATTTTTGAGACTATATATCTAGTTCTATCTTGAAACAGTCTCCCATTCAATCTTTAGGTGACTTTGTATTTTTGTTTTTATAAGATGTCAACTTCTTTCCTGCATCAGGGACCTCATGAAACTTCTTCTTTCTGCTTGGAATGCTTTTCCCCCTCTCTTAACCTGGAAGATTTCCTGGTCTTCATCTCGAATTCCACTTTTGCAGATAAGTTTACCTGGAGCTCCCAAACAAAGGCAGGTCTTCTGTTATAAACTCCCATAATATCTGCCACCTCTTCCTTGTGTTAAATAAGTACTGTTTTGTTAAATAAATTAATCAAAAAAAGAATTTAATAAATCAATAAATGAAATAAAACAAATTGAATCACAGACCCAATATTTTTTCTGGGAAAATTATGAATGTTTCATTTTACTTATTTTACTTGTTAATTCCAGATTTTCTATGTTTTTATAATTCTTATATCTTTATTAATAATCTCTATTGACAAGAAATTGTCATTATAGCTTCCTTGATTCTTTAGGATGGTTTCCTTTAATCATTTGAATATATTTATAATAGCTACTTTGAAATCTTTTTTCTGTTAAATGTGTCACCTAGATCCCTACAGTCAATTTTTATTTCCTGCTTTTTTCTTGTGCATTGATCACACCTTCCTACTTCTTTGGTACATCATTTTTCCTACTTCATTTTTATATTTTGAAAACTAGACATTGTAGATAATATTGCAGCAATTTGGGGAGCCTGATCTGCTCTCTCCACTCCAGAGTTTATGCTTTGCTTGGTCATTTGCTTCTGTGTTTAGTGATTTGACTGAACTAATTATGGGAATTCTACTCCCCACTGCCCTCCCCACACACAGAGTGTACATGCTTAGTCTTTTTCTTCCTGTTTCTCTTAGTCTTGTTTCCTAGGGGTTGCCCCAGTGTTGGTTTAAGCCACTTATGTTCAAATAAGTTAGATGTTTACTCTTTACTGTTTAAGGTCTATGTGGCTTGGAAGCTGCTATCACAGTTCGTGCGGTTTGCATTTTGTCTAGAGTTCAGCAAAGGAATAGTGATTTGGTGATTATCTCTGTGCTCTTTCTTGGGAGGGTTCAGTCTTGGACATGAACACAGTCTTCCATTCTCCCACAGAGGCGTGTAATTTGTTTTTAAGCCTGGCTTTCCAAGAGTTGCCCCTTGGGTCAAAGTACTTGTTGTTCAGTCACAGTTTGGTCAGAGGGTTGAGCCTCTGCTGACCAGTGAGGCTTCCACCCTGTTAAGATGTAACTATGTGCAGCTTGAGGAATGCTTTCAATTCTGCCCATATCCTACTCTGACTGCTCCTGTGTGAGTGTAGCCCAGTGCATTCCAAGACAGTCTCCCTGACTCCTAATGTTGACGTCATCCCAGCAGAGCTCTTAGTTTTGTCTTTCCTTGATTCTGTATGTTAAACTTCTGTGTGCTCTGCTGTTTTGCTTGTACCGTGGCGCCAACATCCTTTTTATTTTCCACCAAGAGTACGTAGTTTTTGGCGACACATTTGGTCATGGAGTTCTCAACACTCTATCCAAGTAAAGTCACTACCCTCAGGTAGAGCTGCTCTTCTTCCTTATGGCTTGACCTTTCCCCTGGGCAGAAATCCTGTACCACTGCACCAGAACTGAAGGCAGAGATTTGCTTTCCTGAAGTGACACCCCCTGCTCTAGAAGTGGACACTGTGGAAATGACAGGCCCTGGACTTCTCAGCTTGTCCCTCCTGTCATGGAACCTCCACCCTAGCAAGTTGGGGCAGAGGCAATCAGGGCCTCATGAGTAATGAGGCCTGCTATGCTAGAATAGAGCTTCTGTCCTACTAGTCCACAAGTGAGGACTGGGTGGAGGAAGGTAGACCTGATCACCTCTGCCATGCCAGCCTGAAACAAAGCTTCTGCAACACAGAACTGAGTGAGGGCAGGGAAGGCAGGGCAGTCTTCCTTCCCCTCCCAGGATAAAACCATAGCCTCAGACTAGCAGCTAGGAGGAAAATGATCCCAGGTTTTCTTGGCCTCACTTGCTGGAATAGGGCACCAGAGGTAGAGCCTCCATAACACAAGCTGGGAGAGGAAAAAAGAATGCCAAATGCCAAAAGCTCAAATGCCATAGACTCTTACAGTTCTAAGATTTAGTAGATTTTCTTGAATGACTTTTTTCGTTCATTTGCCCTTATATGCCCTTAGCATATTTTCTTGAGACTTTACATGATTTTTTAAAAATAATTTTTACCTGTTAAATTGTTGATTTGTGACATTCTTTACAAAACTAGAAGAAGCATATTCTCACTCATAGGTGGGAATTGAACAATGAGATCACATGGACACAGGAAGGGGAATATCACACTCTGGGGACTGTGGTGGGGTGGGGGGAGGGGGGAGGGATAGCATTGGGAGATATACCTAATGCTAGATGACGAGTTAGTGGGTGCAGCGCACCAGCATGGCACATGTATACATATGTAACTAACCTGCACAATGTGCACATGTACCCTAAAACTTAAAGTATAATAAAAAAAAAAAAGAAGAAGCTATTTTAAAATTCATATATTATAGAATGAAAAAAGAGCCCAAATAGATAAGGCAATCCTAAGCAAAAAGAACAAAGCTAGAGGCATCATGCTAACCCCAACTTCAAACTATACTACCAGGCTATAGTAACCAAAACAGCATGGTACTGGTATGAAAACAGGCACATAGACCAATGGAACAGAGTAGAGAACCTAGAAACAAGGCTGCGCACCTACAGCTATGTGATCTTTGACAAACCTGACCAAAACAAGCAATGGTGAAAGGATTCCCTATTCAATAAATTGTGCTGGGATAAATGGCTAGCCATATTCAGAAAATTGAAATTGGACCCCTTCCTTACACCATATACAAAAAATAGCTCAATATGGATTAAATATTTAAATGTAAAACCCAAAACTATAAAAAACCTGGAAGACAACATAGGCAATACCATTCTGGACACAGGAATGGGCAAAGATTTTATGACAAAATCACCAAAAACTATTTTAATGAAAGCAAAAATTGACAAATAGGATCTACTTAAACTAAAGAGCTTCTGCACAACAAAGGAAACTATCAACAGAGTGAGCAGACAACCTACAGAATGGGAGAAAATTTTTGCAAACTGTGCAACTGACAATGGTCTAACATCCGGCATCTAGAAGGAACTTACACAAATTTACAAGAAAAAAAAAAATAACCCCATTAGAAAGTGGGCAAAGACATGAACAGACACTTTCCAAAAGAAGACAAATATGTGGCCAATAATCATATGAAAAAAGCTCAACATTGCTGATTATTAGGGAAATGCAAATCAAAACCACTATGAGATATTATCTCACACCAATCAGAATGGCTATTATTAAACAGTCAAAAAATAACAGATGCTGGTGAGGTTGTGGAGAAAAATGAACGCTTATATGCTGTTGGTAGGAACATAAATTAGTTCTACGATTGTGAAAGACAGTGGAAATTCCTCAAAAGCCTAAAAACAGAAATATCATTTAACTAAGGAATCCCACTACTGAATATATACCCAAAAGAATATAAATCATTCTGTGATAAAGGCACAGGTACTCATATGTTCATTGCAGCACTATTCACGATAGCGAAAACATGGAATCAACCTAAGTGGCCATCAGTGATAGACTGGATAAAGAAAATATGGTACATATACACCATAGAATAATATGCAGACATTAAAAGGAATGGGATCACATTCTTTGCAGGAACATGGATGGAGCTGGAGGCCATTATCCTTAGCAAACTAACTCAGGAACAGAAAACCAAATACTGGATGTTCTCACTTATAAGTGGGAGCGAAATGATGAGAATACATGAACACACAGAGGGGAACAACACACACTGTAGCCTATTGGAGGGTGGAGGGTGGGAGGAGGAAGAGGATCAGGAAAAATAACTAATTGGTATTAAGCTTAATACCTGGGTGACAAAATAATCTGTACAACAAACCCCCATGACATAAGTTTACCTATACAACAAACCTGAACATTCATCACTGGACTTAAAAGTTAAATTAAAAAATTTTTGATTTGCTAGAATAGTGTTCCTCAATTTCCTTACTTTACCATTCTGGAATTCCTACTCTAACTTCTTCTCCCCATAGTTTGTTTATATTTGTTATTTATAACCAATGTTGTATAATAACTCGTTGCTCCGCTGGGTATATATGTCGACAGTTATCTATCCATTTCATGTTGACAGACACTTAAGTGGCTTTCCCCGTGTTCTGTGTTATAAACAGTACTTCTATGGTGGTATATTCAGGTCCTTTTGTAAGCTAAATAGTTTTCTAAGATTGTTATACCAATTTACACTCCTACTGGAAGCATATGAAATTTCTGAATGCTGCACATCTTCACCAATATTTGGTGTGTTTTGTCTATTGAATTTTAGTTATTCTGGTGTGTGTGTGTGTGTGTGTGTGTGTGTAGTAATGTGTTAAACTGTGATTTTAATTTATATTTATCTGATAACTGACGAAGTTGACCACATTTTAATAAATTCTTTGGCCATTTGTGTTATGTGCATTGTCTGTCTTGTCAATTGATTTATACAAATTCTTCACATATTCTGAATGCCTTATTATGTTTTAAAAGAAATAAGAGGAAATACATGAATAGTGAGTCTGTTAAATATATTTTGAGAAAAAAATTAAGAAAATTCCAAACTAGGAGGTTATGCAGAACACAATTAGTAGACAGGGTTAAAAAAAGACAAGTAATTTAGAAGTTGAAAAATATTCTGAAGTTAATGTGGTTATCGTCATCTGAAGTCTTTTTCTTTTTTTTCTTTTTTTCTTTTTTTTTTTTTTTTTGAGACAGAGTCTCGCTCTGTTGCCCAGGCTGGAGTGCAGTGGTGCAGTCTCTGCTCACTGCAAGCTTCACCTCCCGGGTTCATGCCATTCTCCTGCCTCAGCCTCCTGAGTAGTTGGGACTGCAGGCGCCTGCCACCACGCCCGGCTAATTTTTTGTATTTTTAGTAGAGACGGGGTTTCACCGTGTTAGCCAGGATGGTCTCCATCTCCTGATCTCGTGATCTGTCTGCCTCTGCCTCCCAAAGTGCTGGGATTACCGGCATGAGCCACCACGCCCGGCCTGGAGTCTTGAATATTATTACTAAGATTGGATTTCTACTGCTAAAATTCTCAAACAGTAAACACTAATTTTCAATGAGTTCTAGGCACTAGGCTAAGCACTTGTATTTAATTCTTCACGACCTTGTAGGGAAAATTTTATTAAGCCCATTTTAAAGGAGGAAATTGAGGCTAATTTTCCCAAACACGCTGGGACCAAGGGCTACTAATGACTCCAAAGTCTAAGCAATCAGTATTGTACTACATGAAAAGACCAATTGGTCTTTTAGATACACGGGACCATTGATGAACAAAAGATATTTAGGAGAAAGAAAATAGATTCTAAAAGAAAGTCTTAAATAAGATTAGTGTTCTTTATCTTGAAGAAGAGAAGTTTTATCTAAATGAACACCTGTATAAGTAGTACTTTTAAGGGAGAAAATATCTTTGGAAACTGTAATAAGAAATAGAAATTGATGCAAATTGAAGCACAGTAGATTTCAGTTATTAATTCTCCTGATAACCGTTGATAGCAATTAAAAAATTACTAACCATAGCATTCAAGGTCCAGCCTCATTATCTTATTGCTCAATCTTCCCTTCAGCCTCCTATGAAAGTCCAATAATTGCTGGTCCTAAGTCTATTTCCAGTCTCTCTGACACTTTGTATACACAAAATGTTTTATCTCACTTTCTTGATCTGACAAGTCTTACTTCTTCTACAAAACCATATTTAAATAACCTCCTCTGTGAGGTCTCCCCCAGTTCTCCCCTCGTATTCAGAAAAATGCTCTTTAAATAAGCTTTAAAGAAAGCGCATATCATGAGCTGTAACAGAATAAATTTTGATATCTGTATCTCTCACATAAGCTTGAGAGCTTTAAGTGGGGAAAAAGGGGGTTTTTTCATCATTCTCCATAGCTGGCATGTAGTAAGTACTTAAATAATATTGAATAAATGTCAGTACCACAATTGTGCAAGCAATTGGGGTTCTTAGAAGACAAACAAAGCATATGAATACAATAATACATGGCAGCAGATAATCTGTCCCAGCACCAAAGGACAAGAGGGAGGGTAAGGACTCGTGAGTTGGAGAAAGCCCTCTCAGGCTGAAGTGGAACCCACTCCTGAGTTCTGGCTAACTGTTGCTATGCTGAAATGCAGACACTTTTTTGCTACATCCTCAAATTTGTTCACAAGAAGCCAAAATCAAAATCAAAATCCATCCACCTATCCATCCACACATCCATCAATGCATCTATTCATTCATATATGTATGTGTGTATATGTATACATATGTACATATGTGTATGAAACCTCCTGATGTTTACATCCTGCTAAATTATTAAAACATATATCATTTTGCAAGACAAAAAATGACAACAAAAAACATATCTGTAGGTCATATACAAATAACAATTTGTAACTCCTGGCACAAAGGAATACTTATGAGAATTTAGTAATAAATTCTTCTGATACCTCTGCTTTTCAGGGACTTAGAGAAACCTTGGAAAAATCTCTAAGGAAACCAAGAATACTGTAGCTTGTCGTGGTCTACAGAGGGCCCGTAGTTAAACTGCCTTAAATAACTTAGTCATTCATTTTTAGTCATTTCAGGACAACTGATCTTGAAGGGCTCATCATATGCTAGGATCTGAAAATCTGTGATATGAGTCACTGAGGAAACGTATTCAACCAGGCAAAATATGACCCTACATTTGCACTTTCTGTTTCATAATGCATATCAAATTATATAAGGATCTTAAATAAGCACCGTGTGTGCATACCAGCCTTTGAAGAAGCCTGAGGCTTGACACAACATCGATAGTGAATTGGCTTACTAAGCACATAATTAGCTAGTTTTTCCAGGCTTACAAAAATTAGACAAAACAAACAAAGCCAACAAGAACAGCAAATCAATGTCATTCTTGTGAGCATGACATCTCATGAATCCTGCAAGAGAGTCTGACCCTAACTTTTACCCTGCTTTCAGTAGCTTAGTTCAACGAAGCTTTCAGTGACTAAAGCAAAGAGTTTCCTTCTTTTGCCTAAATATATTTAATCAAACAAATCAAAGTGACAAACTCTCACTGGGAGTAGACATAAACCTTCTGATGTCTTAAGATTCATTCATTTGCCGGCCTCATGGAGTTTTTGTTAAGATTCAGGGGAATGCTATAAAGAAATAACATTGCACCCTGGAACACAGTAGTAGCTTTATAACTACTGGTAATTATTTTACTTTTGTTATTAATCAAGCTAGCCAGACATAAAAACATGTAATGTTTTAAGAAATAATAAAAATTACCTGTTTATTTTTAAAGATAGTTGTAGGAAGTTCATTATGCCAAACATAATATAGGATGCTGTTTCAGGATATTAATCAGAAATCATCAGAAATAGCGAAGCAGAGGAGGGAGGGGGGATGAGTAGGCTCACCTGGAGGCTGTCTCACTTCCATTTGAACTCTCCAATCATTTTCCACAAATTCCCTGATGAGCTGGATAATACCTTCGCCATGCCCCAAGGGAATATAAAGTGCTTGAGGGGAATGGGACTCTATTTCAAATGTTCACAGTGGGCTTCCAGTTGAGAATTTCAGATACTATACCAAGGTGAGTGTTTGCTGCATTATATGACCACAGAATCTATAATAAATTATGTTATAAAAATAAATCACGTATTTTTGAGCACAGAATAGTATGATTACATTGAGTTGTAATTTTCATGGCTAAATTGTTAAATGTAAAAATTAAAACTTTATCATAATTTTGGAAACTCTATTTTGGGATGTCTTCATTTTATAAAAAAAACATACTAGGTTAGTTTAATAAGTGAAATGACCCAGGCCTCACTCCTTTGAGAAGCTCGGTGTTCCTACAGCCCTTTCCATATAATAGCTTCATTAGATGGTAAGCTCCATGAAGTGTCAAATGTCCATTTCTGACATAGAGACAATTGCTTCATTGGTTTATTCCCTCTTGTATCTTTCACATAGTCCTTTCTCCATAGAGACTCCAAGAACAAATAATTTAACTGCAGAGAAGGTTGCTGAGCAGCTAGCTCCATTGGTTACACTGCCTTAGTTTACAATGATGCTAGTAGAGGCAATAGAGAAAATTACTTTTCTTTTTAGCAATGTTGGTGATATTTTTGATACACAGTTGATGTTAGAGGTAGAAACTATGCAATTATTTGGAAAAATTGAAGCCATTACAATAAAATGAAAAGTGTTCTGACACTCTTATGCAGCATGACTGGTATATAAAACATTCTGAAGTGTTTTTATTCTTCTTGTTCTCTCCACATACACACACTTATGCTTTATTCTTCTTGCTTTGTTCTTCTTGTTCTCTCTGCATACACACACTTATGCACACATATCCACACATTTTTATATAAATGCACAAATAAATGGGCAATAAACTCTTATGGAAAGAATGAATCACTAGAAAGAAGAAAGCCTTCAGTTTTGTGTGAGAGGCACAGCATATGCTCTACTTGAAGCCAGATAAAATACAGGATGCCCAGATAAATTTGAAAAATCAAATAGTTTTCTTAGCTTAAATGTATAATATTATTTAGTGTAAATATATTTTATATAAGGCTAAATCTGGTAATCCTAACTTGGAAATAAAGAAGGAACAGAACCACAGTAGTTGAAACAGCTGTGTGAGGAGTGGGTGAGGGAATGCACAGGAAACTGAGACATATGGCTGTAACCAGCACATAGTAGGTGCTCGGTAAATGTCAGCTTCTAATATTCCCCCAGGTACATGGGATAAGTGGCAATTCCTCCTTTCAGATCCTCTTGGAGAATAACAGAAACTTGAAAAATTTGAAAACAAAGTCATAGAACTCATTTTTAAAATATGTATATTTAACAAATCAACACTGCCAATACCATTAAAACCCTGAGATGATATGTTATTTATAATTACAGAATTTCTTTTTCAATATTAATTCACAAACTCTAGATACTGCATGGTTCAGAGATAGCTAGAAGTTTAAAATTGGCTGACATCCTCCTTCAATGCTGTCAGATTACCTTTTTGACTATTAAATTCAGTTGGCCCTTGTGGGCATAGGGCCTGGGCCTATGATAGGCTCTATCTCCATGTTATAAGGAGGAAACTGAGTTCTAAAAGTGCCATATGAAGACCAGGCCCAGTGAACCAGAAATGGCAGAACAGGGACTAGAATGTGGAATCCCGACTGGCTATATAGGCTGAGACCTGTGCAGTTACATGGGCCCTGGGCTTGGGGCTTAATACTTTGCAATCACAGTTTTGAAATTCTTACTGATTTTATCATTGAATCTGTGTCTTGTAAGTGAAGTCTGGTGGAACAATGGGACTGTGGTACCTCAGCTCACACTGTTTCCTCCTACAGCTTCTCCAGAACAGGCTCTTCGCTGCCTGCTTCTCCACTCCCTACACACACCCCCACTGCCACTCTTCTCCCTGGCAGGGGCCTGGGTGCTCTCACAGGGAAGGTCCCACTGGGTGAACAGAACCTCAGTGGTCCAGGGCAGGGCATGGTAACAGCTGTCCCAAACTTGGGGCAACATGGCACAACTGATGAGGGGCCAGAAGTCACATTTTTATAAAGACCATGCCTTTTGTTTCTATGATTCAGGTACTAAGCAATCTTAGCATGGAGGGCGTGATGTCCTTAGGAGTCACTTTGTCCTCATGTTTTGGGGAAGGAAATGGGTCTGTGGGAAGAAGACCCAGACACACCTGAATCAATTTCTCTAAATCCTGGCCCCCACTGGGATACCATATGTCAATCTGCAGCTGGCAGGTGGGGATCCCAGCAGTCTTCAGGCCTGATCAAGCCCGCATGTGTTCCGCCTTCAGGGACAGGGACGCTGGCACTGGTAGGGGTCTGTAGATAGCCATGAGTATCCCTGTCCTGAGGAAGCACTCCTTTGGGTCCACTCCATGTCTGGATTGGGGAATCTTCTCCTCCTCCTTCCAACCTTCTTGAGTCTCCCCTATGTTTGTCTCTTCTGGCTTGCTCAAGTCATCCTTCAGGGAAATGCAAAAATGTAGCTTCCATGATTTTGGATATAAGTTAAATGTTCTGAAGTTTGCACTTAAAACTAGCCCTGCAAACTATAAAGATAAAACAGTAAAATTCATGCTAATAATTTCAAATTTCAAATTTTCTTTGCTCAAAGTGACATTGAATAATAAATAAGAATCATCATGAGAAGTTTAAAAAGAGACTGCAGAAGACAAGGAAAAGTTTTATATTTTAGTATCTGTTAATGGCACCTTTTCCTCTACTTTTAGAACAATAGCCCTAGCATTTACATTTTACACTGTGTCCTACAAATTACATATCCAGTCCAAGAGATCCTCAATTCGTGGTCGAATGGGCATTCTAGCCTGCAGGATTAACCATTTAAGAGATGGTTGGTCTCAGTGTCTCTTTTCTCTGCCTCATGTAGATCAATTATCAATTTAATAGACTATGATATCAACAGAAAATCTTTTTGAACAATGGTTTGTTTTAGAATATCACAACCAAACTAAAGATAGCAATCAAATCCTTTTGCTGGTTTTGATACTTTCATGTTGTTAGGTAACTTGCAATGTACTTTAGAGGGTGTCCGTAAAAGCTAAAGGTGCATCTTCCATACGTAATAGTATGACACACAGGAAAGGTTCAATAAAGGAGAATGAAGACATGATTAATTTGTAGGAAGTAATACTGCATGGTGGTTAAAAAGGATTTCTTTAGAATCAGCCAGACCACTAAGTATTTTTCCTAAAAAGGCTTTTTCCACATTGGATTGGCAAGTGAGTGCAGTATAATATCAGAATTGCATAAAACATAGTGGTGGAAAGAACCCAGGCAATAGAATCATATAGGCTTCCTCATGGCCATACTGCAAATTAAGTGAGGTAACATGCAAAGTGCTGGTACTCAGCAAGTTTTTATTCCCTTGAAGAGTGTTTTAACTTCTTTTACTGCTTACAAATATTTATTAAGTAACTGCAGCTGACACTCTTTTACTAGTCGCTTGGAATACATCTATGAACAAAACAAATTAAGATTTCTGTTCAATGGAAATTACATAGATAAGTTTTATTATTAACATAGTTTTTGTTTGTTTGTTTTGCGACAGAGATTCTCTCTTGTTGCCCAGGCTAGAGTGCAGTGGCGCCATCTCAGCTCACTGCAATCTCTGCCTCCCAGGTTCAAGTGATTCTCCTGTCTCAGCCTCCCGAGTAGCTGGGATTAAAAGTATGCTCCACCATGCCCAGCTAATTTTGTATTTTTAATAGAGACAGGGTTTCGCCATGTTGGCCAGGCTGGTCGCGAACTCCTAACCTCAGGTGATCAACCTGCCTTGGCCTCCCAAATTGCTGGGATTACAGGTGTGAGCCACCGTGCCCGGCCTTAGCATAGTTTTTATTACTATATAAATTTTAAAACGTACATTAAAGTAGAAGAAATAGTATAATGAGCTCCCATGTACTGATCATTTGTCTTCTGCAATTATTAACTTTTGCCATTCTTGATTGCCATATCTCTCACTTTTTTCTTAAAGTATATTTTAAAGCAAATCTCAGGTATCTTATCATTTAATTCATAAATTTTTCAGTTAATCAAACATACTCTCTCTTTCCATATATACATAACCTATCTATGTACACACATATACTTGTATGCATAAAGTATAACAACATAGAAATAATTACATAAAACATTGAATATCCAGTCCATTTTCAAAATCCTCTAATTGTCTCAAAAATGCCTTTTTAGTGGTTCGTTTGCTTAATTCAGGTTAGAAACAACTCCTATACATTGCGTTTGATTGTCATTTTAGGTCTTTTTCATTGTATAGTTCCCACTTCTCTCTTTTCTAATGTCATTGATTTGTTGGAGAGACTAATTTCTTTTTTTGCCTTGTATAATGTTTTATATTCTGGATTTTGCCTGAGTTATTAGCCATTGTGGCAGCTGCCTGGCACTGTGCAGCTAGAGCCTACCCAAAGAGGTCTAAACATGAAGAAAGAAAAATCAAGAGTTATTTTTCATCATCTATATATTGATGATTCACAAATCTTATCTCTAGCTCAGACCTCTCCATTAAACTTCTGATCCCATATTCTACTGCTATCTTGACATCTTCCCTTCCTTTACATGTCCAAAACAAAGTTTGATTTTAACTTCTCTCAAAAGCATGTATTGCAGAATTTCCCCATTTAGTAAATGGCAAGTCCATCTTCTCAGTGTTTCAGAAACTTTGAAGTCATCCTTGACTCTTCTATTTTACCAAAATCCTACATGTTTTCCAGCAACAAAACATGTTTATTCTACCTTCAAATCTGTACAGAATTTGAGCACTTCTTACCATCCCCACTTTCACCACCAGCCTGATTCAAGCCACTTCCATGTCTCTCTTGGATTATTGGAATAGCTTCCTTCTTTATGTCCTTCCCCTAGGGATCTATTCTCAACACAGCTGTTAGAATCACCTTGATGAAATATAAATCTGATCAGGGCCCTTGTCTGCTGAACACCTTCCAGTGTCTTCTCATCTCATTCAGCATAAAAGCCAGTGTTCTTACTATAAAGTGCTGTGAACTATAAACCTTTCATGAACTGGCCTCTCATTAACTCTCTGACCTTATATCATATTTTTATGCCTCTTGTCCATTTTTTCTTGAGCCACCTACTTTTCCTGTTGTTCCTCAAACATGCCAGGCATATGTCCATGTGAATTTGCTATTCCCTATGCTTGGAAGTTTATTTCTCTGCTCCTATTTTGATAAATCCCCACTAAAATATCAACTCCTTCAACATTTTCCCCTGCCTGCCTGAACTTTCTCTTCATAATTATTCTGTAAATAATTTACCTTGTTTGTTGTTTGTCTCTTCCACTAGAATGTAAGCATCATGAGTGTGGGATTCATTTTTCTATTTTATTTCCGAGTATATTCCCAAGCATTAGGAACAGAAGAATGACATACATGAGAGATACTAAATAAGTAGTTGTTTAGTACATAAGACACAATTGTCATCATCATGATTTTCATCATCATCATCAGCATCATTGCCTTCAATATTTTCTGTTTGTGAGAATTTTTCTTTCATTTCTACCTGTGTGGTAACTCCATCCTCATTTAGATACCTGCTTCTCTTTTAATTTTACATTTTATTCTTTGCAGAAGCAAGTTGACAAAGATTCCTTAGAGCTGCTGTGTCCTCAGTTTTTTCCACGCCAGTGGTCATTGAGATGGGAGGAACTGTAGCAGCAGCTCTAATTACCTCACTTGAAAATTATTTCTTTAGTAAGCAGAATTGCTTCAGTTTCTGGTCCTCCAGGCACAGAGACACCAAGAAAACAGAGTTAATTAGACACTTCTGAGTCTAGACAATTGCCTGAAAAACTCAAGGCAGAGGATTTCTATTTTACCCTGAAGGTTGGTAGAGTTAGATTTTGAGAGAAGTGCTTCAAAGATGCCCTGGTAGAAAATGATGCTAATCAAGCCAACATTGAAAGGCAGTTCAGCCATGAAGTAGATGGTCTGCCCATCTGTCTAGAGTAAAGGCTGCTGACTTTCTGTTGATGATTCTCAACCTTCTTGATAGGGGACCAGCTCTGCCTTAACTCTAAGGCTTTTCTTCTGCCAGTAATGCTAGGCTTCCAACTTGGCTGGGGCTAAATAAAAGGAATACTGCATGTTAGAAAATATGTAGAGCAGTGCTTCTGAACCAGGGAAAATTGCTTCTTCAAAAAAATTGGCAGTATCTAGAGATATTTTTTATTTCACAATTTAGGGCACTCTACTAGCATGCATATATATAGGCACACACACACACATTTCACCCACACACATATATATACACACACGTGTGTGTATGTACATTTGTGTGTGTATACGTTTGTATGTGTATATGTATGTCTGTGTATATGTATGTGTGTGTACATGTATGTGTGTGTAATGACCGAGGATGTTGGTAAGCATACTATAATGCACAGGATAAACACAGCAAAGAATTATCTGGTCCCAAAATGTCAATTTTGACTTAATTGAGAAACTCTGATGTAGAGTAATCATACCATTGTCTACAAGTATTATTCAAATCACTTGAATTAGAAGCAGCATATAGAAGAATTGCTATCTTCACTGGGTTTCAGGAATCATCACACACTGTCCTGTTTATTCTTTGTCCTCCTGGAAATCTTTCTGAATCTCCTTGACTGTTTCCTCTTATCTCCCAGACCTCTTAAAGCTGTCATGCCTCAGGGTTCAATTCTCAAATCTTTTTGCTCTACATACTCACTCCCTAGGTGATCTCATCCATTCTCATGACTTTAACCACCATGGACATGTTAAAGACTCCCAAGTTTATGCCATTGCTGATAACTCCAGACTTGTACATCCACACACCCACTTAGATTTTCTATTGGCCTATTAGACATTTTCAAATCTAACATGTCTAAAATTATACAACAACAACTTCTCCTCCTCCTCTTCCTCCGTCACCCAGGCTGGAGTGCAATGGTGCAATCTCAGCTTACTGCAATCCCTGCCTCCCAGGTCCAAGTGATTTTCCTGCCTCAGCCTCCCTAATAGCTGGGATTACAGGCACACGCCACCACATTTGGCTGATTTATATATTTTTAGTAGAGATGGGGTTTCACCATGTTGGCCAGGCTGGTCTCGAACTCCTGACCTCGAGTGATCTGCCTACCTTGGCCTCCTGAAGTGCTGGGATTACAGGTGTGAGCCAACGCACCCTGCCCGGCCTAAGTTTTAACTTCTAATCCTTTCCTATGTCCCAAATATGTTTCATCCACACTCCGTCAGTTAATGTTCAGGTGAAAAATGTTGCCGCTATATTTGATCTGTCTCTTTCTCATTGCACATTCCATTTGCCAGCAAATTCTGATGTCTTTAACTTCAAAATATCTCTAGAATTGGATCAACTTTTATTATTTCCACTGTAAGCACCCAGGTTCAAGTCACTGTCCTCTGGTGCCTTGTTTAATGCAACAACCTCCTCACTGTTCTTTGTACTACTGTCATCCACTGAGGCAGAGACTACCAGATATCCCCCAGTATTTTAAACAAATGTTTATTTGTGACTTAAACAAATTAGTCATATGCAAACAATTACTATACAAATGAGAAATAATTATTATTGCTAAGTGTATTTATTTCCTATTACTAATATAACAGGTTGTCACAAACTTAGTGGCTTAAACAACCCAAATTTATTTTCTTATAGCTTTGTAGGTCAGTATTCCAATACAAGTCTCATGGGGCTAAAATCAAGGTGTCCACTGCTCTGTATTTCTTTCTGGAGGCGCTAAAAGAGCATATATATATATATGTGTGTGTGTGTGTGTGTGTGTGTACACACACATATACACAAACACAAACACACATACGTTGGTACATATATGCTTATATATATGTATTTATAGTACATATATGTACATATATAGTCAATGTATACACACATGTATACACATACTATATATATAGTGTGTGTATATATATATAGTGTGTGTGTGTGTATATATAGTGTGTATATATATATACACACACACACACACAGACACACACATATAAATGCATGTTGGTAGAGTGCCCCCAGGTGTAATAGTCAAAAATAAAAATATCTTCAGATATTGCCAAATTTCTTTGTCTCTTTTTTCTTTCTTTCTTTCTTTCTTTCTTTCTTTCTTTCTTTCTTTCTTTCTTTCTTTCTTTCTTTCTTTCTTTCTTTCTTTCTTTCTTTCTTTCTTTCTTTTTTTGAGAAAGGGTCTCACTCTGTCACCCAGGCTGGAGTGCAGTGGTATGATCTTGGCTTACCTCAATCCCCACCTCCCGGGCTCGAGCAATCCTGTCTCAGTCCCCCAAGTAGCTGGGCTTACAGGCATGCGCCACCACACCACACCTGGCTATTTTTTTTTTTTCTGGTAGAGATGGGGTTTCGCCATGTTGCCCATGGTCTTGAACTAGTCTCCAACTTCTGAGCTCAAGCAATCCGCTGGCCTTGGCCTACCAAAGTGCTGGGATTACAGGTGTGAGCCGCTGTGCCCAGCCCCAAATTTCTTTTTTGAAGAAAAAATTTCCTCTGGTTAAGAACCACTGCTCTACATATATTCTAACATGTATTACCTTTTCCAGATTTGAGAGGCATTCTGAGTGCCTTGGTCTCTGTTTTTTTTTTCTTCCATCGAAATCAGCAACAGTGAGTCTAATCTTTCTCACATCACATGACTCTGACCTCTACTTCTGTTACTTTTTCTACTTTTAAAGACCCTTGTGATTCTATTGGATCTGCCTGGATAATCTAGGAAAAAATCCTTATCTCAAGATCAGCTGGCTAGCATTCTAATTTCATAGGCATCCTTAATTTCCCTTTGCCATGTAACGAAACATAAACACAGTTTTCAAGTATTAAGACACAGACATTTTTAGGGTGATCATGATTCTGCCTACCACACTAATTAGAGCTTTTTTCTGGTCCAGTGCTAAAATTTTGATACTTATAACTCAACTCTCCCAATTTAATTTAATTAGAGCAAACACTTGACATTGCATATTTACAAAATAAAATAACAAAATAATTGTCACAAAGAAAATATTGAATTTTAAGCATAGTAGTCTTTTCTTGGGAACACGTCTTATTTAAAAAAAATCAAATCAAAAGAAAAATGTTATTTTGACATGGAATTTGTTCAAAGCCAACTTTTCAAGACAAGGTACATTGAGAAAATTGAGTAATATTTCAACTTATTTCTTCTCTGATTAATTCAACTACTTAACCATATACCTGTTTCTATGAGACAATAATAATAATAACAATTACCTGTTTCTATGAGACAATAATAATAATAACAATTAGCTGAGTGTCTACTTTGGGCCAAGCTCAGTACTAAGTGTTCTAATAAATGATTCATTTAAGCTCACAGAGCCTTTTGAGGGAGGCATTTATTCCCCTCTTACCATCAACAGAAACGAGACTTAGCTAGTAACTTGCTTGCCCTAATGAGAGGCAGAAGAGGGCTTGAACCCAAATAAGAAGGCCTAAGAGCGTTAAGTTACTTTCCAGGGGAAATTCAGAAAGATAGTAGCAGAGACAGATCTGGAATCCAGGAGTCTCAAGTCTGGTCCAGACATTTTGTCACTAATCAGACAGAAAAAAAAAAAAAAAAAGTGCTGATAAAGTGGGTTTTTTGTTTGTTGTGTTTGTTTGTTTTTTAAAGGGCCTCTCCTGTCTGGGAGAACACTTCTTCATAAACAAACAGTGTGGGAAAAGCAAAATTTTAATGGGCATGTTTGCTGTATTCTTCATTTAGAGGAAGCATCAAATTGCAGACATAGGTTCACCAGCAATACATTTACTTTAACTGGAAAAGTTACAGAGAATTATCTTAATTGCTGCAGAACAGAAAAGACAAGTCAGAGAAACTATCCATTTCATTCACTAGTAATTGGATACAAAGTGCCGATCTTAAAAGTTCGTGTTCCAATAACGCAATTATTTGCCAAAAATCTTAATAAAAAGCACATTTTGTTCCCTCATGCTTCTCAGATGAAAGTCACTTAAAAAATTCCAACCAAAGACAAATGCAAAGGTTCAGAATACTTGAGATTCTTGTTACGCACCTGCTCTCTAACCTTATGCTAAATATATTAATACAAATGGTGCTATAAGGACCAAAACATCACGAAATGTGACACCATAAATCATCTCCATTAGTAAATGTGTGTCAGGTTCTTATACATTTCAGTCTATTTTAAACTCACTCTCCATTATTTTATAGTATGCCTGAATGAATCTTGGTGGTTTGATATGGCAATTGAATCAGCAGTCAAATCAACTCACCTTTCCTGGCCCAACTCCCAGCAGGTCCTGTAGGTTGGACTCCCAGTTTCAGCATACATCACCTTACCCATTCCTTCAACTGTTGGATCAAAGGGACCCTTTCTCTTCTTTCTCAGAAACCCTATTTTTTTTTCCCCATTCAAGGGTGTGAGGATAGACTAAGGTTATGCATTGTACACTTCACTGGTTTTACTGCCCAGGTGGAAGCTGGGTGTCCATTTCCTAAACCAGAATGACAGCATGACATTTTCACTCCAAAAGTCTCTTCCTTTTTTAAAAACTTTGACTCTTTTGATAAAAACTTTGATTCCTTTGATAAAAACTTTGATTCTTTTGATAAAAACTTTAAAAACCAAATTTCCTTGCCTTTCATGCTTAAACGTTGAGATTTGTCAGGGGATCTTAAAGATAAACAGCTTCAGGGGTCTGTAAAGTCTTAGAAATTGTGCACAAATTTTATGTGTATAAAGGGGGAAATGTGTTTTTTTTAAGGAGAACAATTAATTAGATTCTCAAAAAAAAAATGTCCCTATTGCCCATAAGAGTTTAAAAAAAAATACTGGAAAGAAGATTGATAAAGGCTTTTTCCACTCTAAAATTGAAATGTTAATTCTAAATTTGCTGATGTCACAATTTCCTTTGACAGGCACTGGTAAGTACTGATGCTCGTACCACAATTTGAAACAAGGCTGGATATAAATATATAAATAAATAAAAAGAAAATCAAACAAATAGGTAAGTTAGGTGTTTGTGATAAGGGGAAAAAAATCTCCAATTCACAAAGTCCTGTGAAAGGAATAGGGCTTCCCAATATAGACCAGCCTACACCTGCATTTTAAGCTGTCAGAGAGAACAAGGAAAACCACAACTTCCCAAATCTTGCCATGACTGAGCATAGTGATGAGGTCCCCCCTTATCTACTGTTCCCCCTATGTATGGATAACAGTGAAAATACGTCAAGATAAGTACCACCATAAGGCTAAGCACAGAATGTTTTGAGTAACTATGGAGCATCTAACCTAATTTGGGAAGCAGATAGGTGCAGGAAGTGTTTTTAGAGGAGTTGAAATTTAAATTTAACCACAAACCATAAGGTCAAAATTAGCTAGGCAAGGGCTGGATGTTACAGATAGGAAGAAAGAACATTTCTTGGCAAAATGAATAGGATATTTAAAAGCCCAGGGACTGGACAAAACATTATCTTGACAAACTGAAATAAGCTCCAAATGGCTGCAATTCAGAATAGGAGTCTAAAGCCTTCTGTGATGGCACTGTCCAAGTGCCCTGCTCTTGTTTATTTTATTTTATTTTATTTTTTTATTATTTATTTATTTATTTATTATTATTTTTTAGACAGAGGCTCTCTCTGTCGCCCAGGCTGGAGTGCAGTGGCACAATCTCGGCTCACTGCAAGCTCCGCCTCCCGGGTTCACGCCATTCTCCTGCCTCAGTCTCCCGAGTAGCTGTAACTACAGGCGTCCACCACCACGCCTGGCTAATTTTTTTTTTTTAATTTTTAGTAGAGATGGGGTTTCACCATGTTAGCCAGGATGATCTCGATCTCCTGACCTCGTGATGCGCCTGCCTGGGCCTCCCAAAGTGCTGGAATTACAGGTGTGAGCCACTGAGCCCGGCTGTGCCCTGCTCTTTTTTTTTTTTTTTTTTTAATTATACTTTATGTTCTAGGGTACATGTGCACAACATGCAGGTTTGTTACATATGTATACATGTGCCATGTTGGTGTGCTGCACCCATTAACTCGTTGTTTACATTAGTTATATCTCCTAATGCATTCCCTACCCCCTTCCCCCACACCACACACTCCCCGGTGTGTCATGTTCCCCTTCCTGTGTCCAAGTGTTCTCACTGTTCAATTCCCACCTATGAGTGAGAATGTGCAGTGTTTGGTTTTTTGTCCTTGTGATAGTTTGCTGAGAATGATGGTTTCCAATTTCATCCATGTCCCTACAAAGGACATGAACTCATCCTTTTTTATGGCTGCATAATATTCCATGGTGTATATGTGCCACAATTTCTTAATCCAGTCTATCATTAATGGACATTTGGGTTGGTTCCAAGTCTTTGCTATTGTGAATAGTGCCGCAGTAAACATACGTGTGCGTGTGTCTTTATAACAGCATGATTTATAATCCTTTGGGTATATACCCAGTAATGGGATGGCTGGGTCAAACGGTATTTCTAGTTCTAGATCCCTGAGGAATCGCCACACTGTCTTCCACAATGGTTGAACTAGTTTACAGTCCCACCAACAGTGTAAAAGTGTTCCTATTTCTCCACATCCTCTACAGCACCTGTTGTTTCCTGACTTTTTAATGATTGCCATTCCAACTGGTGTGAGATGGTATCTCACTGTGGTTTTGATTTGCATTTCTCTGATGGCCAGTGATGATGAGCATTTTTTCATGTGTCTTTTGGCTGCATAAATGTCTTCTTTTGAGAAGTGTCTGTTCATATCCTTTGCCCACTTTTTGGTGGGGTATTTGTTTTTTCCTTGTAAATTTGTTTGAGTTCTTTGTAGATTCTGGATATTAGCCTTTTGTCAGTCGAGTAGATTGCAAAAATTTTCTCCCATTCTGTAGGATGCCTGTTCACTCTGATGGTAGTTTCTTTAGCTGTGCAGAAGCTCTTTAGTTTAATTAGATCCCATTTATCAATTTTGGCTTTTGTTGCCCTTGCTTTTGGTGTTTTAGACATGAAGTCCTTCCCCATGCCTATATCCTGAACGGTATTGCCTAGGTTTTCTTCTAGGGTTTTTATGGTTTTAGGTCTAACATTTAAGTCTTTAATCGATCTTGAATTAATTTTTGTATAACGTGTAAGGAAGGGATCCAGTTTCAGCTTTCTACATATGGCTAGCCAATTTTCTCAGCACCATTTATTAAATAGGGAATCCTTTCCCCATTTCTTGTTTTTGTCAGGTTTGTCAAAGATCAGATGGTTGTAGATATGTGGTATTATTTCTGAGGGCTCTGTTCTGTTCCATTGATCTATATGTCTGTTTTGGTACCAGCACCATACTGTTTTGGTTACTGTAGCCTTGTAGTATAGTTTGAAGACAGGTAGTTTGATGCATCCAGCTTTGTTCTTTTGGCTTAGGATTGTCTTGGCAATGCGGGCTCTTTTTTGGTTCCATATGAACTTTAAAGTAGGATTTTAGACCAGTATCCCTGATGAACATCGATGCAAAAATCCTCAATAAAATACTGGCAAACCGAATCCAGCAGCACATCAAAAAGCTTATCCACCATGATCAAGTGGGCTTCATCCCTGGGATGCAAGGCTGGTTCAATATACTGAAATCAATAAATGTAATCCAGCATATAAACAGAACCAAAGACAAAAACCACATGATTATCTCAACAGATGCAGAAAAGGCCTTTGACAAAATTCAACAGCCCTTCATGCTAAAAACTCTCAATAAATTAGATGTTGATGGGACATATCTCAAAATAATAAGAGCTATCTATGACAAACCCACAGCCAATATCATACTGAATGGGCAAAAACTGGAAGCATTCCCTTTGAAAATTGGCACAAGACAGGGATGCCCTGTCTCACCACTCCTATTCAACATAGTGTTGGAAGTTCTGGCCAGGGCAATCAGGCAGGAGGAAGAAATAAAGGGTATTCAATTAGGAAAAGAGGAAGTCAAATTGTCCCTGTTTGCAGATGACATGATTGTATATTTAGAAAACCCCATTGTCTCAGCCCAAAATCTCCTTAAGCTGATAAACAACTTTAGCCCTGCTCTTAATTACCAGTGAAGGTCCACATTGAATTCCTGAAATCCTTTATAGTACATATGGTCATCTTAAATTACGCTTATTCAGTTAGTTGTTCAACAAACAGTCAGTCAGCCATTCAACACCTACTATGTTTAAGGTTCTATGCTTGCTGTTGGGGATAGAGCAGTAAATAAAATAGATTATGTTCCTGCTCTCATGGGGCTTGGCATCCACTTCATTTACTCATTTATCCACTTACGCATATTTCCCCCACACTCAACAAAATGTCAGTTCTGTGACAGCAGAGACCTTGTGGATTTTCTACATTATTTTCTCTTCAGTGTCTAGGGCAGTGCTTAGCAGGTAAGAGGTGTTTAATATTTGTTGAATAAATGAATGAAAGACCGAAAGAGGGATTTGGTGAGAGAGATGACATTGGAAAAGTGACTGGAATTCAGCTCATAGAGCTCCTTGTGAGACATGTTAGGGAGACCAAGCTTTATTTTGTAGGCAATGCAGAGCCATAAAATATTTTAAGGAGAAACATAATATGATCAGATATTTGCTTAGAAAGTTCTTTCTGCTACGTTGTGGAAAATGGGTTGGTATAGGCAAGACTGGAGATAAAATGCTTTGTTTTTTAGATTCCAGGCCACCATACTCATCTGGTTTTCTCTCTGCCTCAGTTGCCACACCCGTTGGTCTCTCCTCTCACTGTCTTAATACTGGAAAACCCCTCCTGCTGTCCTTGAACTTGTCTTCTCCATCTCGCTTCTTCTTATTTGGTAGATCTTGTTCCATCCCCTAGTTTTCAATACCATTTGTATGGTGACAATTCCAAATATTTATCACCAAAGGGATCTCTTCTTTGAACTCAAGATTCAACTTAAGGATTTCTCATTAGCTGTTCTTCTGTTTGGAATATTCTTTTCCAATAAATGTACAGAATTTATTTTCTCATCTCTTTTGAATCTCTGTTTAAATGTCACCTTCTCAGTGAGGCCTTCTCTGACCTCTTTGTTCAAAACGGAACCCTCTCCTTTACTACTCCTTATATGTTTTCACGGCTTTCATTTTTATCCATACTATTTATGACTTTCTAACATTCTATATGAGCTACTTATTTAGTTTGTTTATTGTTTTCCTCCCTCAAGTACAATATAAGCTCCTGGAGGTTAGGAATTGCTAACTATTTTATGTATTTATGTGGTACAGTGGCTAGAAGTGTAACACACACCATACACATACAAACATACATATATAATGATGTTGAGTTGCCATTATTTATTAATAGTATATAACAAAATGAATAACAAAAAAATAAAATATGAATAAATTATCAAGGGCTAAAATGTACCAAGAAAGAAGCTGGATCCTAAGGCTGTAAGGATGAGTAAGTCATCATCATGGTTGTAATAGACTTTGGTCTGTGCATATAAGTATATGTTCCCTCCAACAGCAAATAGTAAAATAGGTGCCTAATAAATATTATTTTACTGAATCATGACCCAAAATATGCTTTTACTTTTTTTGAATTGTACTATATACAAGAAAATTTACAAAGTAAGACATTTTGTAAGTTTTAAGAATTTAAGGGGGTAAGGACATGTTGTGTGTCTATGCATGTCTGTCTGTATAAATGTTAAGTGTGCAGAATTTGTACACTAGGTGAAGTTTTTAACAAGCAGCTTTAATTTCACTGTTTCACTTTTTGAGTAGTTTTTACAATTATGCTTAAGCATTAGAAAGACTAGGTTTGAATTGTAGCTCTGCAGCTGTATGAACTGGGGTAGGTAACATCCTCTTTCTGAGCTTCAGCATCCTTATTGTCAAGCTGAAATTATAATATTGCTAACTGCACGGTTTTTTTTTTTCTTTTCAGTGGGGGGAGTGAATGGTAAGAACAAAGTGAGATAATATCTGTAAAGCCCTTACAGTGCCTAGTGCCTAGTGAAGATTCAGTATAATGACATTCCACAAATATCACATATATACCTAAATATTTGGCACTGTCTTTAGTTTTGAAAGACAACACTAAAGTGGTAAAGAGCTTGCATGTTCCCTGCATTTATTGTTGTTATCATTGTCATAATTATCACGTATTAACCTTTCAGGTGTATCTTTTCCTTTCTTTCCCACTTTGGCAACTTGATCCAACTAAAGAAATTCAACTTCACAAATATGCTGTGCTACTCTGGTATGGAAATAAACTCAGTATGGCTTGAGTGCTGTCTATATTCACATTCAGTTAGCTTAGAACGATGTCATAGTGGGGCACTGTCAGTGACTTGGGGCCTTCGTATGGTGCTGATATTGACGGAGCCTCTGAAAGGAAGGAAACATGGGAGCCATTTGTGTATAATGGTTTGAATTCCTTAAAGTAGTCTCTCACATTTTTCAATCTTGTGAAAGTAAAAGGAGAACAATATTCCAGCCCCTGAGGAGACATGTTGTTTATCTGTGAGCCAACACATTCTGTAAAGAAGAGCCTTGTAGGACAGGGTATTGGGGTGGACTGACTTGAAGGATATGGAGCTCTGCTCTTCCTTAGAAGCTCTGCCAGGCTTGCACTCATGCAGTTATTAACTGGATTACTGTAGAGGAATCAAAGTGGCTGAACACACAAACAGTGCTTTTTGACAAAGAAATAAAATATTGGATTTTAAAACTCAATACTCAGTGAAGGGCTTCAAGATCATATATCTTTAGTTTATGACAATTAGCTTATGCTCCCTTAATTCTGTTCTGGCCTGCGTTATTCTATTCTACCTCCTCCCTAGAAGATACTGACAATACATATATCTGACAGAAGACTTGCATTTAGAATTTATAAATAGCTCTTATAATTCAATAATATGACAAACAACCCAGTTTAAAAAATGGATAAAGGATTTCAACAGATACTTCACAATAGAAGATATATGAATGGCCAACTAAGCACATGAAAAAAATGCTCAACATCATTATTTATCAGAGGAATGAAAACTAAAACCACATGAGATACCATTACACACAATTACAGTAGCTAAATAATAGATAATAAATGATAATGTCAAGTAAAAGTAAAGATATGGAGCAACTGGAACTTTCATCTCCTGCTTGTAGAAACATAAAATGATACAACCATTTTGCAAAACAATTTGACAGTCTCTTATAAGTGTAGATAGGTACTTATCATATGACCAGCAATTCTATTCATAATACTTAGCACTTACACAAGACAAATGCAAACATATCTCTACATGAAGACATGGTCACAGCAGTTTTATTATTAATAACCAAAAACTGTAATGTTGAACAAAAAATGATTGTGAAAACAAATTATTATATAGTCACACAATGGAATATTACTCAGTAACATAAAGGAATAAACTACTGATACACAAAACAACAGGAATATTTCTCATCAACATGTCAAATTTTAAAAAGACACAAAAGACCACATACTGTATTCTTTCATTTATATTAAACTCTAGGAAAAACAAAACCAACTCTGTAGTGATAGAAAGCAAATCACACATTGACTTTGATGGGAGATGAGTGGTACACTGTTTGGGAATGGACACAGGGAACCTTTAGAAGAAAACAGAGGAGTGTTCTATATCACTATATCAATAAAATTGTTGCATTTATTGCATATAAATTATGTTAACATTGCATATAAATTATATGCAATGTATGCACTAAATTGCCTATAAATTATAACTTTCAATCCTCTTAAAGAGGATTAAAAACAATGAATAAGTAAATTAGATATTGTGGCATAAGGCAATGAATAGAATAGAAAAAAGCAAAAATATAACACATTGAAGGTGATCAGGAGTCCTGAGGATGGTTGACAGTTTGTAACAATAAGTACGTTAGATAAGGTTGTCTTCAATTACAAAGCAACCTGTGAATAAAGGCACAAAATAAATACCTAAGCAAGTTATCTCCCTAGATATTTAAGGAAAGGATGTTACATACAGAAAAAAAAAAAACAGCTAATGCAACAGCTTTAAGGCAGAAAAATACCCAGCATATTTGAAGGACAGCAAAGAATCCAAAGTGATAGTAATATGAAGTCAGGTTAGAAAGAGTGTGAAGTGGGTGGATCACGAGGTCAGGAGTTTGAGACCAGCCTGGCCAACATGGTGAAACCTCGTCTGTACTAAAATTACAAAAAATTAGCCAGGCATGGTTGTGCATGCTTGTAATCCCTGCTACTCAGGAGGCTGAGGCAGGACAATTGCTTGAAGCCAGGAGGTGGAGACTGCAGAGAGCTGAGATTGTGCCATTGCACTCCAGCCTGGGCGACACAGAAAGACTCTGTCCCCACCACCCCTCCATCCCCCGGAAAAAAAATTAAAAAATAAAAAGAGTGATATGGAAATCAAATCATATAGGACTTTTTAGGCCATCATCAAGATTTTTAGACCATTTCATTTTATTCTTTGTAGAACAGGAAGCCAATAGAAGGTTTTAAGCAGAGGAATTGACATAAATTTGTGGTATAATTCTGTCTGCTGTGTTGGAAATAGACTATGAGAGACAGACAAGCATAGAAGCAAGATGACAAATTAGGAGGCTACTGAAATAATTTGGGTAAGAGCTGATAGCTGTTTTTTGTCTATTAGTTTGTTTATTAGTGTGGTAGCAATGGCAATGTGGAGAAGTAGCCATTTTCTGAGTATATTTTGAAGGTAGAGCCAATGGGATGTTCTGTTGGATTAAAATTTGAGTATGAGAGGAAAAAAAAAGTCAAGATTCAGCGATCATTTGGGTTGGAGCAATTGTAGTCCAGTGAGTTGTGGAAGGCTATGAAGGGGATGGTCAGGAGTTCACTTTAGGATGCATTTAGTTTGCTATGTCTAATTACACAGCCACGTGTAGGTGTTGAGTAATTGTATACAGTGAGTGAGCAGTTTAGAGAAGAGTTCTGAGCCAGAAGTATAATTTTGGAAGTCAGAATTTAAAGCCACATGATAAGAATCATTAAGTGAGAGAGTGTATATAAAAGAGAAGGTAAGGGAATAAATTTTTTAAAAAAAGGGAGAAAAGAGCAAGAAAAAGAGAGAAGAAAAAAAGAGGAAGACTGATCCTGGATTGTCAACATTAAAACAATTAAGAAAAGAAGAAGAATTTCCACAAGGAACTGAAAAAGTGACCAATGGAATAGGATGTAAATCAAGAGAGTGTGGTGTTATCAACATCAAAAGAAAAAAGTATATCAAAAAGGTGGGAATTATCAAATATATCAAACACTTCTAATAAATAAGATGAGAATATGATTGCCCATTGTAGTGAACAAGCCATAGATCATTATTAACTTTGACAAGAGCAGTTTCAGATGAATGGTGGGGATAAAAGCACTATCAGAGTGAGTTCAAGGAAAAACTTAAAGAGAGAAGTCAGAGGTGGAGTTAGCTTAGATGACTCCTTAGAAATGCTTTGAAGCAATAACGAGCAAATATAAGAAATTGTTTTTGTTTTTCAAGATGATAACATGTTCACATGCTAATGGAAAAAAAATATATAGGAGAAAGAGGGGAGAATTTCTAGAGCCCTGTCCTTTAGTAGTTAGAGGAGCTAGAATCTAGGACACAGTGGAGGGATTGGCTCTAAAAAGTAACATGGAGGGCCGGGCGTGGTGGCTCCCACCTGTAATCCCAGCATTTTGGGAGGCTGAGGTGAGTGGATCACCTGAGGTCGGGAGTTTGAGACCAGCCTGACCAACATGGGGAAACCCCCGTCTCTACTGAAAATACAAAATTAGCTAGGCATGGTGGCACACGTCTGTAATCCCACCTACTCGGGAGGCCAAGGCAGGGCAATCCCTTGAACCTGGGAGGCGGAGATTGCAATGAGCTGAGATGGCACCATTGCACTCCAGCCTGGGCAACAAGAGTGAAACCCCATCTGAAAACAAACAAACAAAAAAAGTAACATGGAGATGGAGAGTTCACTTGTATTAACAGGTGAGAAGGTAGCATGTGGGAGTGTGGGCAATACTAGGAAGATAAATTGTTTCACCAAATCCTTACATTAATGTCAAGGCTTAGAAATTATTTAACTTTTTGGAATCTTTTGCAGTTCCAATTATTTTTTAAATCTATTTCTGTGAAAAAAATGTCATTGGAATTTTGATAGAGATTGCATTAAATCTTCAAGTTGCTTTGGATAATATGAACATTCTAACAATATTAATTCTTCTAATCCATGGACATGGAATATTTTTCCATTTGTTTGTTTTTTTTTTTTGCCAATTTCTTTTATCAATATTTGGTTAAATTTATTCTTAAGTATTTTATTATTTTTGATGCTATGATAAATGGGAGTGTTTTCCTAATTTCTTTTTTGGATAGTTTATTGTTAATGTATAGAAATGCAATTGATATTTTATGTTGATTTTGTATCCTGCAACTTTACTGAATTCATTTATGAGTTGTAGAATTTTTTTTTTTTTTTTTTTTTTTCAGACGGAGTCTTGCTCTGTCACCTAGTCTGGAGTGCAGTGGCACGATCTCGGCTCACTGCAAACTCCGCCTCCCGGGTTCAAAAGCGATTCTCCTGCCTCAGCCTCCTGAGTAGCTAGGATTACAGGCACATGCCACTATGCCAGGCTAATTTTTTATATTTTTGGTAGAGACAGTATTTCACCATGTCAGCCAGGCTAGTCTCGAACCCCTGACCTCAAGTGATCTGCCCGCCTCAGCCTCCCAATTATATATTTTTAAATATATAATACACACTCATGTTATATATGTATGCATAATGTGTATATATAATGGAATATTATTTAGCCATAAGAAAGAAGGAGATCCTGCCATTTACAACAACATCAATGAATCTGGAGGACCTTATGCTAAGTGAAATCAGCCAGACAAAGACAAATACTGTGTGGTCTCACACGTGGAGTCTAAAAAGTGGATCTCACAGGAGCAGAGAGTAGAAAGGTGGTTTCCAGGGGCTGGGGTCAGGTGGATGGGGAGATGTTAGTCAAAGGGTATAAACTTTTAAAGTTGTAAGATGAATATGATATAGAAATCTAACAGCATGCTGACTGTAGTTAATAATACTGTATTTTTTTCTTGAAAGTGGCTAAGAGTGGATCTAAATTGTTCTCACTTACATACACACACATGAGGTGAGGTATGTGAGGTGATGGGTGTTTTATTTAGCTTGATTGTGGTAATCATTTTAGGATGTGTATATGTGTCAAATCATCATGTTTTGCACCTCAAACATATACAATTTTTATTTGTCAATTATACCTTATTAAAGCTGGATTTTTTTAAAAAAATCATTATTTAAAGGTTGCTTATTCAGGAGGAGCTCAGTTATATTTACTGCCTCTTTCACCTTTTGAAATAATCTGATTCTGTAGGCCTATTTACACTAAGATGAAAACACTGAGTTAGAACATTAGAAAATAACGTATAGATGATTAATTTAAACATTCGTGTTGAACTGGAGTGCTGTCTACAACATCCTTGAGAAAGTTTAGAGTGTTAACTAGAACACTTTTCATGACAGAGAGCGCTCTACCCTGAAACTTATCAGGAACCTTCAGTGGATTCAGAGTCCAACATTATAACATTCACGGCTGGCCTCATTCTCTCCTTGGGAGCAGCAGAGCCAAACTACCTGAGGGCAGAACTTCCCAAGTCCTTATCCTGAAAACACTCTTCTGGGAGATGCTTGGCATTTCAGAAATAGCAAGTTCTGTTCCTGAATATGTGGGGGAATATCATCACACACATTACCATACGCAAGCTCTGAAAGGCCATGTAGTAAAGGAACATTTTCACACTGTTTAATTTAGTGTTCCAAAATTTTACCTACACGTGGAACCACACGCCCCTGGCTTTTTTATTTAGTACACTGCATTAGGCACCTGTAAAGCAGTGCTCCCCTGAACAGCGAGGTTGGGACATTAACTTTAAAAGGCAATACTATAAGCATCTGCCCTTTCACAGAATCAAGGCCTAGAGACTGGGTCTCTAAATGCGAACTTGTTAGACATGCAAATTCCTGGGTCTACTGTGTCAAAATCCCTGAGGGAGAGGCCAAGAAATTTGCATCTAACAAGTGCCACTCGTGATTTTTATGTACGTTAAAGTTTGAAAACTATTGCCTTCAGTCTAGGCTATTAAGAGTGTGGTCTGTGGAGCAGCAGCATCTATATCCTTGGGAGCTTGTTAGAAATGCCGAGCTCTGACTCCATTCAGACTGGAATCTGTGCTTCTGCAAAGTCATCAGGGAACTTGTATGCACGTTAAAGATTGAGGAGCATCATACTGGCCAGTATGAAGCTCTCTCACACAGAAGTTTTGTTGTTGTTTTTGTTTTAATTCTTAACTCCTGGTCCTTTTTTTGTCACTTTAATCACCCCAGATAAGTAGGTGACATCATTAGTAGGCCAACAATGTCACTTAGGATCACAGTCAGAGAATTTCTGAAAATTTATGTGGTTTTGAGGGTAGGGTAGTGGTTGACAGTAGAAAGCTATTCCCCTGCCAAGTACCCAAGCTCATATTAATTATAAACAGATTACTTTCAAGAGTATCTATAGCAGAGTAGTAAGCTTAATAGCGTACTATATGAACAATAAGAAAAGTTGCTAACAGCGAGCTGTGACTGTGTGTGCCTTGGCACCATTTTAAGTGTATGAATTGGCTGGGCACAGTGGCTCACACCTGTAATCCCGGATCTTTGGGAGGCCAAGGCAGGTGGATTGCTTGAGCACAGGAATTCAAGACCAGCCTGAGCAACACAGTGAGACCTCAGGTCTAATAAATAAATAAGTAAATAAAAAATAAATAAATAAAATAAATTAGCCAGCGATGGTGGTACGTGACTTTAGTCCCAGCTACTTGGGTGGCTGAGGTGGGAGGACTGCTTAAGCCCAGCAGGTAGAGGCTGCAGTGAGCTACAGTTGCACTACTGCACTCCACCCTGGGCAACAGCAAGACCCTGTCTCAAAAATAAAAATAAATAAATGAAAATTACGTGTATAGTCTGTTTGTGTGTGTGTGTGTGTGTGCAAGTGTATGTGTAAAAACTAACACCTCATCATGACCCTAAGAAGTTGGTACTGTTATTATCCTCAGTAGCCTGAAAGAGGGAAGGCCTTTTATGAAATTTATTACTGGGCAAAGTGAAAACAAAGTTAAAGAAAAAAAAATAAACTATTTGAGTTTTTTTCCTGGACAAGTACATTAGAATGCAATAAAGCCTTAATTGTAAATAAAATAAAATCCAAGACATAGAACTTTCTTAAAAGAAAAGGAATTTGCTTTACGGTTTAATTGATTTGGAGATAGAAATTTGCTGAACAGGTTCTGATTACCTTGCTGAAGATGCAGGCAATTGGCAACAATCATACCGATTACAAGACATTTAAGCAACCTCAATTAAATTAGTGGTAATTCTAAACTACTCTATCTTGCATAGAGACTGGTTTAATTTTTATGTAAATTTAAATTATGGTTGTGCAAATCCTAATTGGCTGACAGGGAATCAAGCTAGATTATTTTCATTTCTTTTTGTGGAAATGAAAGTTGTGTTCAAAGTTCTGGTAGGTATATATACAGACTGAAAACATTCTTGCGAGAAAGTCTTGCAAAGAAGAATTGAAGGGCCATTTTCTTGGCTTAGTGTGACAGATAGGCCAACTGTATAAAATAAGGAAAGTGGCAGATTGAGGATCACCAGGACTTAAGAAAAAAATAGAGTAGGAAATACACTGGGCTTGGCGAGGGGGCACGGTCTGGAGCCCTGAATTTTAATGCTGATTCCGCCGTCTACTTACTGTGTAGTCTTGAGAAAGTCTCTATTACGTAGCTGCTGTGTAACAAAGAAATACAAACTTTCAATGGATTGAAACAGCATGCATTTATTTCTTGCTTAAGAATCTGCATAAGTAGGTTGGCTGGGGTTTGGCTGAACTCAGTTGACTTCACCTGGACTTGGCTCCAAGCTGTAGCTTGATTCCAGGTCTGCTTCATATGTGCTTATCCTCCTTGGGCCAGCATTACCTAAGAGGCATTGAGGAAAAGAGCCAAACTCTGTAAAATATTTCAGGAGATTTATTCTGAGCCGAATATGAGTGACCATGACACAGCCCTCAGGAGGTTCTGAGAACATGTGCCAAAGGTGGTCGGGGTGCAGCTTGGTATTACACATTTTAGGGAGGCGTGAGACATCAATCAAATACATTGAAGAAATACATTGGTTTGGTTCAGAAAGGAGGGATAACTCAAATAGGGGAGGAACTTCCTGACTATAGATAAATTTAAACATTTTCTGATTGGCAATTGGTTGAGTTTTTCTAAAGACCTGTAATCAATAGGAAGGAAATGTTCAGGTTAAGATAAAAGATTGTGGAGACCAAGGTTCTTTTGAAGTCTTGTAGTAGCTGCCCTTAGACACGATAGATGACAAGTGTTTCCTATTAAGACCTTTGAAAGGGTTCAGGCTGAGGTGGGTGGATCACCTGAGGTCAGGAGTTCAAGACCAGCCTGCCCAATGTGGCGAAACCCCATCTCTACTAAAAATACAAAAATTAGTTGGACATGTTGGTGCATGCCTGTAATCCCAGCTACTCAGGAGGCTGAGGCAGGAGAATTGCTTGGACCCAGGGGGCGGAGGTTGCAATGAGCTGAGATCATGCCATTGCACTCCAGCCTGGGCACCAAGAGTGAAACTCTATCTCAAAAAAAAAAAAAAAAAAAAAAATTCTTTACAGATGCAAATTTTTCCCCACAAAGGACAGCTTTGCAGGACCATTTCAAAATATGGCAAATAAACATGTTTATAAAATATTTGGGCTGGTAAACATGTTGGTAAAATATTTTGACTTTCTTCTTTGCCACGTAATGTTATGCCAGAGTCAGATTGGAAAGTAAGTCATGATATATAGGGTTAAATAAAACTCATTTGATGAGAATTTATGGTTTGTAGAGCACGACTCCCCAGACCCCTTAGATAGGAATTTGGACAAGATTTAAAAATCAGAGCTTAGTCCTCAGAGGCATCCTACCCAAAGCCAAAGGCAGGAATGCAAAAGAACAAGCTCAACCATGCAAGCTCCCTTCAATTCCTGCTGTTGTGTCTGTCTGCCCAGTAATTGGCAAAAGCAAACTACAAAATCAATCCTAAATTCAAGAGGAAAAGAAGTCTATCTTCTTCACTGCGATGAGGGCATAACATGGGTGTGAAAGATCCAATAATTCAAGCTATCATTTACTTCCCATTTTCTTTAGCTTCTAACATTTATAAACTGTAGTAGATGGATTCCGTGACTATTCAGGACACTTACAGCTCTTAATGTCAGTTTGCAATTTTAGGAGAAATATTATGAGATTCTCTAGTATTAAGTATAAATGATTGTCCTGCAGGCTAGATTCAGCCATGTTTTGGTATCTCTGCATAGAATTTTACAATAATTTTAATAAGTTGAAAATATTTTTAAAACCAGGATGTTTCACCCAAACATTCAAAATACTGATTTTTCTTGAAGACTCGGAGTAGTAGGCGATGGTGATTTTGACTAACAGCTGACCCTTTTATTGCAGAGCGTGCCTCTCCAGATGAGCACACACATTCCCTCCATTCCAGGTACTTTCTAGCTATCGTCATACACCTGGACCACTTCACTTATTTATATTACTTCCCTGAACCTTGTGAGCAGTTTTTGTTTCTGTCCTACAATTCCAGGTCTGAGCTCTGGCCCTTCTTCTCTCACCAGCTACTTGCATGGCAAGATAAGTCATTTAATATCTCTGGGTTGTATTTACAAACAGAGAAGCGAAATTGTGGAGGTCTTTATGGGCTTTCCTGCTGTGCCATCCTGTGATTCTAAGGAGGTTAGACCAGAGGGTATCATACGTTTCAGGGCATCTCATGAAAACAGGAAAGTAGTCTATTTCAAGAGACAACTGGACGACTCTTCAAATGAAGATATACAGACTGAAAGCTGGAAACTTAAAGCAAGCAGGGCAATCAGGAGTGGTGCTTGCTCTGTGGATCTCACAGGAGCTCAAGAGGGAGAAGGAGCAATTAAAGAAAAAGAGAAATTGTTGAGTTAGGCTGAATATCAGCAAGGTTTTAATAGGCAAGTCTTTAAACTGGCGTGCTTTCCCAGGAGAAGTGGCAGAAAGTTACTTAAGATAGAGCCACACAAAGCATTTTAATAACCCACTGTAAACAAAATCCTCACCTAAATTAGAGCTATTGACTCAAAGGTAGGTTGTTTCTTTCCCTTCATTTTGTAAGTTGATTTAGATTTCTGTTGCATAAATAACGAACAAGATTAAATTCTGGAATGGGGGCTTGGAAACAGACAAATCCAGGCTATGCTCACATGCATTCTTCAGGCCTACTAGTTTAATGCAGATGGTTGAGCCATCTCAGAAATGATGATCTATTTCACACCAGGCATCTGTGTTAAATAAACATATGCAAAACATGAATGTAGATATATTGTTTTGCACATTTTCATGAATGTGTAGTTTCAGACTGTCATCCAGTTTACCCTATAAAATTCAGAGCTTTTTGCTTTCCTCCTTATCTGCTGCACATCTCTTTTGGAGGTATTCTGGGATAATAGTGCTTGTTATTCAATTATTTAAGATAGACTGTTTGCTGACAACTCAATATTCTATTTTTTTCCCTCTTCTCTTTGGAAAGAAAAGTGCAAAATGGGCAAAGTAAAATAACTGGCTTGGCTTTGGGATAGAGCAAGAGAACAAACAAACAAACAAACTAAAAATAAGCAAAAATGCTCGTCATCTTTTCAGCCAAGGTGTTAAGGGTGACCAAGATAAAAACTTAGGAAAGCATTTTGAAGTGCTGCATGCAATTCATATACTCCTAGAGGATTAACATAATGGCAGCAAGCTGGCCCCTGGAATCAGCTCATTGACATAAAGGGAAAATGTGATTACAGACATACAAGAATGTGAGCTGATTACATTTGTAATAATCCATCATCCTTGGCGATATCATATTCACTCATTGAATAAATAATTTCTATGCATCAGAGTTATTCTCCTAAAACTTGAGAGGTTGAGAAAAGTTGTTTTCTGTATATCCTCCCCCACCTCCCTTTCTGTTGCAGGACCCTCCCACCTCCAAATTCATAACTTCTTCCTTGGCATTTTTGTGATGCCAGGGCATCACCTGACACTCATGGAGTCCTTTGATAAGTGTGTGTTAATAATTAAATAAATTCCACCTTGTGGATCTAGAAAGGAAACTGATTAAAAACAATGCTGTGAATCATTAATAGGGCTCATAGTGGGGAGGATTGAGCTAGCGAAAAGAGGAGTATTTCAGAGGAGGAGACCATTTAAAAATTTGGGGGCTGGGTGCAGTGCCTCACAACTGTAATCCCAGCACTTTGGGAGGCTAGGGCAGGAGGATCACTTGAGGCCAGGAGTTTGAGATTAGCCTGAGCAACAAAGCAAGAGCCCATCTCTACAATAAATAAATAAATAAGCCAGGCATGGTGGCATGTGCCTGTAATCTCAGCTAGTCTGGAGGCCGTGGTGGCAGAATTACCTGGGTCCAGGAGATCAAGGCTGCAGTGAGCTGTGATCATGCCATGGCACTCCAGCCTGGGTGACAGAGTGAGAACCCCATCTAAAAACAGTAATAATAATTGGACTCTTCTACTCCTCTGTAGAAGGTTGTCAAAGAATAAATGTAAGGAATTCATACAAAAGGAAACACAAGCCACCAATAAACATAAAAGAGGTGCACCTAACAAGTCATCAGGAAAGTGCAAAACAAAATAACGAAATCCAACTGTAAATGATTAAATTGGAGAAAACCCTATAAAATATTAAAGAAGTCGTCAGGAAATAAGCATTGTCATGTGGCAGGTGATACTGCAGATTGATTCAGGCACTTTGGGGGGTAATTTGGTCACATCCATTAAAATTTTAAATATCTCTTCCCTATGATCTAACAGTTTCACATTCCCAAATTTACCCTAGAGACACTCCCCGGTCTTTAATGGAAGACATGTTCAAGCACTATTTATTTATATTAGCAAAAAGTTGAAAAAAAACCCTAAATATCCATCAATAAGAGAATAGTTTAATTTAGATTTGTGTATGGAATCTCCCAATTAAAAAACATTGCCAACTAAGCTGAATCTGTAAAAACAAAGTACATACGAAAAACAAATAAACACATAGAACAAATAAAACATGGCTGTAGGCAAAATTCAGTCCCCCCAATATACAATCTTTGGTTCAATAACCATTCAAGTCCCTTAAATTCTGAAATTCAAACTGTGCCTTTGGAAAGTAAATAATACTAATTAGTAGATTTTTTTTTTTTTTTTTACTCTCTGCTAAGTTTCCGTTACCATGTTTGGGGTTTTTATGTGCTTTTATTGTCTTTGCAACAACCCTGAAAGACAGTTACTTTCTCAATTTTACAAGTGGAATTGTTTGAGAATTTCCATCCATGGAGGACAAGCTGTCCTTGTCACCACCCTAATCTTGAAAGAGAGTCTGAGCCAGAGTGGTGCTGATTTATGTTTCCAGAGAACTGAGTCTGAAAGTCTCAATAGCTTTACAACTGAGCAGATCCAAAGAGGTGCCCAAGCCATTTATGCAGCTGCTTTAACTGAGCACACAAAGACAGTGCTTGGGGGAACATTCAGCATATCTCACATTGGTTGACTAAGAGGGCCTTAATGTTTTTCTCAGCTTGACAAAACTTAGGTTTCTTATAGACTCTAAGCTCTGACTCTTTGCTTAGAGCATTTTTCTTAGAAAACTTGAAATTATAAATTATGTCTTTGCCCCTTTGAGATGCAAATCTTTTTAAAGTCCTCCTTCTACCTAGGACAGATTTTTTTTAAGGACCAGGGTGCTAGCTCTTTGAAATGTAAATATTAACTGAGATACCCCTATTTCCATAGTTTCCATGGGACAGTAGGAACCTAAATTAGGTGGGCCTCTTGCTCCATGTTGTAAAACTACCTTTGGTCACAAAGGTATGAGAAATAATGTTTATATTTTCTTCTTTGGGTAAGGCCAATTAGTAACCACAGATGGCCTAAGATCTCCCTTTCCCTGATTCCACCCAGGCTTTTAAAAACTCTCCTGCCCTTTGTTCCAGTGGAATTAATTCCAGACCAAGTTCTGCCTCTCTCCTTATTGTAATAGTCTAGAATAAAGTCTTCTTTGCTTGTTTAACTTTGGTGAAGTTTTTGCTTTGACATGGCTTGCTTTGCATTTCAGGATGACAAAGCTCTGATTGGAGAACCTCAGGGGTTATCTGGGAAAAGTGCCTAAGGGAAATGGATAGCAGAATTCAGTCAACGTATAGACATGTCACATCTTCTATGTTAAGAAGAAAAGAAGGAACAAACAAAAAATCCCAAAACATATATATATATATATAAAGCCAACAAAAGTGATCTGAAGTCTGGCAGGCTATAAAATAAAGCCATCTCACATTTTTTAGCTGTTAGTATTACTTAGGTACTTTGACATTTTCTCTAATCTTTGTTCAAATGCCCAGATACCATCCATCTTTTAAAATGTGTCTTTCAACCAAGTCTCATTTCTTTGCAAGTGACAGAAGAGCTGATTCAGATGGGCTTAAGTATAAAAGTAATTATTTTTTTGCCTTAATAATGAGACAGTAGAGTGGTATTTAAGCAAAGTGGGATCCAGATACTCCTCAGTGTCTTCAGTATTTGTTCTCTGTCTTTAGGCCCTTACCTCTTTTTTTTATCTCCAGTTTTAAGCTGGAGATTTCTCTCCTTGAGGCCATAAAGTGCATGCCAAACTTAGGGTTATATCATAGCTAGTTGAAAAGGATACTTTTCTCAAGTAGTTTCACCCAAGGTCCAGAATTGGCTTATGATAAAAAACAAAACCAAACCAACTTTTATGACACAATTTTCTTTGAACTCATCAATATGGCCTAAGGCATGCGAGTGTTCCAAATTACCAGGCATGAAGAAGATGCCATCTCACTAAAATCACAAGTACTAAAAATAGGGGAGAGGGTCCTTCCAGGAGAAAAGCAAGGTACGGTGACAGAAAAAGAGGAAATGGAAGCTTATCAGTCTGTACCAGGCTGTTTACAGTCAACTCTAATGACAAGCAATGTTCTCTGCCTCCAGTCAACATACAGAATACATTGGTTGTCCTTCTTTTGAAGCATGAGACTTCTTTGACTTCATATTACAATTAATCGTGCCACCCTGAAAGCAACATCAAATTTATGTTTGTATCTCCAATATCTACTTTCAGTCCTTCTAAGGATGTCTTATATGTCTGTGCTAGGCAAGAGGCAAATGAACCTTAGTAAGTTCTTCAATTTTCCTATGCCCAAGAGGCAAATGAACCTTAGTAAGTTCCTCAATTTTTCTATGCCTTGATTTTTCCATTTCCTGGGAGCATTCATATTCATTTCTATTCAGACATTGACTTATTCATTCAAAAGTAATTTATTAGTTATAAGAAAATAATAAAACTATAATATGACAGTACTAGCAATTAAACTAGCTAATATTATTGAGTTATTACTGTGTGCCAAGCAGGATTTTAAGTATATTTTGGCTTCTGGCTCTTTCTCTCCCACTGTCTTACCTACGATATAAAATTACCTCTAATTTCTCTCTTGCTTATTGTACTCTGGCCACAGTGGCTTTCTTGCTGTCTCCAGTTACCCAAAGCTCATTTCTATGACAGAGTCTTGCTGATCCCTCTGACTAGATTGCTCTTCTCTCGTTTACTCACTCACATGGCTGGTTTCTTCTTGCTATTTAAATATCAGCTTAAATACCAGGTCTGCAGAGAGGACACCCTTGAACACTCAGTATAAGCTTATCCAAATATCTGATTCCATTTACTTTTCACACGTTAACCTTTTTTTCTTTTCCTCTACTTCCTCTTCCTCTTTTCTTCTCCTTCTTTAAATTTCACTTATCATTTCTTAACTTATCTTGGGTATGTGTTTATTTTTTTTCCTCTTTTTATTCTCCTTCTGGAATACGAATTCACAAGAGCAAGGACCTCATTTCTCTCGGTTACTATCATGCCCCCAGTCCCTAGAAACAGGCTTGGCATATAGCTGCCAGTGCTTTAGTTGCCTTATAAATTCATCTCATTTAACACTCAAATGATTCTGTAATGTAGGTATAATTAATTATCTCCATTTTGAAGATAAAGAAGACAAATGCCTGAAAACTAAGTGGCTTGCCCAAAGTCACACAGTGGGTAAGAGGCAAAGACAATACTTAAAATGAGGAATTCTGTTACTTCGGCTCAAAACTAGGATTCTAAACTTTTGTGGCCAGGCTCTGTGTAGTGTGTTTGGCATAGAGACGTGAATAAAACACAATTCTCTATAGCTCATGGGCTTACATTCTGGAGGTAGCTAGAATTCAACAAGTAATAAATAACTGTAGAATTACAAATTAATAAATATTAGGAAGGAAAAGCACAGGACATTATAAGAAACACATAAATCCAAGACTTAATCTATGGGGAAGTTAAGTGAAGTTAAGGTTTAAGGTTTAAGAATGATTAGGTTGTAGCCAAAAGGAGAGTATGAAGAGAACTTATCAAATAGAATGGCATTGGCAAATCTCTGAGTCATTTGCCTACTGCCAGGCTGGAGACAAGGACTGGGGATAGAAGAATGTCACCCTTTTATCACCCTTGAGGTACCTTAGTTGATTATGTGAAGAAAAAAAAAAAAAAGGTATACAAAGTATTATTAGGCTTTAAAAGGATTTTCAAGTTATTAAAAATAAAATGGGCCATAGTTATGAAAATGGAGAAATAAATAATTAATTAGCTTGATTTATAGCTAATATTGAATTTCTTTACCCTAAAAACTCAGAATAGATCTTCTTTTAAGGACCCATTGAACATTTGCAAAAGATTGACCTTGTTTCAGGAGCATAATTTCAATCAATAAATCAAGAATCAAGAAATGTTATAGTCCACATTCTCCATAATCAATGCTATGAAACTAGTAATTAATAACATCAGCATAAACAAATCAATTCAAATCACTTGGAAATTAGAATAATAATAGCTAGTGTTTATTGAATGTTTATTATATACTTGCAGTTTGCTGAGATTTTTGTCTTAATCAGCTCATATAATCACAAAATCTTTATTAAGTTATTATTGTCATTTTATGGATGAAGAACCATATGACAAGAGAGATATAAGATGTGTCCAGGTACAGAGCTAGTAACTTATATATGTGGAATATAAACAAAGCAGTCTAATTACAGTGTGTATGTGTGTGTGTGTTCAACCACTTTGCTATTCTGCCTCCCTTAATTAGCTTCTGGGTTAAAGAAAGAATCAAAGTGCAATAGTAGTTAGAGAAGAAAATGATAATACAAACAAACTGAAGAAAAGAAGAATTAAGAGGAAAATATTTTAATAATTATTGAAGGTGTGTAGTGGATGCATGAGGATTTATTGTACTGCTGGTCTTTTTGTGTGTATATTTGAAAGTTTCCATTATATGAATTTATAAATAGAAGGTAAAAACAGATATTAATTAAAAAATCTCCTTTAGCTCAAACAGGACTTCAATCAAACCTTTTTTGTGGTGCTTATTGCTCCTTCCTTTTTATTGTAGATATTCAAGCCTAAATCTCTTTTGTAAATTATGACCTTTATTAAATATTTACTATTAATATTACATTATTGTATTTTATTCTCATAGTAACATTATGAAATAAACATTATTTTCTCCATTTTAAAAATGAGGGGAAAAGGGCGTTCAAAAAGTTTTAGTCACTCACCCAAAGGCCTCATTTAAAAATGGAAAAATTAAAATTTGTGTTTGAATCTTTTTCATTCTGAAGTCCTTCCTCTGTGCACTCTACCATATGGCCTTAATTATATAATTATAAACTTTTTGATGGCAAGATGCTTTTCTAACTTATCTTTTAAGATAATTCTTGTATCATCTAGCATAGAACCTGTCATAAAGTAGGCATTCAATAAATACCATATGACAGGAACAAGGGAGAGGAGAAATGAAGGTGAGTTGACAGTCTCACTTTTTTATAAATAATATCAGTGGGAATTTAATTTGTCTCTAAGATAAACTGTTGACCGACTTGCCTAAGATTGAACCCTTTATTTTTGATGAGTTTAAAATGGCAGCCCAATTATTTCAAATTTCGTGCAATTCTCTAAACAGAAACCCTTTCCTTCATTGACTAAGACTACACAATGCCAGCCAGGTGATGCTTGCCATAGCAGCAAACTGTAAGATTTTAAGTTTAGGATTGTTCAGATTTCTATTAATGTTTCACATCACTCTGAAATATTTTGAATCTGTACCCAATTGTCCTCCCTAGTTTTGAGTCACCTGAAAAACGTAATATGGATTTCATCTTTGGTTCACCTCAATAACTGTAAAAACTTCACATAGAAAAATGATTAAGGGATAGGCTGAGACTCATTCTTCTAAAGGACTTAAAAACTGGTAGTTCACACATCATCTTACCCAAAACCAGAGCAAGGGTGACTTTTTTTTTTAATTTTGCTTATTTTTCTGATCAACTGTATTGACAAGATTCCTATAATCTGCAAATTTAGTAAAACAACTTAAAAATTAGACTGTTAATACAGTATGATTTGTCGTAGTGGATCCCCACTGGTGTATCATGGGCACTTTTTTACCTCGGTATACTCATAAGCCTAGTAGTACATAAGCTACTTATTACTTCATCTTTGTGATCATAATCAGGTTTGCTGGTTTGTAGTTCTGAAATCCAATTAATTATAAACTGGCACTCTATGTACATATAAGGTTTTGATGACTTGTCTCTTTTGTCATATTTCTTATGCATTCTGAAATGTATTTTTCTAATTGTGTAAGTTAAAAGAAAACAATTTATCAAAATGGAATTCATTTTTACTTTCAGTCTTCTCATACCATTCTCTTCTAATGAGTATCATGAAGACTGGGTAGAGCCACTTTTTTGCCTTAAATCTCAATGATGTGTCTTGAGTGCCTTCATTTTTTTTCTTACTTCCGCTGTACTATCTATTTCATCTGATGGTAAATGTCATTGAAATATCTTCATTTATCTCATTTTGACACATTTCTCTCTTTCAAGATATATCCTGCAAATATGTGCTTAAACTTTTGCTGTGATGTGGGCAAAGAACACTCTGGCCTTTAAAATATGTACTAGCATTTAAGTGGCTTTAGGATGTTTAAAATACCATCTTTTTCATTATTAATCTAAAAAGAATTATATCAACCCCACTGTATGTCCTTTATTAATTCTGATAAAATATCACAAAAACTGGCAACCATTCTGTAGCATGTAACTTTATTTTATTATAATCTGAGATTGCTACAAGTTTGAAATATGCTTAACATCCAGTACTATTATGATATATAAAATTATAGTTTATCAAATTAATGGAACACTATGTGGAACTTAAGAATAATGGGCTTTCTCTGTGTAATGACATATAAAAATGTCTGGGTCACACTACTGAGCCCAATTAAAGATGAGTAAAAAATACATATTTATGTATCTATACATGTAAGTATTCATTTTGATAAATCTGAAAGAATAAATCTAAATCTTGGAGTTATAAAATTAGGAGAGAGGTTTACTTTTTATCATTAACTTCTTTAAAATTTATCATGAACATATACTAACTTTATCATTAGAAAACAATATAGACTTTTTCTATTTGAAAAGAAATGTAGTTTTTATATTATTTGTGAATAATTACCAAAATTTTTATGTTTTCATAGGTAATTTGGTGTTATAGACACCACAGAAATAATTTCTTTCATTAGAAAAAGTCCTCCAATAGTAATAGTGCCTATGAAAATAGATAATTGTAATAATTCATTGAACTATTAGTGTGTGCTAAGCCTATGTGTATTATCACATTCAATCCGAAGGATTTTAGGAAAAAATATTATCTATATTTTACAAATGGACTATAGCTGAGATTCAAATCTCATTCTATTGAATATCAAATGCATGGCTTCACCTTTACTATTCTATTAAGTAATTTTCATTAGAAGTTATCAAGTGCAAAACCAACAAGTTTTCAGAATTTAGGCCCATAAATGTCTTTCAGTTATTTGGAATAAATTTAGTAGAGCTGGTAAACAATTATAATAAAGTGCTTAATAGAGATAAGATGAGAATTATAATTTGTTCAGGTCTGCAGCCTTCAGATCTGTTTTCTTGATGAAAATGATGAAGCTGCAGAGCACCAGTTCTATCCAAGCACCAGTTCTATCCATTCTCCTTCCAGAGGCTGTGCTGTGGTGGACCCCACTGTCCCACTCTAAGACCAGACCACACTTTGACTTTCACTCTTTAAGAGAAAGCACCATGGTTCTATGAAAAGTCTTCTGGGAATCTGGCTGAGAGTCTCTGATAAAGAAATTTCATTTACAGCATCTTGGCCACCATGAGTCTTCTCCTTGACTGTCATTTCCAAAAAGGAATGTTTGTGTGAACGATGCCAAGTTTAAAAGGAACCTAATTAGGCCTAAGGTAACTAAGAATGCATGGTGCATCCCAGGTTAGTTTGCTCAGCTCTGGAGTGTAAGAAAATGTGGAAGAGTAACATCCAACAACCCTAGACCAAAACTGTCTCACAGTGTTGTATTTTAATATCTAACATTTCTATAGTAAGTCTCCTGAGCTACTTCTCATTCTCAAAGATCAGAATCACTGTATCTGTAAAGTAAGAAGACAGAGTCCTTCTAAAGTTTGGCAACATGAGACACAGAGTGTCTAAAAATAGCCAAAAATGTGTTGTAGTGGCAATTGCATTCTGACTGATAGTAATATTCTTTTGCTGATATATTGCTTATAGTAAAGAGAATATGCTACTTATAGTAAAGAGAATACCTTTTGGTGGGGTAATTTTGTCTTAGTATGAATGAACACAGAGTGATCCAAATATGCAATTCCTCTGCATATTTCCTGTCTGAAAACTGCGTTACCATTCCTTGATACTCTGTTGAATGCTGTCAACAGAGAGAGAAAAGATAATTTTAATATAATATAATGCTTTACTTCAGAATTTTAAGCTCCCACAGTTGGTTGCTTTTGGTTTTACTCTCTGAAATGTTTAGTATTTTTGTTTCCAATGTAGCATTTTATGTGTAAGTGGAGTCTACATCGACCGGCCAGTTTAGATTCAAAGTCAAGATTTGCCTGTAACTCTCTGTAACTTTCCTTTGTAGTTGACTATATCCCAAGAATGATGAGTTAAAATAGAAGCTGGTCTAAGAAATATTTTAAATGTCATAGTTAGAAGTATATTCGGCCATGAAAAGATGTACGTGGAAAGTTCAAAGAATATGTACTTGTGATGGCTCCATTTCTTTGTCCATTAATACTCATCATTTCTTTTAAATAAGCAGGTTTTTCTTTTAGCCACCCATCTGAAGGTACCTCAGAACTCCTTCTATTGGGTGTTGGTGTCCCATTGGTTCAAAAAACATTATAGGATTACAAGTGTTTTACAGAATAAATGCAAGACAATTGTCAGAATTTTCCCAAGTAAGATACCTGCACATTGATGATTTCTAAAAAGTAAACAATTGTAATAAAATAGTCTGACTGACAATGAGAGTTTGGTTATAAAGAAGGACTATTGTTGAAGGTTTTTAGCTTATGCTCAGTTTGTTTTTTAAAAGCAAACTGGTAAGTATAGTAAGTTTTATACATATATTTTACCTCCATAAAAAAAGTTTAAAAAAACTTTTAAAAAGCAAACTACATGTGCAGGAAATTATAGCCTATTTATTACTTCTCAGGGGATAATCCTGTAAATAGAAGTGCGGTATATTCTTTGAAAACCAAGTACCCAGAGTGGAAATAAATAGTGTAAATTATGTGGCTTTTGAATACTAAGAGGTGTAATATAATACCATGGAATCAATCTTTAATTGGTGCTAAGATACAAAGTAAGTACTTAAACTGGTGTGCTTGTCATTTATTTCTTGAGTTATAACCATATTAATCGAATTTTAAAACAGAAGAGGACTACACAAGTAACCAGTTATGGATTCACAGAACAAGACCTACCTTGAATCATAGCATGCTTAAAAACATCAATGATGGTCCAGTAGAAAAGGCATAAGCTCTATCATTCTGATTTGTTGTTTTATCGATTGTCTAGATTTAAGAAAATGGTGCAAATTAAATTTAAAAGTGTGTCTGGTCTGTAGCTGTAATGTTGTAACTAACACAAACAATTGAGAAAATATTCTTCTGGTGCTTGAAAATTATCTTATTCAACAAAGAATTTGCTTAGGGTGATTGATAAAGAGGTAATGTTTGAAAGTATGTCTTTATTGTTTCATTTTCATATTTTTCATCTTACTTGTTAATATAAACGAAAATATCAATATATACTCATGTCTGAACTACATTTAGAGAGCCAGTTATTAAACATCTACTTCATGGAGCATAGTTCTCATCCGAACTTGGAAGGTTCTCATGGCTAGTTCTACTGCCCTTATCAGAGGCTGCATCAAGGCTGGAATCAGGAGGCACATACAGAGGAGTGTGCAGTGGCAGCTGTAGCAGGAAAATAAAGCTACACAGTTGGAGAAATCTCTTAAAAATACCTTTCTGTATTTTATAAATTTTCTGTAATATGTAGCACTTTTGGTTGAAAGTATGTTTTAATTTTTAAAGAAATAAAAGAGATTGCAATTGGATGATGTGAGTATAGCTGGAAAACTTGAGGTGTGACCTTTGAGAAGAGGTATGTGTGCACACATGTAGTGTACAGACATGGGCGTGGGAGTATAAAAAAGAGTTCATGTATGTATTCAGAACACATGTAAGCATTCAGAATTACATGTTTGAGAGCTTCACCTGGACAATTACGCATTTAGCTGTGCAAAGTGTTTTTGTAAAATCTGAAATTTACTTATTTCTACAGGTAAAAGTTTGCCTTGATGCACAAAAGTTCTTTTAACCCTATGCTGGCTTGATTAATAAAAACGTAACTATTTCTCTTTATGATCTTAGCGTTTAACAAAGTAAACATTAAGGCAACTAAAGGTTGATGAATTTGCCAGGGCTAAGTCTCCAACTAAAGATTTTTCATTACTCAGATTACTTACAAAAAATATTGTATTCATTCAAATGATCCAGACTGGGTTTTGGGTCTGGGTGGAGGTGGGGAAATAAAGAGGGTAATGCTTTGATGAGCCATCAGATTGGATAAATGTCTTCTTTTCAAATCTTAATACTTTCTAGGAGTAAAATTCTCAGTTTTAAGCTGTCATCCAAGGGATTATTTTACACTGCTAGTCCTCAGGACCAGGAACTCTCTCCCCAAAGCCTCTGTGGTCCTCAAGGCCTGTTTGCCTGATCTAATGTAGAAAGAAACCATTTAAGATTAATTCTCATAGAATCTTGAAAGCTTTCCAGTGAAGGGAGCTTTTCAAAGAAAACTTATAATAGGAGGCTTTTCACATCTTGCTGATAAGATTCATTTCCCTCCATTCTCTATGTTCATTCCCTTTGAACCTTGGAGATGAGTTTATCCATTCAACACCACCACATTTAGCACCTGCTACATGGTAGGAATTAACACAACATTTACTGGGTGGCTGTGGTTACTTTTACTGCTGCATAACTCGCCACTCTGAAACTGAATATCTTAGAATAACAATTCGTGATTATCTCTCACAGTTATTGAGGATTGAGGGAGCTCAGGAGGTCAGTTCTCATTAGAGAACTCACAGGTTTGTAGTCAGCTGGCACCTGGGGCTGGCTGAAGGCTCAGTCAGGCTCAAATCCAAGATGGTTTCCTTACTCCCAGATGTGGTACTCCCATGTTCCATGTCTTCTTTCCTTCTTTCCACATGGTCTCTCATCTTCCATGGGCTTCTTCATGTGGCTTGCTGTTCTGACAGGCTGGTGGCCTTAGGGTAGTCATACTTCTTACCTGGTGTTTGACTTCCAAGGGAAAAAAGAATAAAACTGATGGATCAGTTGAGGGCTATAGGCAAAACTGACACAGTATCATTTTGGCGGTATTCTATTGATCAAAGCAGTCACAAGATAGGCTCCATCTCTTGATGGGGGAATGACAAAACTCTATTGCAGAACAGCATTGTTATGGGGAGTTTTATTCTGGCTATCTTTGGAAGATATAGTATGTTTCATTTAGTATCTCAGGGATGGAGAGCAGCAGAACTATTCTGTTTCCATACAGCATATCATGTTTCCAAATCCTTAAAACCATAAGGAATAGAGTGCCTTCCTATTTCTGCCTTTCTCATCTCTGTTTCTCTTCCACAAAAATTTATTGAGTTCTCACAAAGGCATAGCCTCTCTATTACGGTCACATAATTGGACTCAGGTATTGGTCTCAGTTGTTATATGTTTTTATGAACAAACTATATTCCTATGTCTTCCTCCTTTTTTAAGTCAAAAATTTATGATTAAGATAGAAGAGAAGAAATAACACGGGAATAAATCCTTTCATGTTCAGAAGATAATCCCCATACCAGGTAATTTTAGCTTAATAAACACTAGGAAACATCATTCATCTCTTTATTTACTTATGGCTCTGTCACTGCTTAGCAACTGGAAACACAATTGTGGGCAAAACAGACATGATCCCTGTTATGGGATGAATTGTGTCCCCCAAAATATATATGATCCCCAGAACATCAAAATGTGACCTTACTTGGAAAATGAGTCATTGCACATGTAATTAATTAAAACGGACTAAGGACCATTAGTGTAGGCCTTAATCCCATATGACTGGCTTCCTTATAAAAAGGGGAAATTTGGACACAGACATGCATAGAGGGAAGACTATATGAAGAGACATCAAGAGAAGACAGCCATCTACAAATCAAGGAGAGAGGCCTGGGAACTTATCCTTCCCTCACAGCCCATAGAAGAAACTGACTCTGACAGTACCTTGATTTCAGATTTCTAGCCTTTGGGAGAGTGAGACAATAAATTTCTGTTGTTGAAGCAACTCATTTTGTGAATAAGTATTTGGTTACAGCAACCCTAGCAAATGACTACAGTCCGCATTCTCCTAAAGCTTATGAGCCAGGTATTAATTAAATAATTTCAAATAAAAATTGAGCTGGGAAATATGAAAGAAAGAAACAAAATTGTATGACAGCAGAAGCCAGAGGAATCTTTCCTAGGCTTGCGGGTCAGAGAAAGTTCCAATAAAGAAGTGATGTTTGAGGCCAGGTAGGGTGGCTCATGCATCACCCAGCACTTTGGGAGGCCGAGGTGGGTGGATCACCTTGGTCAGGAGTTCCAGACCAGCCTGGCTAATATGGTGAAACATCATCTCTGCTAAAAATACAAAAATTAGCCGGGCGTGGTGGCTGGCGCCTGTAATCACAGCCTCTTGGGAGACTGAGGGAGAATCGCTTGTAGCTGGGAGGCAGAGGTTGCAGTGAGCCAAGATTGCACCACTGCACTCCAGCCTGGGTGATAGAGCAAGACTCCATCTCAAAAAAAGAAAAAAAAAAGTAGAAGTGATGTTTGTGATGAGAGATGAAGAGTGATAAGCAGTAAATTGAAGAAAAATCAAGACAAACATGTCCTGGGTTGGAACATGAAGAGGGGTGGTGTGGGAGCAGCATGTGGCAGAAACCTCTGTCAGGTGACAGCATGATGCAATTGAGAAACAAAAAGAAGGTCAGTGTGGTGTTGGCACAGAAAAGCCGAAAGGCTCCTGCTCATGTGACCCTTGATAAGATATTTTTCAGTATCACAGATCATTGAGAATCCCTTAAAAGGTTTTCAGTTAGAGGTAATGTAATTATATCTGAGTTTAAAAAATCATTCACACTGTCTTTGGGAAAACAAGTTGGAAAGGGTGAAGACTGGAGGAAAACTTGGACTCAAGGCAGGAGGCTTGTACGGGTGGGAGAGAATGCTAGCTCAATACAGAGAAGGGCCAGAAATAAGACGCAGAAATGGGTGTATTTCAGTCATATTTAGAAGGAAAAAATATGGTAAGACTTGCTGATGGCAGAAATCAAATATGACCATGGCTATTTCTTTTTACCTTCACTTAGTTTGAAAAATGAGAAGACTCATTTTGAGGGAGAAGCTCATGGATATTATATTACTCATGTTGTATTTGCATTGGAGAGCTGCAAACTGAGAAGTCAAGAGGCAATTGGATATACAAGGAGCTCAAAAAATGAGTTCTGGGTTACAGATATGAATTTGAGAATCATTAGCAAATGGATGTTGATTGGGGCTTTGTGTGTAGTTCAGATTGCTAAGCAAGAGAATAAAGAGAAGGAAGAGACAAGGGCCTAGAACTGTGACCTAATTAATTACAACATTTATTTGATTTGTTTCTTATTTTGCCATTATATCATAATGGCAATACTGGAGTTTGTATTAAATTGCTCCCATCGGATCATTTCTTAAAACCTGGAGGCTTCTGAAACAAGCCATACATCTCCAAGTTACTGTACAACCTTGGGTAATTGTTAACACCAGGTATTTTCATCAAACACGAAGACAAAAACAAGGTATTGCAGTTTGTTTTTCCATTTCAGATTACAAAAGCAGAAAAATCTTTTTATGAGTATTTTAGATAAAAATAAAGTAAGAATTGATTTTACTTTTCATAACTTAAAAAAAAAGGGTATCTAATAGTATCTTTAAAAACAACCTATTGCCCACAGGGAGAAAGAGGCCTTATCTGATTGTAACAGTGATTGGATTTTTTTTTTGTATGTACCGACATTTGGTACAGGCCTTATCTTTGAATCGTTCAATTTCTAGCAGCATTATGACATTATTTGTGTTTATTGTCCCTGCTAAATAGAAACACACATACATAAGCTGGTTCTCTCTTAAAGGAAACCCATTAGGGTTGTGCCACTCCGTTGGCCTTCAGAAATTTTTAAATTATGCCTTTGCTAGTAAAAGGAGAGAATGTAAGCCTACTTAACTCCATCATACTAGGAGAAATGCTCTTATTAGGCTTTCAGATGCCCACTGCTGCTAACTCCAGCCTTGAAACAGGTATAGCTGAGAAGAAAACAAGACTAGAATAGGCTTTCAACAGAGTAGATCAGGCAATGATATTCCATCTTTGGGATAGGTCAGTCAGACCAGACCACAGGGTGAACGACATACATGCTTTGAGTTTATATGTCCACTTTAATCACTTTTTAATTGTTTTAATGATGATGCCCAGTGATTGTGACAGTAGGGGGGAAGTGCTGATTCTCTAAGTATTCTTGGCTGTAGTGGTTTGGTAATATCCCACTGTATGTTAAAAATTTGCACACCATTTGCACCAGCAATTTTACTTGTAGAACTATAACTTTAATAAATTCCTTCCAAAACTTTGAAAGGTTTAATCTTGGAAAATATTAACTTTTATTTGGATTTTAGAAGCCACTTCTTAGAAACAATTGCCTATCCAATTACAGCACATGAGTTTAAAACTGGCAAGTTTCATCTATATGATGTAATAACTTGCAGCTATTAAAATTATGATGTAAAAAATATAATGAATAGAAAGGCTCAATATATAAAAGTAGTTTACAAAGAAGTTTATAAAGTACTACTTTTTTGTGTGAAAATGGTTATTTACAGAAAAATTTTGAAATTGTATACATTAAATTCTTTCCTTTCTTTTAATTGATGAATAAAATTTGTGTATATTTATGGTATACAACCTGTTGATATATGCATACATCATAGACAGCTAAATAAAGCTAATTAACATATCAATAGCCTTATACACATATTTTTTGTTATGAGGACATTTAAAATCTACTCTTAGTAATTTTCAAGTATACAATACATTGTTATTGACTATAGTCACCATGTTATACAATATATTTCTTATGTTCATATCTCCTGTCTATTGAAATTTTGTGTTCTTTGACTCTCATCTCTCTACTCCTCCTTCCTCCTAACCACTGGTATAACCACCATTCTACCCTCTGATTCTATGAGTTCAAGTTTTTTAGATTCTTCACATAAGAGATAATGCAGTATTTGTCTTTTTGTATCAGTCTTGTTTCACTTGGCATGATGTTCTCCAGGTTCCTCCACGTTTTTGCAAATGACGAGATTTTATTATTTTTTAATGCTGAATAGTATTCCATTCTATGAATATATCAGATTTTCTTCATCCATTCATCTGTCAGTGGACGCTTAGGTTGAATCCATAGCTTGGCTATTGTAAATAATATTGGAATGTACATGGGAGTGCAGATATTTCCCTGACTGATTTCATTTCTTCTAGATACCTATAAGTGGGATTGCTGGATCATATGGTAGTTCTATTTTTAATTTTTTTTAGGAACCTCTATAGTGTATTATATAATAACTGTACTAATCTACATTTCTACCAATGGTGTATAAAGATTTCATTTTCCTCACATCCTCACCAACACTTACCTCTTCTCTTTTTGATAATAGCTACCCTAACAGGTGTGAGGTGATATCTCATTGTGGTTTTAATTTTGTATGCACAAAATTTGGGTTACTTAAGTCTGAGCATTAAGTATGTAGATGACATTCAGATTTTCCTCAATGGATGTATATGATTTTTACATAGATATAGCAAAAAATGTAAAATATGATTCCTATATGCAAAAACATACCTATTCTTTTGTCTATTACCTACTTGCTAATGTTTGACATCATAAAACTCTTATTCCTCATCAATCCTGAAAATTACACTTATAACCCATGAATTTATACAAATGAAAAAAAGAGGATTTACAAAGCTATATCAGTTGCTTACACCTCAACTAAAATAACCTCATTAGCATCTTCCAGTGAGCAGTTTGTTGGGTCTAAATGAAAATGAAAAATGGGACAATAGGACACCTGAGAAGAAGCCGGAGTGCCCACAATATAAACTCACTAAGGCTCAGTCTTCCCATGGGAACCTCTGACTTTTTAGTATTTTTTCCATCTAGGGAGAAATTGATAGTAACTTATTAATGTAGAAACTCTGGTCAAGGTCTTGGCATTTTGAAAATTTATCAGTATGTTTTAAGTTCATTATTTGTTTTTAAGCAGATTCAAATGGAGACTCTAACTCTTATTGCCCTAAAAGTCAAAGAATAAACACAGATTTGAGATCTGTGCATCTACTGAATAGGTTCTGCGACATTAATTCTGTTGGTCTTCAACTGTTTAAAATAACCTGGATTATTCTGAATCCTTTTCTTCTTTTGGAAATTTTCATTATTTATTCATTACCACTGGGAAAATTGATTTTTGAGTAGAATATCATTCAAACAATCTAAATATTAGTCAGTTTTAGACAGGTTAAAGTAGAATTAGGCTACATCATTAAAAATAAAAATCACCCTTTTTCTAGAACTTTAATTACTATTACCACCACTGCTATGGTGATGATGATGATAATGATGATGACCAAGGAAGAAGGATTTATTGATTACCTTTTATGATTCAGTGACTGTAGAATTAAATTACATATCAAATTATTTATATAAAATAATTATATAAACCAGTTTAACTACATAGTCTTTAAAGTCAATGATTCATTCTTGTTATACAGGTGAAAAATAGAAACTTGAGTACTTTAAGCAATTTGCCCAAGTTCACACAGGTAGGAAGTTCCAAACTAGATTTAAATCTTCATCTTCCTCAACTCTAAATTTCCGCTTTCATTCCGTATGCTGTGCTACTTATCTAGATTTTTAGAAGACAAAAGTAGAGAATCCATAACATGACTACTAGCACAGGTATCACTCCTGCCACCACCACCAACTAGCATGTGAAGTTTAGGAATGTTTTTACTGGAAAATGCATTACTGTAGCCAAGCTAACTGATTGTCACTCTGAATGCTTTTAAATGTTAACAACTTGAAGTCAATCACAGTGTCTGATTCCTAGGTGATCTGAGCTATCTGAAGTGCTCAGATGGCCTTACAGTTACTCAGAATTCTCTGAGTAAAAATGGAGACATCCATCTCCATTTTTTCTTGGCATATCTGTCACTTCACACTTGAGTCTGTTTTCACCATCTATCCTTAGAATCTTTGCAATCAAGTTACTTTAGACAATTGATGACAAAGTGGCACTTAAGTAACCATTTTGGATGATTTGAAGCCCTTATTTATTTTATCTCTGGTAGACATTTATTTTAGCATCCCATAAGCCTATATATATAAATGACAACCTAGGTTGTGTATATTTTCACTGTACTTGACAAGCTCACTTGACCAAAAGACCTCTAACCCAGGTGGGAATAAACATGTGGAAATGTCTAAATGACTTAAACATATTTCCTCTCAATCAGAAATGTGTTCTCACCAGGTTTCTTGAATGCAATTGGCCATTTTAAGGCCCATAGGAAGGAAAAAGAAAATAGTATTTTAAAGAATAGACGAACAATCTTGCTGACATCCTACCTGATTTCCTAGACAGGCACGTTTTGTTGTAGATTTGGTGGGGCTAGTGGAGAAACAATAAGAAGACTAAGGTATGGACAAGGAAAAATATATTTTTCTATTTTCATTTAGAGTATATTAAATACACACACATGCACACACACACGTATACAATTTGTATATGTAATTCTCAATATTTCCCAATTAATTCCCATTTTACAGATAGGTAACAGACTCAAGCTGAATAATAAATTCATTCAAATGCAGATCATTGTTAGTAAGTCGCAAAGCCAATACTATAAATGCAAGTCTTTCATCATTACTCTACAGTAATGATACTAATCTATGTACTACACATCTTCCATAGTGGTATCCTGTCACTTACCCACATTTCTCAAGTTGTGGCCTGATGCCATCTACATCAGATTCCCCTAGGGTACATGCCAAAACAATTCTGAGGCTCTTTCACTTACTTTTTAAATTAGAGTCTCTAGTGGGTAGGGAATGGCCTCAAAGATCAACATTTTAATTTGCTCCTTGGGTGACTTTTAAAAAATGGAAATATTTCAGAACCAGTATGGCTAACAGGTAGGCCTGTGACTGAAAGTAATACAGTGGAAAGAGCATAGTATCAGAAGTCAGGCATCCTGAGTTTTAATCCCTACTCTCTTAGTAACTAGCTCTGTGACTTTGGACAAATCACTTCACCTTTTTGGGCCTGCTTTATCCCATCTGTAAAGTGATAATTTTAGATCAGATGCCTGCTTTAACATTTTATGAATATTTTCAATAGACTCATACAATATGGGACATATTAGTTCTGTTATGCTCTGCATTGATCAGTCTATATATATGTAAGTCCTGTTACAGGACCAAGTCACTATTTTAAAAGAGACTTTGACTATCTGGAGTGGAGTCAAAAACTCCACTCCCGCACTATAGCCATTATGGACTCTATAACCTGGGAGCAAGAGCAATTGGCTTTTTCCAGGACTTTCAAAATGCCATCAGGTATAATTAAAGACAGGTGAGTGAGTGCTGCCATTCCAGACTAATAGGGTTGAGGCATACGGGTAGTTTTCTGTGACCAGTAACATACTTTCATGGAAAACAAGCAATATTTCCTGTTTGAGAAAACAGAAGCCTTTATAACTGACACCAACTGCTTCCTAATCTATTTCAGTGAAGAGGTAATCATTTCCAGTCTGTGAAACTATTCCTGCAAATCCAGCAGCATGCATTCATTTATGGCCCACACAACTGTACTGGCCTTTACAAGGGAAGTAAATATGTCCTCAGTGGCTGTTTTGTGTTTGCAATTAACTGATCTGTCAGAAGAATTTGGCATCTGCATATGCAAATGCACGTTTAGCAGTACACTGTGGAATGCAGGGACACATTTCATTTTGCAGGCATATTTTGGGAGCTTGGAAGAAAATGTAGTCTTTATTTTAATCTTCAGTGGCTTGTCCAGTGCTTTCCATACCAACATTTTACTAAATGAGTGTTTGATATTTAGGTCCTGAAATAAACAGCTACTGAATATTCATGTATGTTGAATGCAATCAGAGAAAAATCCAGGAATAGAACCTCAGAGTGCACACTCCTACTTCCCATCTGTAGCCATTAGGATAAGAGCACTACAATGCCACAAGCTAGGTATACTGTTATTTCAACAAACAATGTATTAATTGCATATTACCTACAAGCCACCGAAATAAGTAATGGAGGCTAGGGCTTTTTTTTTTTTTTAATTTCAAGGAGGATAAAATACCTGAAAGTAGAGAATTATAGCTAAGAGTATTTGTTCAACAAATATTTAATGAGTTCTTACTTTATAACAGGCACTGATATAGGCACTGAGGGTTCATTCAATGAATTTTTAAGAAGTGACAAAAATCATTTCCCTCACAGAGTTTTAGTTTCAGAAAGGCAAAAAAAATTGTAAAATATACAGTATGATAGATGTATATATGACAGAGTAGTTAATAGAGGATACCAGTGGAAGCAGATTGGTTTAAATGAGAAAAGCAGAAAAGTCTTACCAAAAAGATAAAATATGAATATATATATGATGGAGATAAGGGAGTGAGCTATGGGGGTGCCAGTGAGAAGAGCATTCTAGGCAGAGGATGTTGTAAAACCAATGTCTCCAAAGCAGGTGGGTATTCAGTGAGTTAGAGGAACAGAAGGGAGGATACTGTGGCTAAAATAGAGGGAGTACATTTGAAGAAAGAGAGAGAACAGGATGCCAGATCATTGAAGGTCTTGTAACCACGAAAACTCCTTAATTTTGATTCTGAATGAGGTGAAAAATCAGTGAGATTTGAGCAGAGAAATGATATGGTTTAACTTATATTTTAAAAGAATGGCATTAGCTTTTGAGTCAAAAGTGAACTATAGAGGAATGGGGCAGAAGGAAGTCCAGGTGGGTGGCTAATGCTGCTAACAAGTTAATGAATGATGAAGGCTTGGGTCAGTGGAATAATGGTAAAGGTGGTGAAAAGTGGTTTGGGATATGTTTTGAATGTGGAGCTTATATAACGGCTGAAACATCAAACCACCTACTTTATTTTTTAATACGATTTTACAGCTTTATTGAAGGATAATAGACAAATGAAAATTGATATGTGTATACATTCCAAAATAATTACCACAATCAAGCTAAATAATACTTCTATCACCTCACATTGTTACCTTGTGTGTGTGTGTGTGTGTGAGAGAGAACACAACATCTCTCAGCAAATTTCAAGTATACAATCCATTATGATTACACATAGCTGCCTTGCTGTACATTAGATTACAGAACTTACCTATCATATAAGTTTATACCATCTAATCAACCTTTCCTCATTTTTCCCACCTCCCAGCCCCTGTAACCACCATTCTACTCGCAGCTTCTGAGTTCAACTTTCTTAGATTCCATATGTGAGTGAAATGATGTAATATTTGTCTTTCTGTGCCTGGATTATTTCACTTAGCATAGCATCCTCCAGCTTTTCACTTTAACACAAATGGCAGGATTTCCATCCTTTTATGATTGAATAATATTCCATTGTGTGTGTGTCTATATATATATGTATACATATATGTATGTGAGACACAGTTTCTTAGACTACTTGGCCATCCTGACACTCGTCTAATGATCACAGTTTCTTTATTGATTCATCTGTTGATGGACACTTAAATTGATTCTGTATCTTGGCTATTCTGAATAATGCTGCAAAGAACGTTGGAGTGCAGAGATCTTTTTGAGATACTGATTTTATTTCTTTTGAATATACACATAGAAGTAGAATTGTTGGATATTATGGTAGTTATACTTTTAATTTTGTTGAGAAAACTTTATACTGTTTTTGCATAATGGGTATGCCAATTTACATTCCCACCAACAGTTTACTAGTGTCCCCTTATCTTAATACCCTTGCCAATACTTGTTGTCTTTTGTCTTTTTGATAATAGCAATTCTAACAGGTATGAAGTGATATCTTACTGTAGTTTTGGTATGCATTTCCATGACGATTACTGATATTGAGCACATTTTCATATACCCATTGGCCATTTGTATGTCTTTTTTTTTAAAGTCTATTCAGGTTCTTTGTCCATAATTTTATTGGTTTATTTGGTTTTTGCTACTGAGTTGTGTGAGTTACTTATATATTTTGCATATGAACCCCTTATCAGATATGTGGTTTACAAATAGTTTCTCTCATTCCTTTTCATTTTGTCAATTGTTTCCTTTCCTGTGCAGAAGCTTTTAACTTGGCAATAAATTTAACCAAGCAGGTAAAAGAGCTCTACACTGACAATGATAATAAATTGGTAAAAGAAATTGAAGACAAAAAATGGGCCAAGCACGGTGGCTCACATCTGTAATCCCAGCACTTTGAGAGGCAGCGGTGGACAGATCACCTGAGGTCAGGAGTTTGAGACCAGCCTGGCCAGTGTGGTGAAACCCTGTCTCTACTAAAAATACAAATATAAGCTGGGTGTGGTGGCATGTGCTTATAATCTCAGCTACTCAGGAGGCTGAGGCAGGGGAATCGCTTGAACCTGGGAGGCAGAGTTTGCAGTCAGCCAAGATCGCACCACTACACTCCAGCCTGGGCAACAGAGCGAGATGCTGTCTGGGAAGGGGAGGGGAGGGGAGGCTGTGTTAGTAGATTAGAAAAAAATTATATAGTTAAAATATTTATACTACTCAGCATGATCTACCGATTCAATGCAATCCCTATCAAAATCCCAATGGCATTTTTCAAAGAAATAAAAAAAATCTTAAAGTTTATATGGAACCATGAAAGACTAGCCAAAGCAATCTTGAGAAATAACAAGAAAGCCTATTTTCTGATTTCAAACTATATTATAGAGCTATGATAATCAAAACAATATAATATTGGCATAAAAATAGACACATAGACCAACAGTATAGAATACAGAACCCAGAAATAAACCCAGGCATACATGGTGGATTAATCTTTGTTAAGTTTGCAAGAATACACAATGCAGAAAAGATAATGTCCTCAATAAATGCAGTTGGGTATCTAAGCTTCTATTTGAAACATAACACATATGCAGAAAATTATACAAAATATAAATGTAAAGTTTAACAAATAATGTGAAGCAGACACCAAGTATCCACCACCCAGGTTAGGAAATAAAATATTGTCGATATTCAATATATCTATATATTCAACAGCTTGAAAGAAATTTTGAGCAAAGTACGTAGAAGCATAAGAGATTTAAAAGAGACCAAATCAAACTTATAGAGATAAAAATTACAATGTCTTAAATAAAAAATTCACTAGATGGAATGAACAACAGACTAGTCATTGCAGGATTAAAGACCAGTTAATTTTCCAAGAGATATATTTAATGATAAGAGATGGAATGACATTCTTGAAAAGTATGGTGAGCATCTCTCAAGAAGTAAAAGCTGCTCCTGAGGGCTCTGTCACTCACAGAAGAAATGTTTTCTTCACGGTGAAAAATGCAGATTGGATTGAGATAATTATTATTCAATCCTGTATATAATCATAGTGGCCACAAAATCTAGGGAGCAGAAAAAAAATGCTGGCCTATGTTCTAAACATTTGTTAGAAACTTCCAGTAACTTAAATGTTTTGGAATACAAGTTACATGATTATGGCCACAGTCAAGTCTCTTCCCAAGAGCCTGCTGGCACAGGAGTGTCTGCTCATTTTTTTTTTCCAACTTCCAGGGGACAGTTACAGTAGCAGGAATTATTTTAATTTAAAAATGCTCTCTTAGTTTGGCTGCTATAACAATACCATAGACTTGGGAGCTTAACAAGTTTGGCTGCTATAACAATACCATAGATTGGGAGCTTAACAATACATTTATTTTTTTATAGCTCTGGAAGTTGAAGTCTATGATCAGGGTATCTATATGTTCTGATTCTGGTGAGGGTCTTTGGGATGGTTAATTTTAGGTGTCAACTTGACTAGATTAAAGTATACCAAGATAGCTGGCAAATCACTATTTCTGGATATGTCTATGAGAGTGTTTACAGAAGAGATTAACATTAGAATACATGAACTGAACAAGGGAGGTCCACTCTCACCCAATTTGGGTGGGCACAATGCAATCAGTAGAGGGCCATACTAGAAAAAAAGGCAGAGGAAAGGTAAATTTTCTCTCTCTCTTTTCTGGATCCAAGTCATGTAGGTTCTCTAACGTTTAAACTCGCACCAGCTGCACCCCAGGTTCTCAATCCTTTGGACTTGTACTGAGTCACTCTACTGGATTTCCTGGTTCTCCAGCTTGAAGATGGCATATTGTGAGACTTTTCAGCATCTGTAATTGCATGACTCAATTTACCTAATATATCCATTTATCTCTGGGTATCCTGTTGTTTTTGTTTCTCCGGAAAACTCTAATATAATCCTCTTCTGGGTTGCAGACTGCCCTGTTCTTATTGCATCTTCACATGATTGAAGAAGACTAGGTAACTCTCGGAGTTTCTATTATTAGGGCACTAATTTCATTCATGAAGTTTCCATCTTCATCACCTAAATTACCTCCTCAAAGCTATACCTTCCTAATACCATCACATGGAGTGTTAGGATGCCAACATATGAATTTGCAAGAACATTCAGTCCATAATACTCTATCCTCAGCTCCTCGAAATTCACACCTTTCTTACATGCAAAAGACACTAATTTTACCCCAACAATTCCCAAATTCTTAACTCATAGCATCAACTCTAAAGTCTAAACACAAGTGTCTCATCAAAATATCATCTAAATCAACTATTAATGAGACTCAAGGTGCAAATTATTGAGACAAAATTCCTGTGAAATCAAACAAGTTACGTGCTTCCAAAAACAATGGTGGGGCAAGCATAGGATAGACATATCCATTCCAAAGAGATAAATAAGAAAAAAGGAAGGAATGAATAATACCAAGCAAGTTCAAAACTTAGCAAGACAAGCCCCCCGAAACTTTAAGGATCAAGAATAATCTTCTTCCGCTTGAAGTTTTGCTTTACAGACCAACTTGGGTGGAGGAGTTTCCACCTTCCAGACCCACAGATATAGGAATATCACCTCCACAGCTTGGCAGGGTGATGTTCAACTTTGGCTTTCTGTGGTGATTCCATTATGCCTTTCTTCTCTTTCACAAGTGGTGGGGGGTCATGTACCTAGTACTTCAACAGGCAGCCCTGCCCCCATAGCTCCACTAGGCATGGGTCCCACTCTTTGAAATGGAGGTGGGAGAGCTCTGCCCTGCAGGCCCATTCACTTTTGGCCTGTGGTAGGAGTGGCAGCCTTGATGATCTCTGAATTTCCTTTGAAGTTCTTCTGCTCTTGTCTTAATAATAGATGTTCCCAGTTTAATAGCTCTATGGTCTCATTCTATAGGGTCTAAGAAACCTAAGTCATTCTTTATTTTGTCCAATTTTCTCTGTTTCCTTCAATCCCAGCTGGCACTTTTTCTGCTGGTATAATCCCATCTCTATTCCTGGCTTTTGTTGAGATTGTTATTTAAGTTGGTTCACATTCATGTTAATCTTCTTATCAAACAATTACTTGGCCACACCCTTAGTGTTCTCTTCTGAACATGCTTTCTTACTTTTTACAATACTGATAGGCTGAGAATTTTCCAAATGTTTAAGTTCTGGTTCCTTTTTGCTGAACAATTTCATTTTCAAATTATTTCCCTCTTTTTACATTTTACTATAAGCAGGTAGGAGGAACCGAGGTGCTTCTTCAGCACTTCACTTAGAAAGCTCCTCAGCTTAATATCCAATGTTATTTCTTATGAGTCCTACGTTCCACAAAACACTAGAACACAAACAATTCAGCCATATTCCTTGTCACTTTATAACAAGAATCATATTTTCTTCATCATTCAATAACTTGCTCCTCATTTTCATCTGAAGCATCATCAGAATGGCCTTTACTATCCATATTTGTAGCAGTGTTCTGTTCATAATTACTCAGGTATTCTCTAGAAGAGTAAGGTGAAAGCTTTCTCTACAGCTCTCTTATTTTCTTTCTGAGATCTTACCAGAATTGCCTTTAAAGGTCCATTCATAGCAATATAGACTTTTTTAAAGCATGCACCTCAAAACTTTTTCAGCCTTCACCCATTACCCAGCTCCAAGCTGCTTTCACATTTTCAGGTGTTTGTTACAACGGCATCCCTGATTCTTGATACTAATTTTGTTTTGAGTGCTGTAATATGGAACCATAGACTGGATGGCTTATAAACAACAGAAATTTATTTCTCACAGTTCTGGAGACTGGAAGTCTGAAATCAAGGTGCCAGAAAATTTAGTGTCTGTTAAGGGCCTCTTTCTGGGTTCATAGATGGCCATGTATCTTTACATGGCAGAAAGAGGACTAGATAGCAATTAAATAAATTCATGAGGGCTCTACCCTCATGACCAAAATTATCTTCCAAAAGTCCTACCTCCTAAGAAAACCACATTGGAGGCTAGAATTTCAGCATATGGATTTTGGAAACATGCAAACATTTAGTTTATAACAAATTATGATTAAACAAAAGATCCTATTCCAGACTCATCTTTTTAAGCAGCTATTGTGTTCCAGTAGCAGAAACAGTACCATAACAGTTTGGAAGAAAGAGCATGTAAAAGACGCTTTTGAACATATAGTGACAGTTTTCATCAGTGCCCCTATCTGTGGTCAATGATAGTTATGAAATTTTTAAGCATATGAGAGAATATAGGGTGAAGATCTAATACATTTAATAGTATCAAAAGTACAGAGATGGCACTAACAATCAGGTCTGATTCTGGAAATCCCCTGGAAATTCTATTAAAAGTTTTAGATATTTTAGGTGAGGAACCTGTTATTGAAAACTCAAAGGGCTACAAGATGGTGCTATGTTATTTTAAAGTTATTCAATAGAATTGTGTAGGTATTTAATATCTTAAAAAAATAGCAGAAGGCATGAAACAAAAACAACAAAAAATGAAGCATTAAAAATATTACCTTCTGTTCTGTTGGAGCTGTGCTACAGGTTAACAAGAGATATCTGAAATTGTTCCTTCAAGTTTAGTTATGTTGCAACCAAGAGCTTTGGAATGAATGCCTTCAAGGACTCATTTGCTGAACTCAATAAAAAGTCCCCAAGGGTCAACTATCTTTACACAGGATACTAGCAGACAATTTTGTTACACTTGAGGAAGGGAAAGGAGATGTTGAGGAATATGTTAATGATCTTCAAGAATGGGAAGGTGACAAAAAATTGCATTCGATGAAGCAAGAAAAAGTGCACAGCTCATGATGGAACTGGAAGCAATGCCTCATTAGGCTTTATTTTATGACTGGCTATGTGTGCATGCGGGTGTGTGTTTGTATGCATGCACACACTTGTTCACCTCTGTGTGTGTGTAATGCGTAATGTTCATTGTACATATATGTGAAGTTTCTTTGTGTTTTATAATATGTTCCAGCCAAATTATTTGATGGTTTATGAACACACTGTCCTTATATTGTTTTTTTCTTTTTTCTTAGTGTTTAGGTAATCTCAAATTAGAAAACACAATTAACCATGAAGAAAAGTAATGCTAATGTAAGCTTTTGAAGGCCCTGTATCAATAGATAATAATTCAATTTGGTATTTTTTCACAATAGCAGAACTGTGAAATTTTTATATATAACTGAAGATTATATAAAATAGATTGGCATTAAATTATCATCATTGATTTTTGTTTATATTTAATTTGTATTTTTGTACAAACAAAATTATGTAAGATATATTAAAACTTTCTGTGATTTGTCTTTCCAACTTTTCATGAGCATAGACTTTAAACAAAACCCTTGAAAATAAATTACATAGCCTTTTATCCATTGACCAGAAAACGAAACATGGTCTTAACAAAGTTGTTTGTGTTATTGTATAATTTGAAAATTATGTCCAGGCATACCGTATAAAATTTCTAACCTAACTGCCCCTTGTAGAATATGCATTAATCATTCTACATTAAGAAAAACAATGGTTCTTACAGGAAAGTTTGGGCACTCTATAGTGACTATATACCTTTGTCTTTATATTGTACCAGTAAAATTTCAAATTTGAAAGACTTGTACTGCAATTTTATATGCCAGATATTGCTAAGTCCCCAAAAGCAATTGCAACAAAACTAAAGTTGACAAATGGGACATAAATACACCGAAGAGCTTCAGCACAGCAAGAGAAACTATCAAGAGAATAAATAAACAACCTACAGAATGGGAGAATATATTTGCAAACTATGTATATGACAAAGGTCTATTATCCAGAATCTGTAAGAAATGTAAACAAATCAACAAGCAAAAACCCAAACATCCAATTAAAAAATGGGCAAAGGACACGAACAGAAACTTCCTGAAAGAAGATGTACAAGTGGCTAACAAACATGAAAAAATGCTCAACATCACTAATCGTTAGAGAAATGCAAATAAAAACCACAATGAGATTCCATCTCACACCAGTCAGAATGGCTGTCATTAAAAAGGCAAAAAACAATAGATGTTAGCAAGGATGCAGAGAAAAGGGAACACTCATACAACTCATACACTGTTGGTAGGAATGCAAACTGGTTCAGTCATTGTGGAAAGCAAACTGGAGATTGTGCAAATAACTTGAAATAGAACTACAATTTGACCCAGCAATCCCTCTACTGTTGGATATATACCTAAAGGAAAAATAATTCATTCTATCAAAAAGATATATGCACCTATATGTGCATTGCAGTGCTATTCACAATAACAAAGACATGAAATCAAACTAGGTGCACATCAACAGTGGTTTGGATAAAGAAAATAATGTGGTATATATGCACCATGGAATACTCTGCAGCCATAAAAATTAATGAGATCATGACCTTTGTAGTAAAATGAATGGAGCTAGAGGCCATTATCTTAAGCAAACAGATGCTTAGGATAGAAAAACTAAAGCACCTGGTTTGATGCAAGAACAAAACAGAGTTATGCAAGAACAGAAAACCAAATACCACATGTTCTCACTTATTAAGGGGAGCTAAGTGCTGAATACACATAAATGTGAAGATGAGAACAACAAACACTGGGAACCATTAGATGACTGAAGAAAGAAGGGGGTATGGGCTGAAGAACCAGGTGTTGCATACTATGCTTACTGCTTAGGTAACAGGATCACTGGGATCCCAAGCCTCAATGTCACTCAGTATACCCATGTGACATACCTACATGTGTACACTTTGGTCAGTAATAAAGTTGAAATTGTAAAAAAATTATTAGGTATAATTACAATACTAGTAAATCTTTAGAATTTAAACAAAAAAAGAGAAAACATAAAGAATTCTCACAAATTATTAAGAGAAAATTGCCCCAATTTTTTTAATGGGCACAGTTTTTAAAGTGGTATTGTGTGTGTATGATATAAATATCAATGTAGTCAAAGTGTATAATTAGTCATCAAATAAAGTGAAGGCAACAAGATCCTTTCCTATGCATCAACTGCAATGGATAAAAGAAAACATTATTTAACATAATAAATGTTGGTAAAAATATGGAGCAACTGAAATTTTCATTTGAGAGTTGGAGTGTGATTTGGTAAAAATACTTTGGAAAACTGTCAGCAATGCTTAAAGCTAACCATATGTTATCCTATGATCCAGCAATCCACTCCTAGGTATATATTCAAGAAACATCAGTGTATTCGTACACCAAAAGAAATGTACAATAATGTTCATAACTTCTTTATTTATTATAACCAAATGCTATAAACAATAAAAACTATCAACAGTAAGCAAGCTGAAAACATAAATTGTGATGTATCAAGTCATGGGATACTACATACAAATAATAATAATAAAAGAACTGTCGTACATGCAATAAGCCAGTTACGAAAGAGGTCATAATGCATGATTTTATTTATAGAAAGTTCAAGAATGGGAAAATGAATTAATGATAATGTATGATGTTATTGACTGGAAAAATGTCCAAGGGGGATGTATGTCATGCTGCACCAATGTTCTGTATCCTGATGTGGAAGACAGTTAGTTATATGGGTGTATACATAAGTAAAAAGTAATCAAGCTATGTACTCAGTTTAGAATTTTGTATGTATTATGACTGAATAAAAATTAACTAATTAAAAAAACAAAAAAAAAGTCGGATGAAGACTATTCCAACACTCAAAAACATACAAAGTAATTTACTATTTGCAGACCTTCAGTACAACAAATGCTAAAGGCAGTTCTTGATGCAGAAGGAAAATGACGGCAAAAAAAATCTGGATCTACATACAGGAAAAAAGAACCCTAGAAATTGTAATTATGTGAATAAATATTGAAATAAGTTTTTTCTTATTTAAATTTCTTTTAAAATAATTGGCTATTTAAAGCAAGATAATAATAAACTGTGGCTGTTATACATAAAATAATAAAACATAATTATAATAGCTCACTGAATAAGAGGGAAGAGAAAGAATTACAGTATTGTAAGGTTCTTATGCCATACATAAGATAGAATACTATTTCAAGGTTGAATGTGATAAATTACAGATATATACTGTAAACCCTAAAGTCCAGTAAAAAAATCAGAATGAAGATTTATGTCTAAAAAATCAATAAGAAAGATAAAAATCATTTTAAAAGTTATTTAATCACAAGGAAGGCAGAAGCAGAAGAAAAGAACAAAAATTGATAGTAAATAGAAACAAATTGCAAGATAGAAGAATTAATGCAACTGTATCAATAAATACAAGAAACGTACATCATTGGAACACTCAATTAAAAGACAGAAACTGTCAAGTTGAATGAAAAAACAAGACTCAATCATATTATTCCATTAAGATATACACTTTAAATATTAAACAAAAATGTTTTTGAAAAGGATTTGAAGAATATAACTTATGCTAATATTAGTCGGAAGAATGGCAGATGAGTACATAAATATCTGGCATAGTAAATTTTAGAGCAAAAAAACAAAAAAAGAGGGTTACTTCACAGCAATGAAGTGGTTATTTTATCATGAGAACATTCCTAAATGTACCTAATAACAGAGATTTAAAGCACATAAAGTAAAAACTGATAAAATCTGAAATTTAATTTACACAATTCACGATGGTAAATGATGCTTTAAGCATTCGTCTCTCAATAATTGATTTAAAAACTAGAAAAGTAATAAGAACTTGAATGACATCATCAGCCAACTTTACCTAATTGTCACTTTAAGGCTAGTCTACCCAAACAGAAGAATACATTTTCATTTCCTGTGGAGACAGAGCATTTACCAAAGTAGTCCATATTCTCCACCAGGGTCAGCTAACTGCAATCTCTAGGCAAAATTTGGCTTAGTGCCTGTTTTTGTAAATGGAAGTCTCAATGAATATATCCATGCTCATGAATATACATTTTTCTATGGCTGCCTTTGTTCTACAATAACAGAGTTGAGTGACACAAAGAGACTATATGGCCCCAAAGCCTAAAATATTTACCATTTGGATCGCTATAGAAAATGTTAGCCAGCTTCTAGAACATAAAACAAATCTCAATAAATTCAAAATAATTTAATATAAAATATGCCTTATGGCTATAAATAACATAAAATTAAAAATCAGTATTTTATTATTAATAATGAAATAAAATTACAAATTAATGGTAAAAGATAACTAAAAAATTACTCCAGAATACTTGGAAATTAAATATCATGATGCCTCTAAATGATTTATGGTTCAAAGAAGAAATCTAAAGAAAAATTAGAAAATATTGTATACACTTTAAAGCAATTATGAATGGGAGTTCATTCATGATTTGGCTCTCTCTTTGTCTGTTATTGGTGTATAAGAATGCTTGTGATTTTTGTACATTGATTTTGTATCCTGAGACTTTGCCGAAGTTGCTTATCAGCTTAAGGAGATTTTGGGCTGAGACAATGGGGTTTTCTAGATATACGATCATGTCATCTGCAAACAGGGACAATTTGACTTCCTCTTTTCCTAATTGAATACCCTTTATTTCCTTCTCCTGCCTAATTGCCCTGGCCAGAACTTCCAACACTATGTTGAATAGGAGTGGTGAGAGAGGGCATCCCTGTCTTGTGCCAGTTTTCAAAGGGAATGCTTCCAGTTTTTGCCCATTCAGTATGATATTGGCTGTGGGTTTGTCATAGATAGCTCTTATTATTTTGAAATACGTCCCATCAATACCTAATTTATTTAGAGATTTTAGCATGAAGCGTTGTCGAATTTTGTCAAAGGGCTTTTCTGCATCTATTGAGATAATCATGTGGTTTTTGTCTTTGGTTCTGTTTATATGCTGGATTACATTTAGTGATTTGCATATATTGAACCAGCCTTGCATCCCAGGGATGAAGCCCACTTGATCATGGGGGATAAGCTTTTTGATGTGCTGCTGGATTCAGTTTGCCAGTATTTTATTGAGGATTTTTGCATCAATGTTCATCAAGGATATTGGTCTAAAATTCTCTTTTTTGGTTGTGTCTCTGCCCGGCTTTGGTATCAGGATGATGCTGGCCTCATAAAATGAGTTAGGGAGGATTCCCTCTTTTTCTATTGATTGGAATAGTTTCAGAAGGAATGGTACCAGTTCCTCCTCGTACCTCTGGTAGAATTCAGCTGTGAATCCATCTGGTCCTGGACTCTTTTTGGTTGGTAAGCTATTGATTATTGCCAGAATTTCAGATCCTGTTATTGGTCTATTCAGAGATTCAACTTCTTCCTGGTTTAGTCTTGGGAGAGTGTATGTGTCCAGGAATTTATCCATTTCTTCTAGATTTTCTAGTTTATTTGCATAGAGGTGTTTGTAGTATTCTCTGATGGTAGTTTGTATTTCTGTGGGATCAGTGGTGATATCCCCTTTATCATTTTTTAGGAATCCAACTTACAAGGGATGTGAAGGACCTCTTCAAGGAGAACTACAAACCACTGCTCAAGGAAATAAAAGAGGATACAAACAAATGGAAGAACATTCCATGATCATGGGTAGGAAGAATCAATATTGTGAAAATGGCCATACTGCCCAAGGTAATTTACAGATTCAATGCCATCCCCATCAAGCTACCAATCACTTTCTTCACAGAATTGGAAAATAGTACTTTAAAGTTCATATGGAACCAAAAAAGAGCCCGCATCACCAAGTCAATCCTAAGCCAAAAGAACAAAGCAGGAGGCATCACACTACCTGACTTCAAACTATACTATAAGGCTACGGTAACCAAAACAGCATGGTACTGGTACCAAAACAGAGATATAGATCAATGGAACAGAACAGAGCCCTCAGAAATAATGCCACATATCTACAACTATCTGACCTTTTACAAACCTGAGAAAAACAAGCAACGGGGAAAGGATTCCCTATTTAATAAATGGTGCTGGGAAAACTGGCTAGCCATATGTAGAAAGCTGAAACTGGATCCCTTCCTTACACCTTATACAAAAATCAATTCAAGATGGATTAAAGACTTAAACGTTAGACCTAAAACCATAAAAACCCTAGAAGAAAACCTAGGCATTACCATTCAGGACATAGGCATGGGCAAGGACTTCATGTCTAAAACACCAAAAACAATGGCAACAAAAGACAAAATTAACAAATGGGATCTAATTAAACTAAAGAGCTTCTGCGTAGCAAAAGAAACTACCATCAGAGTGAACAGGCAACCTACAGAATGGGAGAAAATTTTTGCAATCTACTCGACTGACAAAAGGCTAATATCCAGAATCTACAAAGAACTCAAACAAATTTACAAGGAAAAAACAAATACCCCACCAAAAAGTGGGCAAAGGATATGAACAGACACTTCTCAAAAGAAGACATTTATGCAGCCAAAAAACACATGAAAAAATGCTCACCATCACTGGCCATCAGAGAAATGCAAATCAAAATCACAATGAGATACCATCTCACACCACTTAGAATGGCAATCATTAAAAAGTCAGGAAACAACCGGTGCTGGAGAACATGTGGAGAAAAAGGAACACTTTTACACTGTTGGTGGGACTGTAAACTAGTTCAACCATTGTGGAAGTCAGTGTGGCGATTCCTCAGGGATCTAGAACTAGAAATACCACTTGACCCAGCCATCCCATTACTGGTTATATACCCAAAGGACTATAAATCATGCTGCTATAAAGACACATGCACACATAAGTTTATTGTGGCATTATTCACAATAGCAAAGACTTGGAACCAACCCAAATGTCCAACAATGATAGACTGGTTTAAGAAAATGTGGCACATATACACCATGGAATACTATGCAGCCATAAAAAATGATGAGTTCACGTCCTTTGTAGGGACATGGATGAAATTGGAAACCATCATTCTCAGTAAACTATCGCAAGAACAAAAAGCCAAACACCGCATATTCTCACTCATAGGTGGGAATTGAACAATGAGAACATATGGACACAGGAAGGGGAACATCACACTCTGGGGACTGTTGTGGGGTGGGGGGAGGGGGGAGGGATAGCATTGGGAGATATACCTAATGCTAGATGATGAGTTAGTGGGTGCAGTGCACCAGCATGGCACATGTATACATATGTAACTAACCTGCACATTGTGCACATGTACCCTAAAACTTAAAGTATAATAATAATAAATAAATAAATTTAAAAAAAAGAAATAAAAAAAAGAAAATATTGTATACAAAATAAAAATATAATACATCAATATTTGTGAGATACAGCTAAAGCAGTATTCCAAAGAAAATTTACAGCACTAAATGCCCATATTAAAAATAAAAAAGTTATTGAATCAATAACTTCAATTTCATCCTTTGGAAAAAAAAACTAGAAACAAAAGAGCAAATTAAGCTCAAACTTAGCAGAAGAAAGAAAATAATAAAGACCAGAGTAGAAAGAGGTGGGATAGAACATCAAAAAATAGTGAAGAAAAAACAAATTAATCAAAACAAGTATTCTTTAGATAATCAATAATATTGATAAACTTATAGGTAGAATGAATAAATAAAGGTGACACAAAATAACAGTATTAGGAATGGGAGAGGTACCATAACTACTTATTCTATGGATATTATGGGAATGGTAGAGGAGTTTTGTGAGTAACTTTATGCCAATAAATTTGACTATTAGACAAAATTTAAAAAATCTTGAAAACCACAAACTGCCAAAGCTCATTCAAAAAAATATAGGTAGCCTTACTAGCTCTATATCTTCTAACCAAATGAATGTGTACTTAAAATATTTTCCACAAATTAGGCCTCAGATTGAGGTGATTTCACTGGTGAATTTTACCAAACATCTAAAACAGAATAATTAAAATTCTTCCGGAAAATTAAAGAGAAGGGACTACTATCCAACTCATGCTCTAATACCAACATTAACCTAATATCAAAACCGGATAGGTGTATGGGATGTAAACTACACATCAGCAGCTGTTGTGGGCACACACACACACATACACACACAAACACTTTCTCTCTCTCTCTCTTCAAATTAAATTTTAGCTAAATTAATTCAAGAGCATGTAAGGATAAATGCATAATGACCAAGTGGGGCTCATCTCAGCAATGAAAGGTCACTTTACATTTGAACATTAATCAATGTTAATTTTTATATTAAAATAATAAAAGTACGTATAAAAAATAAAGTATGTCACATTTATCATGATAGACTGAACGATTTTCTCTTTAGATCAGATACAATCCAAGAATATTTGTTCTTACCATTTCTATTCAACAATGTACATGATGTTCTAGGTCATGCAATAAGAAAAGAAGCCAAAAAGAAAAATAGCATCTAGTTTGGAAAGTAATAAGTAAATCTATATTGATTCACAAACAACATAATTCTCTATGTAGAAAATTTACTATCATTTACAAAAAAGTTTTCAGAATAAGTGAGTTTAGCAAGATTAAAGAATGCAAATTCAATATGCAAAAATAAAGTGTATTTCTATATACTAACAATAATCAAACTAAAATTGTGGGATAATATCATTATAATAGCACTAAAATATGATAAGGATAAATCTGACAAAAATGTGCAAGATTTGCTCACTGAAAACTGTAAAATACTACTGAGAGATATTAAATAAGACCTAAATAAGTAGTATGATGGATTAGAATACTAAATATTATTAAGATATCTATTTTATGCAAGAATGATCCATATGTTTGATGCAGTATAAATAAAAATTCTAGTCACCCTTTGTGGAAATTGACAAGCTGGTTTTAAATTTATATGAAGATGCAAAAGATCTAAATTAACTGAATTATTTTTGAAAATGTAGAGAGTCTAGATAAAGATTTATGCATATGTGGTCAATTGAGTTTTAGTAAAGGTGCATAGACATTTTAGTGAGTTTTCCACTAAAAATGTTCTAGAAAAATTGGATATCCATATATAAAATATAATCAACTTCATTTCAAACTCATCAATATATAAAAACTCATAAAAGCAAAAACAAACATTGAAATAGATTATAGGCCTAAATTTAAAACCTTAAACTCTAAAACTTATAGAAGAAAACATAGGAGCAAATTTTTGTGACTTCAGTTTAGGGAAGATTTGTTAGCTATGACATCAAAGCAATGAATCCTAAATGACAAACTTGAAAAAATGAACTTCAAGACAATTAGGAGTTTCTGCTCTTTGAAAATCACTGCTGAAGAGAATAAAAAATCAAACCACAGATTGGGATAAAATGTTTTCAAATGTATCTGATAAAAGATTTGTGCCCAGAATATGTTAAAACATTCCAAAGCTTTAAATAACAAATAAAACAGCTCAACAAAGAAGTGGGAAAAATATTTGAACAGGCATTTCACCACAGATATAGATGAATGGCAAAAAACAAAATGAAAAGATGCTCAGGATTATTAGATATTAGAAAAATACAAATTAGGCTGGGTGCGGTGGCTCACACCTGTAATCCCAGCACTTTGGGAGGACGAGGCAGGCAAATCACCTGAGGTCAGGAGTTTGAGACCAGCCTGGCCAACATGGTGAAACCCTTTCTCTACTAAAAATACAAAAATTAACTGGGCGTGGTGGTGCATACCTGTAGTCCCAGCTACTCAGGAGGCTGAGGCAGGAGAATCTCCTGAACCTGGAAGGCAGAGGTTGCAGCGAGCTGAGGTGGCACCACTGCATTCTAGCCTGGACAACAGAGTGAGACTCCAAAAAAAGAGAGAGAGAGAGAGAAAGAGATATAACAACATAACTATTATACCATCTAAAATTCAAAAGTCTAGTAATTCTAATTATTCGTAAAGATAGGTAGCAACTGGAACTTCATACTTTGATAGGAATGTAAAATCATAAATCCATCAGCAAAACAGTTTGGCAATTTTTAAAATAACTTAACCTCCAGCTGCCAGGTGATCTAGCCATTCTTCTATCAGCACTTACCCAAAGGTAATTAAAATGTATGTACAGACAAAAGGTTGCACATGAATGTTCATAATACCTTTATTTGTGGAAGCCTCAAACTAGATACAATTCAAATGTTCATCAACAGATAATGGGCAAACTTTGGCACATTCATAACATGGAACATTACTTAGAAATGAAAAGGAATGAACTATTAATATAAGAAATAATGTTGGTGAATCTTAATATGCTGAGTAGAAATTCTAGAATACTTCCTCCAAGTTTATGTTCCATTTATTTAAAATTCTACAAAGTACAAACCAATCTAGAGTGACAGAAAGTCAGATCAGTTGTTTCATGGGGATCAGGGCAAAGGAAGACATGAAATGGCAAGAGGGAGAAAATACAAAGGGACGTAAGAAAAAAATTCTTAGAGGTGATGAAAATTAGTTTTTTTAATTGTAGTGATGATTTCATATATATATATACACATTAAAAATTATCAAATCTTATATATGAAATATGTGGAATTTATCATATGTCAACCATAATTCAGTAAAGCTCTCGGAAAATAAAAATATATATGTGTGTGTGACTACTTCTGAACGGTTTTTCTGTTTTAGTGATCTATTCATCTGTCCTCACTCTCTTTTTTATTTTTATTTTTAAAAATTCAGGGGGTACATGTGCAGATTTGTTAGATGATATATTGCATAGTGGTGGACCTTGGGCTTCCAGTGTACCCATCATCCAAACAGTGAACGTTGTACCCAATAGGTGATTCTTCAGCCATACCCCTCTTTTGTCCTCCCCACTTTTGGAGTCTTCAGTGTCTGTTATTACCCCTTGTATGTATGTCCATGTCTACCCAATGTGAATATGAGATATGTGGTTTTCTGTTTCTGAGTTACTTCACTTAGGATAATGGCCTCCAGCTCCATTCATGTTGCTGCAAAGGATATAATTTTATTCTTTTTTATGGCTGTGAAGTATTCCATGGTGTATATATACAACACATTTTCTTTATCCAATTGTCCATTGATGGACATGTTGATTGATCACATGACTTTACTATTGTGAATAATGCTACAATAAACATATGAGTGTAGGTGTCTTTTGCATATAACAATTCCTTTTTCTTTGGGTAAATACCCAGTAGTGGGCTTCCTGGGTCAAATGGTAGTTTTATTTTTAGTTGCTTGAGTACTTTCCACACTGTTTTCCATAGAGGTTGTACTAATTTCCATTCCTACCAGCAGTGTGTAAGTGTTTCCCTTTTTCAGCATTTCTACCAACATCTGTTGTTTTCTGAGGTTTTGATAATAGCCATTCTAACTGGTGTGAGATGGTATCTCACTGTTATTTTAATTTGCATTTCTCTGATGATTTGTGATGTTGAGCATTTTTTCATGACTTTTGGCCACTTGTATGTCTCTTTTGAGGAATGTTGGTTCTTGCCCTTTACTCACTTTTTAATGAGGTTGTGTCTTTCTTGTTGAGTTGTTTGACTTCCTTGTGGATTCTGGATTTAGTCCTAAAATTAAGTCCTAATTAGTCCTAAAATTAAGAACCAAAAAGGAGCTTAAATAGCTAAAGAAGTTTTAAGCAAAAATATAACAAAGCTGGAGGCATCACATTACCTGAATTCAAATGATACTACAAGGGTATAGTAATCAAAAGAGTATTGTGCCAACATAAAAATAGAGACATAGATAAATGAAACAGAATAGAGAACCTTGAAATAAAGTCACACACCTACAACCAAGTGGTCTTTGACAAAGCTGACAAAAGTATACACTGGGGAAAAAACACCATATTCAGTAAGTGGTGCTGAAAATGTTGGATAGCAATGTGCACAAGAACAAAACTAGACCCCTATCTCTCACCATATACAAAAATTAACTCAAGATGGATTAAAGACCTAAATGTAATAACTGAAACAATAAAAATCATAGAAGAAAACCAAGGAAAGGCTCTTCAGAACATTGGCCTAGGCAAAGATTTATGACTAAGACCTCAAAAGCAAATGAGATAAAAACAAAAATACACAAATGGGACTAAATTATACTAAAAAGCTTCTGCACAGCAAAAGAAATAATCAGCAGAGTAAATGGACAACCTACAGAATTGAAGAATATATTTTCAAACTATGCATCCAACAAAGGACTAATATCCAGACTCTGTAATACCACATTATATGAATTAATGCAGCTTTATATTAAATTGTAGCATAAGATATTCTTCCAAATTTGTTATCCTTTGTCTAAAAAGATTTTTTAGGTTTTAAAGATAACTTTTAGGTTTCTTTGCATTTTCACGTAAATTTTAGCATCAATTAGTCAAGTCATAGAAATATGTGCTGGAAATTTTGTTGAATTAATACCCCAATTTTAGAAGAATAATCTTTGCAATACTGGGGTCTTCAAATCCAGGAAAATGGCATGTCTATTTAAGACTTTAAAAATCTTCTTTAGATCTTGTTTAGCAATGTTTTGGAGTTTTCAGTGTTTAAACTTTTTTTGTATATCTTTGTTCACTTTATTTCTTATTTATTTATGTAATTATATTTTAAGTTCTGGGTTACATGTGCAGAATGTGCAGTTTTGTTACATAGGTATACATGTGCCATGTTGGTTTGCTACACCCATCAACCCATCACCTACATTAGGTATTTCGCCTAATGTTATGACTCCCCTAGCCCCCCAACCCCTGACAGGCCCAGGTGTGTGATGTTCCCCTCCCTGTGTCCAAATGTTCTCATTGTTCAGTTCCCACTTATGAGTGAGAACGTGCAGTGTTTGGTTTTCTGATCTTGTGATGGTTTGCTGAGAATGATGGTTTCCAGCTTCATCCATGTCCCTGCAAAGGACACGAACTCATCCTTTTTTATGGCTACATAGTATTCCATGGTGTACATGTACCACATTTTCTTAATCCATTCTATCATTGATGGACATTTGGGTTTGTTCCAAGCCTTTGCTATTGTGAATAGTGCCAAAATCAATATACGTGTGCATGTTTCTTTATCGTAGAATGATTTATAATCCTTTGGGTATATGCCCAAAAATGGGATTATTGGGTCAAATGGTATTTCTAGTTCTAGATCCTTGAGGAATCGTCACACTGTCTTCCACAATGGTTGAACTAATTTATACTCCCACCAACAGTGTAAAAGCGTTCCTATTTTTCCACAACCTCTCCAGCATCTGTTGTTTGCTGACTTTTTAATGATCTCTATTCTAACTGGTATGAGATGGTATCTCATTGTGGTTTTGATTTGCATTTCTCTAATGACCAGTGATGATTAACATTTTTTCATACGTCTGTTGGCTGCATAAATGTCTTCTTTTGAAAGTGTCTGTTCATATCCTTTGCCCATTTTTTGATGGGGTTGTTTGATTTTTCTTGTAAATTTGTTTAAGTTCTTTGTAGATTCTGGGTATTAACCCTTTGTCAGATGGATAGATTGCAAAAATTTTCTCCCATTCTAAAGGTTCCCTCTTTACTCTGATGATAGTTTCTTTTACTGTGCAGAAGCTCTTTAGTTTAATTAGATCCCATTTGTCAATTTTGACATTTGTTGCCATTGCTTTTGGTGTTTTAGACATGAAACCAATGCCTATGCCCTGAATGGTATTGCCCAGGTTTTCTTCTAGGTGTTTTATGGTCCTAGGACTTACATTTAAGTCTTTGATCCATCTTGAGTTGATTTTTGTATAAGTTGTAAGGAAGGGGTCCGGTTTCAGTTTTCTGCATATGACTAGCCTGTTTTCCCAACACCATTTATTAAATAGGGGATCTTTTCCCCATTGCTCATGTGTGTCAGGTTTGTCAAAGACCAGATGGTTGTAGATGTGTGGTGTTATTTCTGAGGCCTCCGTTCTGTTCCATTGGTCTATATATCTGTTTTGGTACCAGTATCATGGTGTTTTGTTTACTGTAGACTTGTAGTATAGTTTGAAGTCAGGTAGCGTGATGCCTCCAGCTTTGTTCTTCTTGCCCAGGATTGTCTTGGATATGTGGGCTCTTTTTTGGTTCCATATGAAGTTTAAAGTAGTTTTTTCCAATTCTGTGAAGAAAGTCAGTGGTAGCTTGATGGGGATAGCATTGAATCTGTAAATTACTTTGGGCACTATGGCCATTTTCACGATATTGATTCTTCCTATCCACGAGCATGGAATGATTTTCCATTTGTTTGTGTCCTCTCTTATTTCCTTCAGCAGTGATTTGTACTTCTCCCTGAAGAGGTCTTTCACATGCCTTGTAAGTTGTATTCCTAGGTGTTTTATTCTCTTAGTAGCAATTGTGAATGGGAGTTTACTCATGATTTGGCTTTCTGTTTGTCTGTTATTTGTGTATAGGCATGCTTGTGATTTTTGTATGTTGAATTTGTATCCTGAGACTTTGCTGAAGTTGCTTATCAGCTTAAGGAGATTTTGGGCTGAGATGATGGGTTTTTCTAAATATACAATCATGTCATCTGCAAACAGAGACAATTGGACTTCCTCTCTTCCTATTTGAATGCGCTGTATTGCTTTATCTTGCCTGATTGCCCTGCCCAGAACTTTCAATACTATGTTGAATAGGTGTGGTGAGATAGGGCATCCTTGTCTTATGCCGGATTTCAAAGGGAAAGCTTCCAGTTTTTGCCCTTTCAGTATGATATCGGCTGTGGGTTTGTCATAAATACCTCTTATTACTTTGAGATATGTTCCATCGATACCTAGTTTATTGAGAGTTTTTAGCATGAAGGGGTGTTAGACTCCCACAAAATAATAGTGGGAGACTTTAACACCTCACTGTCAATATTAGACAGATCAATGAGACAGAAAATTAACATGAATATTCAGGACTTGAACTTAGTTCTGGGCCAAGCGGACCTAATAGACATCTACAGATCTCTCCACCCCAATTCAACAGCATATACATTCTTCTTAGCACCTTATCACACTTATTCTAAAATTGACCACATATTTGGAAGTAAAACTCTCCTCAGCACGTGCAAAAGAACAGAAATCATAACAAGCAGTCTCTCAGACCACAGTGCAATCAAATTAGAACTTAGGATTAAGAATCTCACTGAAAACCTCATAACTACATGGAAACTGAACAACCTGCTCCTGAATGACTACTGGGTAAACAACAAAATGAAGGCAGAAATAAAGATGTTCTTTGAAACCAATGAGAATGAAGACACAACATACCAGAATCTCTGGGACACATTTAAAGCAGTGTTTAGAGGGAAATTTACAGCACTAAATGCCCACAAGAGAAAGCAGGAAAGATCTAAAACTGACACCCTAACATCACAATTAAAAGAACTACAGAAGCAACAGCAAACAAATTCAAAAGCTAGCAGAAGACATGAAATAACTAAGATCAGAGCAGAATTGAAGGAGATGGAGACATGAAAAACCCTTCAAAAAAAAATCAATGAATCCAGGAGCTGGTTTCTTAAAAAAAATCAACAAAGTAGATAGACCGCTAGCCAGGCTAATACAGAAGGAAAGAGAGAAGAATCAAATAGATGCAATAAAAAAAGATAAAGGGGAGATCACCACTGATCCCACAGAAATACAAACTACCATCATTGAATACTATAAACACTCCTATGCAAATAAACTAGAAAATCTAGAAGAAATGGATACATTCCTGGACACATACACCCCCCAAGTCTAACCCAGGAAGAAGTCGAATCCCTGAATAAACCAGTAACAAGTTCTGAAATTGAGTCAGTAATCAATAGCCTACCAATTAAAAAAAGTCCAGGACCAGACGGATTCACAGCCAACTTCTACCACAGGTACAAAGAGGAGCTGGTGCCATTCCTTCTAAAACTATTCCAAACAACAGAAAAAGAGGGAACCCTCCCTAACTCATTTTATGAGGCCAGCATCATCCTGATACCAATACCTGGCAGAAACACAACAAGAAAAGAAAACTTCAGGTCAATATCCCTGATGAACATAGATGAGAAAATCTTCAATAAAATACTTGCAAATCGAATCCAGCAGCACATCAAAAAGCTTATCCACCACGATCAAGTTGGCTTTATACCTAGGATGCAAGGCTGGTTCAACATACGCGAATCAATAAATGTAATCCATCACATAAACAGAACCAATGACAAAAATCACATGATTATCTCAATAGACGCAGAAAAGGACTTGTCCACTTTGTTTCAAAGTACTTTGTAGTTTTTAGAAACTTTTCATATTGTATTGATTTTTAAATTTTGTTTTGTAATTCTTTGTTACAAGATCTTAGCATAATTTGTCTGTTTGTTTGTTTGTTTTCATTTTGAGACAGGGTCTCCCTCTATTGTCCAAGCTGGAATGCAGTGGTACAATCATGGCTCAATGTAGTCTCAAACTTTGGGGCTCAAGCGATCCTGCCACCTCAGCCTTCTGAGTAGCTGGGCCTACAGGCGTGAGCCACCATGCCCAGCTGATTTTTTATTTTTTGTAGAGATGGGGTTGCACTATGTTACCTAGTCTGTTCTCAAACTCCTGGGCCAAAGTAGTCCTCCCAGCTTGGCCTCCCAGAGTGCTGTGATTACAGGTGTGAGCCACTGTGCCTGGCCTGCAATTTGTTTTTGTTTTTGTTTTAATGATTATTATGTGTTGGACTGTGTCCCCTCAAAACAAATATGTTGAAGTCTTAACTCCCTTAACTCAGAATGTGATGATTGGAAACAGAATCTTTACAGAGGTAATCAAATTAACATGAGGCCATTAGGGTGGGCCCTAATCCAACATGCCTGGTGTCCTTACAAAAGGAGAAATTTGGACACAGGGATGGATACATATAGAAGGAAGGCTATGTGGAGACACACAGGGTGAATGCCATATGAAAACACGATGGGAGTGGTGCATTTATAGGCCAAGGAAAGCCAAAGATTACTAGCAGATCACATAGAAAATTATAGGCCAAGGAAAGCAAAGATTACTAGCAGATCACATAGAAAATAGGAAGATATAAGGAAGGCTTCCTCTATGTATTTTAGAGGAAGCGTGGCCCTGCTGACAACTTGATTTGGGACTTCTAGCCTCTAGTACTATGAGACAATAAATTGCTGTTGTTCTAAGCCACCCAGTTTGTGGTTCTTTGTTATAACAGCCCTAGGAAACCAATGCAGTGCCTATGGACCACTTCATTCTCTCTCACATTTCACCAGACATATGACTTCTCTAGTTAAATTCTCAATGTTATTTGTGTCCTCATCCTTATATATTTTAAGCAGATCCTTTGGGTCTTCTGGTGTGTTTATGATTCATTTATAAATTTATTTTCTGCTTTAATTATCTGGAGTGTTGTCTCTTGTTAGCAACTAAAACCCCTTACAGATACACATTATTTTCAATACTTTAAACTGTAGAGAGGATTTTTGTCTGTGGTTTTTCAAAATAACTAACTCTGCCTTATGAAGAAGGTAGGTTTTTGGGGATAGGCATTAAATACTTCCAAACATCACTATTTTGATAATAATGTATTATATCAATTTCAGTCCCCATCAACAATTGTATTTTTCTGAAAAATCAATGATCTGTATTAATTACATTTGTGTTTGTGTGCTGATTTATATTTTTCAAAATCCTTGCTAAGGAATGCTTGTTCCGATAAACTTAATTACATTTTTCATTAATATTTAACTAGAAAGCCATCAATACTGCCAAATCTCTCTAAAAATTCTGTTTTTTCTATTGTCTTAATAAATTCAGAGCAGTATAGTGGCAGTTCCACACATACTCCAAGCCAAAGGTTGAGGATTAGAGTCCTAAATCTCTCCAAAGTTCTATCTTTATTTAAGTTGATGTCTTGGCTGACTTGTCTACAAAATGGAATTAACATTAACACCCATTTTGCTTATCTGACAGGACTCTTGCAAGGATTGATAATATGTGTTAAAACATTAGAGAAATGTATAATACTAAAAATTTGGTTATTATTTTGTGTTTTTATATTAGTCTAAGCTCCATTGAACTTGAGTCTGATCTCCAAAAGATAAAAAAAATTGATGTGTATTTGAATAAATAAAAAGAAACAAGTAACAAAAATTCTGGAGCATACTGAAGGCAAGACAACTGCTGCTTCTGTAGTCTTCCCACAAACATTAAAACTGAAGAAGAAGAAAAATTATAACTTATTTAGTAACTCCTATTTCCAAGATTCCCATGCTATTATACTTTAGTCAAATTTAGCAAAGCTGCAGTTTTCATCTCCTGGTGTAAATTTCAGGGCCAATGAAAGAGAGGCTTTACTTGACAGGAGAACTATAGTGTCAATAGAATTGTGGCAACATCTTGCAAGACCCAGTTAGTTCTTTTTTCCTTTTTCTTTTTTAGATTTTATTTGATTGTGATAATAACACAAGATGAGATCTGCACTCAACACAATTTTAAGTGTATAATAAAATTCTTTAAGTGTAAGCACAATGTTGTGCTTCTACCCAAAATGCTGTTCAGCAGATCTCTAGAATTTATCTTCCATAACTAAAACTTCATGCTCACTCATTAGCAGCTCCTCATTTTCCCCTACCTTCTGTCCTTGGCAAGCACCATTCTACATTCTATGAGTCTGACTACATTAGATATGTCATATAAGTAGAAACATGCAGTTTTTGTTATTTTGTGACTGCCTTATTTCACTTAGGATAGTGCACTCAGGATTCATCCATGTTATTGTATAATGTAGAATTTCCTTTTTTTGAAGCTAAATAATATCTCATCATATCAGTATACCACATTTATTTATCCATCCATCCAATGATGGATGTTTAGGTTGTTTCCATGTCTTGGCTATTGTAAATAGCCCTGTAATGAATATGAGAGTGCTAATATTTCTTCCATATTTTGATTTTAATTATTTTGAATAAATACAGAGAAGTGGGACTGCTAGATCATATGGTGGTTCTATTTCTATCTTTTTGAGAAGGTTTCATACTGTTCTTCATAGTGTCACACTATTTTGCATTCTCACCAACAGGTCACAATAGTTCCAATTGCTTCACATTCACCAATAGTTCTCATCTTTTATTTTTTGATAAAAGCCATCTTAACAAGTGTGAGATGATATCTCATTGTGGTTGTAATTTGCATTTTTCTGATGATTAGTGACACTGAACATCTTTTCATTTACCTTTTGCCCATTTATATGTCTCCCTTGTAGAAATCTCTATTCAAGGCTTTAGCCTATTTTAAAATTAGATTATTAGTATTTTTTTATTGAGTTGTAAGAGTTTCTTACATATTTTGGAAATTAACTCGTTATTGTACATGAGGTTTATAAATATTTTCTCTCAATTTTAGGTTGCCTTTTCATTGTATTTGTTACTTCCTTTGTCTGCAGATGCTTTTTAGCTTGATGTAGTCTCATTTACTTATTTTTGCTTTTGTCGCCTGTGCTTTTGGTATCATATACATGAAATTATTGCCCAAAACATTATTATGAAATTATTTCCATGTATTTTCTTCTAGGAGTTTTACAGTTTTAGATCTTGCATTTAAGTCCATTAATTTATTTTAGTGGATTTTTATGTGTGTGTAGTGTAAAATAAGGGTCCAGTTTTATTTTTTTTCATTTGCATGTCCAGTTTTCTCAATGCTGTTTGCTTTAGAGACTATCTTTTCTCTACTGTGTACTCTTGGCACCCTTGCCTAAGATCAATTGACCATATATGGATGGATTTATTTCTGAGCTTTCCATTCTCTTCTATTGATTTATATGTTTAGATTTATGCCTGCATCATAATTTCTAAGTTGCTATAGCTTTGTAATTTATTTGAAATCAGCAAGGGTTATGCCTCTAGTTTTGTTCCTTTTTCTAAAGATTGATGTGACTAAAAAGTTATTTCTTTATTTTTATAAAAAATTCCATTGGAATATTCATAGGGATTGCATTGAATCTGTAGATCACTTTGTTTAGTGTGGACATTTTCACAATAGTAAGTCTTTAAATCTATGAACATGGGATGTCTTCCCATTTGTTTGTGTTTTCAATTTTTTTCATCAATATTTGTACTGTTCAGTGTACAAAGATTTTTAAGATTAACTAATATTTTACCTCTTTAGTTAAGTTTATTCCTAGGCACTTTATTTCTCTGATGCTTTTAGAAAATTTTTTGGCTACTTTCTTTTAGATACAATGGAATATTTTTCAGCCTTAAAGATACGTTGTTATGGTATAGAAATACAACTAATTTTTGTATGTTGATTTTGTATCCTGCAACTTTACTGAATGTGTTTATTAGCTCTAACGACTTTTTGGTAGAGTGTTTAGGGTTTTCAATATATAAGTTAATGTTATCTGCAAGTACTGACAATTTTACTTTTTCCTTTCCAATTTGGATGACTTTTTTTTCTTGGCTAATTGTTCTGGCCAGGACTAGAGTGAGCATTCTTGCCTTGCAGAAAAAAAGTGTAATTAATCTCAACTGAGTATGATGTATGCTATAGGCTTGCCATATGTGGTTTTACATTTCTGTTCCTAATTGCTTTTAATTGCATAAGACTTTTATTATCAAATTTGTAATTGATACATAATATTTGCACATATTTTTGGTATAATTGTGAAATTTTGATACACACATAGACTGTGTAATCAAGTCAGGGTATTTAGAATATCTATCACCTTGAGCATTTATCATTTATTGTGTTGGGGACATTTCAAATATTCTCTTCCAGCTGTTTTGAAATATAAAATATATTGTTAACTGTAGTCACCTTGCTGTGCTATCAAACATTAGAACTTATTCCTTCTATCTAATTGCATATTTGTACACATAAACCTACCTCTCCTCATCTCTCCCCCACCCCACCTCCACCACACATACCCTTCCCAGCCTTTGGTAAATATTATTCTAGTCTCTACTTCCATGAGATCAGCATTTTTTTAACTCCCACGTATGAGTGAGAAAATGTGATATTTGTCTTTCTGTGCCTGGCTTATATCACTTAACATAATGACCTGTAGTTTCATCCGTGTTGCTGAAAATGACATATTTCATGCTTCTTTTTGTCTGAATTCTATATAAAATAATTTATTTCTATTTGTAGTGTATTGAGAATTTTTATCATAAAAGGGTATTGAATTCTGTCCAACCCTGTTACTGCATCTGTTGAGACAATAGTGTGATTTTTATACTTCATTCTGTTAATGTGATATGTACATTAATTGATTTGTATATGTTGAAATTATACTTGTAGCCCAGGGACAAATCTCACTTGATCATGGTGTATAATCCATTTGATGTGTGGCTTATTCATTTTTCTAGTATTTTGTTGAGAATGTTTGCATCTGTATTTATCAGAGATATTAGCATGTAGTTTTATTTCATTCTTTGTCTGGCTTTGGAAGTGGTCACTCCTCTTCAACTTTTGGATTTTTTTTAAAGGATAGGTGTTAATTATTCTTTAAAAATTTGGTAGAATTTACCTACGAAACCATCTTTTCCTGTATTATTTTTGCCAATGTGATTTCATTTTTCATCCTGGGGAAGCCTGAGAAATATCAGTTTGCAAACCTAAACCATGTGGAAATGTGGGCAAAGGGAATAGTAGAAAAATCTTAATAATTAGGTTCTAGTTAGACAACATTTTATTATACTTTAATTGTTGAATATGTTTTATAAAAATGCCTTTATCCTCCCCAAGGAGGAGCCAGTGGTGTGCTGGATCCAGTTCACAGCGACTCCCCAGAATACACATGTGCATCTTTCCCAGATCACCTTTCAGTGACATCATGTTGATAGCTTGAAATCAGCCATGATGACATCATTTATGCTATGAAAATTGGGAAAAGTTACAGAATAGGATTTTTTTCCTCTTTTTGAAAAACTAGTAATTTAACACTTACCAGTGCAACATTTGGAGGACTAAGAGGCTAAAACACTATGCATTACAGGTATTGAGACTTAAGTCATTTTTACCTGGTTCCCAGGCAGACAGACTCTAAGATAAAGATTTCTATGTAGAAAATTGTATTAACCACGTCTTTTATTTTCCATAATGCCATAGTTTGACAACTGAAGTGGTTTCTTGCCCTCCCTCAGAACTAAGGCATCCATCCCACTAGCTGCTGAGAATATTGGTGACTCAGTAATTATCAGATCCCTCTCTGGGTAATGCCCTCAGGCAAAGAGCTTCTTCAAAGCCCAAGGTCAAGTTTCCTCTCTAGAGTCTGGACATGCCCTACCCTCATCAATACTGGGTTTTGAAATGTTTCTGAGGGAGGGCTATGTAGGTGCACCTCTGCTCATACTATATTATGGGAAGATAAAATCATCTGCCAAATGCTATCTAGCTTATACAATTGATGAACTTTCTGATGAAGTTAACATCACTGAAGAGAATAAATGCTGTAGTTCAATAGGTGCTAAAAGTTTATGCCGAATGTGTAGTCAAATATTTCCCTTCAGTCCTGGCAGAAAAATAAATTAGCCATTTACAACTTCACAAAATCCAGCACACTGTGAAGATTTATCAGCTAGATCGTGAAAAAAAATTGATGTCTTTGACAAAACAATTAAAATTAAAAATTGGTGCAACTGAAGTCCAAACAAAATAAGCTTCAAGAGCATAATAAATGTGGAAATAAAAGTTGGTTGGATCTTGCTCACTCTCCCTTTCCTCTTTTTTGGCTCTAGACTTTCATATCATTTTGAAGACTGGTGATTGACTGAACAAGATAGGCCTTAATTTAAAGACTGCTAAGTGTTAGGAAAAGTTGACAAAGGCTGATTAAGCTCTTCATCCTCTAACAACAGTGAGCATGGGGCATGTAGTCAGTGCAGATCCTGAGTGGCACCAGTGTGATTCTAAGAAAATTTTCTGTTGTTCCTAGTTGTTTTATCTCCAGCATTTAGACAATAAAGTTTGTGTAATTTACACTTACCATGTCTTCATTATTCTAACAAGCAATAATAAAAATAAAATAAAATAATTAAAAGATACCATAGTTGAGTAACAAAGTTATATGAGTTACTTAAAACCCATAAGAATACCATGAAATGATTAGAAAACAAAAGAGAATGAGCTTCATTCAAAGAATGTTAGCAAATTTATATAGAGGAAGCAAACACTTGAGATTTCATAAGAATTCAAAGAAACAACTGTAGAGGTGCAGAGGGAACCCAGTCAAGGGGGCCAAAAGAAGACTGCATTTCATCATGAAGTTGAATATGTGGAGGCGTCTCTAAGGATACATCCTCTTTAAGATATGTTGTCTGAGTGTAATGGCTTAGTTGCTTCTTAATTCTTGCTTTGCATTCTATTCTAAATATTTATACAGCTGCATGATCTTTTACTAGTTTCTGTACAATTCATCACATATTTACTGTTCTGGTTCTATCTTTGAAGCAGTAGAAGATACAAAGTTGACTATTAACATTAGCTAATATATTTGAATATTTACTAAGGGCTTGATCCTACATATATTTCTTTAAACCCTCAAAGCAGCTCTTTGGTGATTAGCTTATTATTATTTTTATTAATGGATGAAAAAGGTGAAGCTTAGGAATATTAAGTAACTTGCCCAGGGGTTTGAGTTTGTAAGTTGGCTAGGACAGACCAGAACCATAGTCACTGTGATTGCAGAGTTTGAACGTTAAATCATTCTATTCTATATTATGTAGTCTATAGGGAGAGATTTATTGTTACTAGTATGTTTCTAGGAGATAGGAGAAATTGATTTTAACTTTGAAGAATTAGTTGGAATTAGGTCATAAAATGGTAGTTTTAGAGGAAGAAGAGCTTGATAAAGGCACAGCTTCAGAATATTGTAGCACATCCTTAGAGAACACTAGTGGGAGTTGTATCAAGAACTAGTAGAAAATAAGATTCAGCAAGATTATAAGAGTTCTAGAATTTTTCTCTATGTAAATAAATCCTTAACTATTCTGAGAAGATAAATGAAATATTTACTTATACTTGATATTTAGAGGGATAACTGCATTGTCATTGTAGAGACCATATTACTGAGGGCCATATGTCAATGGAGACTTCTTAGAAACCAGCACTGCAAACCGGTGTGAAAGTAAACTAAGCTTGTATGAACCAGTCCTGTCATATAGATTGAGTTGTTCTTGCGAGCTGACCTGTTGGGGTCAGCTGTGGCAGGAAAGCACAGTGTGGTTGTATATTAGTGTGAAGGGATACCAACCATTTATTTTACATACCATTACCATTATACTGTTCTCCTAGCATCACTTGAGAACTGAAGCATGGTTCCTCTTTATATGTCTCATTTGCAGTAGGGTGCTCCATATTTAGGTTAAAAGCCTAAAGAATTCTCATATATAACATTTTCTAAGGTGCCAGATTTAAATAACAACCTTTTATAGACAGGGTAATTAGAAGACTGAAATTAGAAGATTGCAATGGTGGCATTTGTATTTGTAATAAGGGATGTCGCTGGGGCATTGTACTCCTCAGGCCTGCCCCTCACAGGTTCTGGCATATAATAAATGTCAGTGGATGTTTGTTAATTTCCTGGTCACTCATAAAACATATCCACCCTCCCCTTTGCTTTATTATTGTATTTTAAAACCAGAAAAAAAGTCATGGTTCACAGCCCTTAAAATGCCCCTCAAAGAAAAGGAGGCTCAAAGAAAAGAATGAATAAGATAAGTTATTTTCCTAGAAGCTGCTGATTCTAAATGTTATTTCCTCTCCCTTGAATCTCCTTGTAGGTTTTCAGACCTGTCGATGGCACTTACCATGGTGAGAAAGCAGTTTTCCCTCCTGACTCCAGCTGATCTTTGATTTTATTGCCTACCCAACATCTACCCAGACCACCCAATGGATAAAAAGGCCATCAGATGTGGCTATTTTGAGAGGTTGTCTCTGGCTGTAGAAAACATTAGTCTGAGTTACAAAAAAGGACTTATGGATTCCTGACTAGGGTGAGGAAAGCAGATCAATATGTCATCCTGCCAGTAGCCCTAAACCCTGATTTCCTTTTCTGGCCGCATTCTGGAGGTCACATATCCTCAATAGTAAAGACAGAGGGAACATTTAAGAAAGCCCAAATTCCAGAGTAGACAGCAGCAGAATGGATTTTACTTCATACAGCATCTCTGCTACACATTATCCCTTATGAATGAAAAAATAAGCATGAGCTATCTCTCCCTCTCTCTGACAAACAGTTAAAATGTTTGCATTTGTTCTCAGAAAACTAATAAAAAGCAACTTTGAAAGGAGGTTGAGCTGATAGTTTTGGGTTGCCTCTTGTATTAGTCTGCTCTCATGCTGCTGATAAAGACATACCCAAGACTGGGAAGAAAAGGAGGTTTAATTGGACTTACAGTTTCACATGGTTGGGGAGGCCTCAGAATCATGGCAGAAGGTGAAATGCACTTCTTACATGGCGGTGGCAAGAGAAAGATGAAGAAGCAAAAGTGGAAACCCCTGATAAACCCATCAGATATGGTGAGACTTAGCTCACTCTCATGAGAATAGCACAGGAAAGACTGGCCCCCATGATTCAATTACCTCCTCCTGGATCCTTCCCACAACATGTGGGAATTCTGGGAGATATAATTCAAGTTGATATTTGGGCAGGGACACAGCCAAACCATATCATTCCACCATGGTCCCTCCAAATCTCATGTCCTCACATTTCAAAACTAGTCATGCCTTCCCAACAGTCCCCAGAAGTCTTAACTCATTTCAGCATTAACCCGAATGTCCACAGTCCAAAGTCTCATCTGAGACAAGGCAAGTCCCTTCTGCCCATGAGCCTGTAAAATCAAAAGCAAGCTAGTTACTTCCTAGATACAATGGGAGTACAGGTATTGGGTAAATACAGCCATTCCGTATGTGAGAAATTGCCCAAAATGAAGGGTTTATAGGGCCCATGCAAGTCCAAAATCCAGAGGGGCAGTCAAATTTAAAATCTCCAAGATGATTTCCTTTGACTCCAGGTCTAACATCCAGGTCACACTGATGTAAGAGCTGGGTTCTCATGGTCTTGGGCAGCTCTGGCCCTGTGGCTTTGCAGGTTACACTCTCCCTCCTGGCTGCTTTCATGGGCTGGTATTGAGTGACTGCAGCTTTTCCAGGAGCATGGTGCAAGCTGTAGGTGGTTCTACCATTCTGGGGTCTGGAGGATGGTGGCCCTATTCTCACAGCTCCACTAGGTGGTGCCCCACTGGGACTCTGTGTGGGGGTTCCAAACCCACATTTCCCTTCTGTACTGCCCTAGCAGAGGTTCTCCAGGAGGTCCCTGCCCCTGCAGTGAACTTTTGCCTGGGCATCCATGCATTTCCATACATCTTCTGAAATCTAGGAGGAGGTTCCCAACCCTCAATTCTTGACTGCTGTGTACCCACAGGCTCAATACCACATGGAAGCTGCCAAAGCTTAGGGTTTCCACCCTCTGAAGCCACAGCCCAAGCTCTACATTGGCCCCTTTCAGCCACGGCTGGAGTGGCTGGAACACAGGGCACAAAGTCCCTAGGCTGCACACAGCATGAAGACACTGGGCCCAGCCCAGAAAACCACTTTTTCCTCCTGGGCCTCCAGGCCTGTGATGGTAGGGGGTGCCATGAAGTCCTCTGACATTGCCTGGAGACATTTTCCCCATGGTCTTGAGGATTAACATTAGTCTCCTTGCTACTTATGCAAATTTTGGCAGCCTGCTTGAATTTCTCCCCATAAAATGGGTTTTTCTTTTCTATTGCGTAGCTAGGCTGAAAATTTCCCAAACTTTTATGCTCTGCTTCCTTTATAAAACTGAATGCCTTTAACAGCACCCAAGACACCTTTTGAATGCTTTGCTGCGTAGAAATTTCTTCTACCAGATACCCTAAATCATCTTTCTCAAGTTCAAAGTTCCACAAATCTCTAGGGCAGGGGCAAAATGCTGCCAGTCTCTTTGCTAAAACATAAAAAGAGTCACCTTTACTCCAGTTCCCAACAAGTCCCTTTTCATCTGAGACCACTTCAGCCTGGACCTTATTGTCCATATGGCTATCAGCATTTTGGGCAAAGCCATTCAACACGTCTCTAGGAAGTTCCCAACTTTCCCACATTTTCCTGTATTCTTTTGAGCCCTCCAAACTGTTCCAACCTCTGCTTATTATCCAGTTCCAATGTGGCTTTCAATTTTTCGGGTATCTTTTAAGCAACACCCTACTCTTGGTATCAATTTATGGTACTAGTCTGTTTTCACACTGCTGATAAAGTCACATCTGAGACTGGGAAGAAAAATAAGTTTAATTGGACTTACAGTTTCACATGGTTGGGGAGGCCTCAGAATCATGGCAGGAAGTGAAAGCCACTTCTTACATGGTGGTAGCAGGAAAAACATGAGGAAGAAGCAAAATCAGAAACCCCTGATAAAGCCATCAGATCTTGTGAGAATTAATTCACTATCATGAGAATAATACAGGAAAGACTGGCCTCCATGATTTGATTCAATTATCTCCCCCTGGGTCCCTCCCACAACACATGAGAATTCTGAGAGATACAATTCAAGTTGAAATTTGGGTGGGGACACAGCTAAACCGTATCACCTCTCCAGCCTTTTTCCCTCTTTCCTGTCAACAGCACCACTTATTTATTTATTTTTCAGTAGCCCACTCGTTATATTTTCATCAGTGTGGTTTGAATAGGATTGATAGCATTCTTGAGGCAACTATCCTATGACATTCCCCTCGTCACTGTACTCATTTAATAGATGAGTACATAACACTTACATAACCAGTGATAAAAAAGAAACACTTACAGAGTATTTTGAGAAGGCAATATTTCTTCTTCACCATGTGGGGATTACAAAAGGGATCCTTCTGTATTTTCTTTAGGGCATGGTGGAAGGATGATAGGAAGCTTGAAGCTATTACAGTGCTTTTTGTACCACAGAGATGAGGCAAATTAAAAGAAATGTAGTTGAGAAATGGTGAAGTTTTAATTTAGGGTCAATCTATACCTGAAGCTATATTGTAGATTTTTCAATAAAGTGAGCCAATACTTTAAAGAAAATATAGTTAAGTAAATATTTTTTATCTTTTGCTAGAAGTGACTGTGGTAGGGCCCAGCAAGGTCTACCACATTCCATTGTTCCCAGTTTTGTTAGAGAACTGATTGCATCAGTCTAGAGTCAGCCACAATATAATTGGACTTCTGTAATGCTCAATAATGTCAAAATTTAACCAGGAATCTAGATGTTAGAGCTCATCAATATCATGTAAAAGGGAGGTTTCCACATAGATAATTATGTTTTAATTTTAGGGTGGTGTGACTGTGTGTATATGAGGCTTGGCAATTCCGTCTTTGTGTTTCTTTTGACTGAGCAAGTCTTCTGTCTAGACAAGAAGTATACCTAGAGTATCTCTCCTGAGAAACTGTAGAAACTCCAAAGCTCTTGCTTGCTGATTGTCCTGATGTTGTATGGTATGCTCTGGTGAGAATAGATCATCTTAAGTTATCAAAATATACTTTAACTTTCACTGGATTTACGTTTCAGAGAAATAATTTGTGCCAAAACTTTATACCAATCAACGCTGAGACTTACTCAAGTGATTCAGGATAGATCCAGTAGGAAAGTTGGGTCCTGATCTCTTCAAAGCTGGGAAGACATTAAGAGAGGATGTGGTGATTCCTCAAAGATCTAGAACTAGAAATACCATTTGACCCAGCCATCCCATTACTGGGTATATACCCAAAGGATTATAAATCATGCTGCTATAAAGACACGTGCACATGTATGTTTATTGTGGCACTATTCACAATAGCAAAGACTTGGAACCCACCCAAATATCCAACAATGATAGACTGTATTAAGAAAATGTGGCACATATACACCATGGAATACTATGCAGCCATAAAAAAGGATGAGTTCATGTCCTTTGTAGGGACATGGATGAAGCTGGAAACCATTACTCTCAGCAAACTATTGCAAGGACAGAAAACTAACCGCATGTTCTCACTCATAGGTGGGAATTGAATAATGAGAACACTTGGACACAGGAAGGGGAACATCAGACACTGGGGCCTGTTGTGGAATGGGGGGAGGGGGAGGGATAGCATTAGGATATATGCCTAATGTTAAATGACGAGTTAATGGGTGCAGCACACCAACGTGGCACAGGTATACATATGTAACAAATCTGCATATTGTGCACATGTACCCTAGAACTTAAAGTATAATTAAAAAAAAGACGATGGTTATGTTTTTGAACACTGGCTCCTCTATGAGTCTTAAATGGACACATAGATATAAATACTTCTACTGATTGTGACACCGTAAGTTCAACTCAGGGCACAAAGTAAGTGGAACTGCTGTCCAGGCAAAATCCCCATGGAGAATCATCTCAACCCTTCTGTTTTAACTGTGAGTCATTTGACATCAGACAGATATGGTCTGTGTATTCTCTACCCTGCTAACCCTGCTGTCCTCTGTTCACAAGTCACAGAAAAGGGAAATTTGAGGATGCTTTTTCATTTCGATTCTTTCTAAGACAACTTTCTTTTTGTACTATGCTCCAGCATTAGCTTCTGTGAATCACCCACCCCCAACATCTAATCATCTTTCCTTTTAATGTCTTGCTATTATGTAGCCTCTGCATCCTCTTGGGTCTAGAGCTCAATGGGCTCCTACCTTTATGTTGCTTGTATTTTCTGGACTATTCCCTACATTCTATACTTTTTTAAATTTTCCTCATTCTTTGGGTCTCAGTGAAAATGACTCTTTCCCAGCTAGATCAAGCATCTCTGCTATAATCAATAATTATACCTTATAATTTTTATTTGGAGGCCATATCGTGTTTTGTATTTATGTATATATGCATAGACATAATTGTTTAATTCCTTGCATATTTCACTAAACTTTAAGGTTATCAAAGGCAAGAACTTTGTGTATTTGTTTATTGCTACATTCCCAATGCCTCATATAGTACTTGGCGTTTAGTAGACATTGAGTAAATAGTTTGTTATTCAATGAAATGATTACAGATTTCTTATTCTGTCCTCTGGGGGAAGGCTGTATTAAGAACCATGTGAATATGAACTAGTGGTTTAATAGCAATTGAATGGAACTTTTTTCACAGACTCTCTGAGCTTGCACAGCAGCATCACTTGCATTTTTCCCAGTTGCAGTCTGTCCATCAGATCTGCAGAGCTTTGAAAGGGGTTGTTGGGGCAGAATGAGAGGATCTACCAGCCCGTGAACCCTGACCTCGGCCTTTCTGTTGTTGCTTTCTGAACCTGTCTTCGGTGCTCAGGGTAAATTAATTATTCTCTTACTGTCTAAGCACATTTGGGAAAGAACAGTTGCAAAGCCTGATGAGTCCTGGAAGAAGCAAACAAGTCTGGATGCTGTTGACTTGTCAGGGTGCATTGCAGAACTTTTAAAATGCTTGCAGCTTCGCCATTTGATTACTCTAAGCACAGTCTCTGAAGAGGCATTATCTCAAATGTGCCTTTAAAAACAAATTTAAATACAACTTGATGACTTCATCCCCTCCCCTCCTTTACTAGCATTTGGGAATAAGCCCAGTCAGATTTTGGCTAATCCACTTTTCACTGTTCTGGTCAAATAATACAACCTGTTCCATGAGAATGACTCAAATACTGTTACTGGCTGACAAGTAAGAACAGGAACCATCTTTTTCGTCTTTTCTTCCCTCTGGAGCAGTCATCTACTAATCCCAGGTGATTTCCTTAGGCAGCCTGTTTATAGCTTGTATTTCATGATTTAAGAAGTATAATGTTTTTTCAAGGGACCGTTTCTAACCATTCTCTCTGCATTCCAATGGCAACTCAACTTTTTTTTTTCTTTTTAAATTTTCAAATGCTCTAAAGAACAATTGAAAAAAGTTCTTAGGAAAGATAGTCTCCAACTTCACTTTGTGGGTATTTTCTCCAATCTCTTATTTCCAAGAAGAATGTTTTTTATAAATAAAATAGCTATATTGGACCTAGACAAGGACTGTTAACTGAGTTGCAGTCAACCAAACTAGACAACCTGTTGTTTTAGAAAGAAGCAGTGGCTGCTCTCATTTGTCTTTTAATTTTCACAGTATCTGTTAGGTGAAATTTGATTTTAGATTAAAAGACAGGATTAAATGGATTTGTTCTTGAATCTTCTCTTTTTTTAAAAAAAAAACCTCACTATATCCATTGACTTTAAGAAAAAATAATTGCAATAGTTCAGCATGGTGGGAATTTTACTTTTGCTTTTCTAATAAATTATTCATGCAAGCTTAAAGTATGCTAGGAAAGATTTATATGAGTATACTCAATAGGCATGCACAGCAAAATATATTTTGCTGTTTGCCTAATCTTCTGGTTTTATGTTAAAACCTTTAATTTAATTTTCCCATTAACATCTAAAGCTTGACTGTGCACAAGATGATACAATATTAAGGGTGGCTTTGTGGCATTTAAATTCCATTTCCCCTTTTATTTTACCCATTCATAGTATGGGAAATTTTTGAAATTAAGTATACATTTAGGTATAAATGGGACAGGAGGCCAAAATCAAAGTAATGTCACCTGCAAAGACTCTCATAGTCTGTTAGCAAACTACAATTTCTCTTCACTGCTTTTGCGTTGGGAGAATTAAAACTTGCAAAGGAAATTGTCAGCATATTTGCTAAAGAGTGCTTCCAATTTATTAAATTTATGCCAGGCTCCCCTTTTATACTAAGTCTTAAATCTCATTCTCAGAACTCAAAAATCTTTTTTCAGTGTGAAGGTCATTAATTTTAATTAAATGGAAATCTTTTTTTTTTACACTAACAAGAAAATGAGGATTAGTCTCAATAACTTTCATTAAATAAATAGAGCAAATTAAAAATTATAATACATCTTTAGATAGATCTAAAATGGTCTCATCAAAAGCCTATTAGTTGACAGAAAGGGAAGTGTCTCAGTAGGTTATAGTAAAAATGTCCCTAGAATCCAGAGGAAAAAGCATTTGTTTGCTGAGCTAGTTTTCTGTGGTTGATTTTACTTCACAAACATTATATTATACATCCATTATAACGTCATAATAAGGCAAATATAACATCAACTTTATAGGCCTTGATTAAAATAACTCATTTACTATTATCATAATCTGTATTTGTATAGCTTTTGGCAATTTACAAAGCACTTTTATAAATGACACCTCTGTTTGAGTGGCTTACTAAAAATAGTACACACTTTAGACATAAATGTGCTGTATTAAAATTTTTTCTCTACCACTTATTAGCTCTCACTTCAGAAAAATGACTTCAAATCTCTGAGCCTTAGCTGTCCTATCTTTAAGTAGGGATAGTAATTCCAAACTTGCAGGGATATTGTGAAATATTAAATCTTCCAATCCATGAATGTGGGATGTCTTCCATTTACAGTCATGTACCTCATAATGATGTTTTAGTTAATGATGCCTTGCATATATAATAGTGGTCCCCTAAGGTTATGATGAAACTGAAAATCTCCTATCACACAAATACTATCATTATGCTACTTTTTCTTTATACAGTTTGGTACAGTAACATGCTATATGGGTTTATCTCTAGAAGCAATAGGCTATACCAAATAGTTTAGGTTTATAGTAGGCTACACCATCTAGGTTTGTGTTATATACTCTATAAAATTTGCACAATAATATAGTCACCTAACTATGCATTTCTCAGAATGTATACCCATTGTTAAGTGATGAATGACTATTTTTGTCTTCAATTTATTTCATAAAGTTTTCTAGTTTTAGTATACAGATATTTCACGTTCTTGGCTATGTTTATTTCTAAGTATTTTATTCTTTTGGTGCTATTGTAAATGTTTTTTATAATTTCCCTTTCAGAAATTCATTGTTTGTGTAAAGAAACACTACTAATTTTTATATGTTAATTTGGCATCCTGCAACTTTACTGATTTAAAAAAAATTCACAGGCTTATTGTTTAGTCTTTACAGTTTTCTACATACAGAATCATGTCATTTGCAAGGAGAGAAAATTTTATTTCTTCCTTTCCAATGTAGGTGCCCTGTGTTTCTTTTTCTTGCCTAATTGCTTCAGCTTGTACTTTCAGTACCATGTTGAATAGAAGTAGCAAGAGTGCATATCCTTCCCTTGTTGCTGATTTTAAAATAGAAGCTTTCAAATTTTTAATATTGATTATGACATTAGTTATAAGGTTGTCAAAAATGGTTTTTACTGTACTGAGATAAGTTTCTTCTATACCTATTTTATTGAGAGATTTTGTCACGAATAGATGTGGAACTCTAACTTTCCTTCCACATTTATTGATATAATCATATGGTTTTTACCTTTTATTCTGTTAATACATTGAATCACATTAATAAACTTGAAAATTTTGAACTATCTTACATTCTAGGGATAAATCCCACTTGATCATGGTGTACAGTTGTTTTAATGTGCTGTTGAATTAATTTTGCTGTTATTTTATTGAGGATTTTTACATGTATATTCATCAGAGATATTTGCCTGTAGTTTTCTTTTCTTGTGTGCATGTTTTTGTTTTTTCTTTCTGGTCTTGATGTCTGTGTGATGCTGGCCTCATAAAATGAGTTTAGCAGTGTTTCTTCTTTTTTCCATTTTTTTTGGAAGAGTTTGAGATTAATTGCTATTAATTATTCTTAAATGTTTGGTAAAATTTAATTGTGAAATCATATGATACTGAGTTTTTTTAAACCCTCTTCTTCAGTGTAATTCAATTTGTTGACATATAATTGTGCATAATCGTCCCTTTTGATCCATTTTATTCTGAAGCACCAGCTGTAATGCTTCTCATTTTATTTCTAATTTTCTTTATTTGCCTCTTCTCTATTTTATGTTAGTCTAGCAAAGGGTTGGCCAATTTTATTTGTCTGTTTCAGAAGGTCACTCTTAGTTTTGTTGATTTTTTTCTATTTTTAAATTTATTTCTGCTCCAATTTTTATCATTTCTTCTGCTAACTTTGGGCTTAGATTGTGTTTATTTTTCTATTTAGTTTAGGTATAATGTTAGAGTGTTTATTTGAGATCTTTCCTTTTTTTAGTATAAACCTCCCTCCTAGTACTGCTTTTGCTACCTTCTACACATTTTGGCATGTTTTGTTTTCATTTTTATTTATCTCGAGATATTTTTAAAATTCCGTTTTGATTTGATCTTTGACCCACGGATTGTTCAAGATTGTGTTTATTCACAAGAGGTTCCCATCACCTCCAGTGCACTTTTGACAATTTGATTATAATATGTCTTGGTGTAGATCTCTTTGGATTCATCGTATTTAGTGTCCTTTGGGGTTCTTAAATCTGGATGTCTATTTCTTTCCCCAGGTTAGGGAAGTTTTGGGCCATTTTTTTTTTTATCAACTTGTCTGTCCTCTTTTCTCTGTCATCTCTTTATTTGACTTTTGTAATGAATATTTTTGTCCTCTTAGTAATGTTCCATATTTCCCTAAAGTTATCCTTTTCATTCCTTTTATTTTTAGCTCCTCTGATTGGATGGTTTCTAATGACCCATCTTCAAGTTCAGTGATTCTTTCTTTTGCTTGATCTAATCTACTGATGAAATGCTCTATTTAATTTTTCAGTTTAGTTGATACTATTTAGTTCTATAGTTTTTGTTTGGCACTTTTAATATTTTCTATCACTTTGTTAAAAATTTCACTTATTCACTGCTCTCCTGAACTTAATAAGCATTTTTATGACCATTATTTTGAATTCTCTGTTGGGTACATCAAATATCCCCATTTCATTCTAATTTGTTTTGGAAGATTTTTCTATTATTTTATTTGGAACATATTTTCATGTTTCTTTCTTTTCTTTGACTCTCTGTGTTGGTTTCTGTGCATTAGATGAAACATCCACTTCTCCCAACATTCACATGCTTTTTTGATATAGGAAATGATGCTTGCCAATCAGTCTCATGAGAGATTCTGGTGCCTTTCAAACCTTTGTGCTTGTCCAGCTGCCATTTTTCTTCCTAGTGGCCTCTAAGAAACTAGAGTATGCCAAGTCCTGTCAGTGCCCTGAAACAGATGAGATAGGATCCACTCCTTTTATTAGCCACTGGAAAAGTTCAGGTACTAGATATGTGATTCAATTTTTCTCTCTTTAGGGAGAAGCTGGAAGCTGGAACTTATCACCCACTATCTCTTAACTGAGCCAGGAGGTAAGCTATGGCAAATGCTTGTACAGTCATTCAGACTTTTTGCTCTTTCAAACTGTTGCTTTGTTCTCTGTCACCCTCAAGAGGTCTGGAGAATGCCAGGCCTCATTACCTTTCAGATACAAATGGGTTAGAGGCCAGTTCCTCAGGTAGCAAGCAGAAAAGTTGTGGAGCTAAAGGGATAATCAAACTCCTTCTGTGGAAATGCTGTAGAAATGATTTTTTTTCACTGAAAGGAGCCAGGAGGAGGAGCAATGGGAAGTACCCATGTGGCCATAAACTCCCAGGGAACTAGTGATTGCTTTCTCCATCAGCTCCAAGAAATAGGCAAGATAGAAGTTGGATCTTCAGGTAGCAGCTGGAAAAGTCAAGGCTCCAAATATGTAGTCTAACCTCTCCCAACTGGGAGCTGAGTTTTATAACTGGTGTAAGCCAGACAGGAGTTGCAGAAAGTACCTATATGGCCATTTAAAATGCCACTTTGTTCTCTATAGACCCTGGGGGATTAGTGAATCCCAAGGCCCTATTAGCTCTGGAAATTTAGTAGCCAGACCCTCAGACAGCAGCTGGAAAAGTCAAGGAACTAATTGTATAGTTCAGTTTCCAACATGAAGATGAAAGGCTTATTTTTTTTCAATGGAGCAAACCTAACAGAGGAGTGTTGGAAAGTGTCCGCATGTCCATTCAAGTTCTCAGAAAACTAGTGACTGCCTGCCCTTTTAGCTTCCAGATGTGGACTGGTTAGACATCAGACTCTCAGGCAGCGTCTGAAAAAGTTGAGAGGTTAGACGTGCAGTATAACTCCTTCCAGGGAGAAGCTGGAAGCTGAGGTTTATCGCTTTCTGACTGCACTGAGCAAGAAAGAATAGGTGTGTTAAGTGCACCTGTGCCTGTTTAAAACCATCTTATTTTCCCTTCTGCGGTCCCAGAATACTATTGCCTAGTGGTCTTTGTCAGCTTCTAGAGATAAGAAAGTTAAGAGTCAGTCTGTTGGGTAGCAGCCGTCAAAGTTGGGACATTAGATGTGTTGTCCAAACCCTTTGCTCCTCAGGGAAAAACTGAGAGAGGAGGGTTCTCTCCCATTTGCTTGGTGCTGTGTTGGAAACAGAATTTATGGCCAAAGTGTGTCTCAGCTTTTCTTATCCATTTTTAAATGGGAATTTTCTCAGTCATTTGGTATACAGGAGTCTCTTAACTGTTTCTGAATTTTTCTCAGAGGGAATTGATCTGTGCGTAGGTGTTTATTTGGTTCGTCTGTGGGTGGAGAGAGAGTCCTGAGCCTCCTCTTCTGTCATCTTGCTGACGTCTCCAATTCTCTGATAGATGTAAGGAGGTAAATGCTTTTGAAATTTGTGAGAAAGTTCCCAGGTAAACAACAAATTTAATAGCAAGACATGGCCTATCTGGTTCAAAAAGATGCTAGAGAAACCACTGATTTCTCCTCATTGTGACACCATATATTTATTCTAAATAAAATAGATTGACATTATAAATGATACAGGCTTGCAGTTGGAGTGGTCCCTGCTCTTTTCAGATGGCTCCATTCTCCCACTGTGTTCAACATAAAAATCACAAAATTGGTTTTTGCTATCACGTAAATTTTATTTTTCGTCATAATTGTCCCTACTTTCTTTTAGGTCAATAAATGATAAAATATTATTATTAAAAATTATTGTATTTTAATACTCATTCATAATTTTTATTTGTTAATAAATACTAACATGACCACACAATTCAGTTGACACAATTCAGTTTTTTGTTTGTCTGTTTTTAGAGATAGCCTCTCACTCTGTCACTCATGCTGGAGTGCAGTAGACCAATCACAGCTCACTGCTTCCTCCTACTCCTTGGCTCAAGCAATCCTCACACCTCAGCCTCCTTAGTAGTAAGACTACAGGCATGCGTTAGTATACCTAGCTAATTTTTTAAACTTAATTTTTAGAGGTGGCGTCTCGCCATGTTGCCTAGTCTGGTCTTGAACTTCTGACCTCGAGTGATCCTTCTGCCTCAACTTCCCAAGTAAGACATAATTCAGTTTTAATCCATTTAGACTAGTTAGACATCATACTCTGAGGCGGCATATTTTCACACAAAGGTAGGGGCTTTGTGTGTGTGTGTGTATACTGACAGTTTAAATCAGTTTTTAAAATAACAAAAAAGAAATTAAGAGTCATTTTGAGCTATTTTTCTTCCTTTATCCTTTTTATTGTTTCTATAATGGCAAAAATGAAAATAAAGGTAAAATAGTTTATTTAATCAATCTGGATTATAAACATGTGGTTTTGTTTCTTTTTTCTTTTATAACTTTGGAGTTTTAAAGACGCAGTTTCTATGTAAGTGAGAAGTAGAATGGTATATTGCTTTATGAAACAGGTAACAGATAAGAAATTGTATTTTAAATAAATAACTTGAGAATCTTGAGTAGCCCACTTTTATCTGAGAGATTTCCATAATTATAGCATCCATTTCTGGAAGATGAGAAGGAACCCGTTATCAACTTTGCTGCATATCATATCATAAGATAATTTTGATTTTATCCCATTCCTGTGGGAGCACTTCTAGCTCACTGAATTGAAGAGAAAGAACAAATGCTTTATTGATCAATCAGAACTTTTTCTTACTGCAAGAGCCAATGAGTGTGGTGGCTTTATGGTTTGTAAATAATTTTTGCCTCACAATGCACATTGGTGTGTACATTACTGTAAACTTTGTTTTCTTTTCTACTGCCTTCACTTTTCTGTTAACTTTCAGTAGTTAATAATGACAATAAAAACAAGTGAGATTCTAAACATTATACAGCTATTAATTCATTTAGTTTTCATAAAAACACTGTAAGACAAGTAGAATTATTAACTTTATTTTAAAGATGAAGAAAATGAGTCAACGATGCATTAAATAACCTGTTAGTGAGAGTCAGCTAAGGAGTGGTCAGACCATGATTCAAATATTGGCTATCTGGCTCCAGAGACTGGATATTTTAAATATCATGGTCAAGGAAGTCCATAATGAGAAGCTGACATTTGAACAAAGACTTAAACTACTTGAAAAGTGAGGCATGTAGGTATCTGAGGATACTGCATTCCAGGCAGCTGAATAGCAAGTACAAGTACCCTGAGGCAGGAGCATCCCTACGTGAGAGAAAATGGAGTAAGGAACGAGTCCCAGGATTTTTCTGACTACCTGGAAGAGTATAGTTGCTATTATTGAAAATGGGGAAGATTTGGGTGCTACAGGTCTGATGGGACAGCCAGAAGTTCATTTTTAAAGAGGTTAAGTTTGAGAAATCTATTAGATATTCAAGAAATGTCAAGTAGGCAGTCCAATACAGTCTGGGTTTAGAGGACAGAAAGAATATGGGCTTGGCATTAAATAAAGTAAATGAGGATGGACAAGCAGTCCAGGAACTGACTGCTCAACATTTATAGCCAGAAGATAAGGAGTTAGTAGCATAGAAACTGAGATGGAGCAGCCAGTGAGGCAGAAAGAAAACATGATTGTGGAGTCCTGGATTCCAAGGGAAGAAGGCCTCTCAATAAGGAGAAGCTGAGCAGGTTTCTCAAATGTTGCTGGTAAGTCACATAAGGGAAGGACTTAGAATTGAGCATTGATTATAGCAATATGGACAATATCAGTGACCTTGACAAGATAATTTTTATTATAATGATTAAAGCAAAAATTTAATTAGGAATGATTAAGAATTTTTCCCAAATCATACATCTAAGATTTGTTAAAGAACAAGTAATTTTCCTTATCCTTATTGATCACATCTAACAGTTCTGTGGAAATGTTTTAAAATGATAAAATTTCTAAACAAAATATAGAACTCAGTAAAAAAAGAAAAAGTTGAAGGACAGGGATGAATGTGCAAAGTCATGATCAGGAGAGAGATTTAAAAGAGAAGCACATCTTGAAAGGATGGGTTGGATAAACAAATATGATTGGGTTATATGCTCATATTTGGAAGTCCCAGAGCATCAATTAAACCTAACTTAGGGAAAAGAAATGCAGAAAGGGTTGCGGGGGGGATAAAATGGCTAACATAATTAAACAATTCAGGCATAGCTGAGTTGAGGTGTTACGTACTATTGTCTGAATTCAGTGAGGCTCCATTTTCCAGCTCTGCTGTCCTCTGTTTGAGTTTTCATTTCATGCAATCTCCCTAGTCATGCTGGTAACCAATGGCTCAAGGCTTACCTCTCACTGTCTAGCAGTCCCTCTGGAAGGAGCTTTTCTTTTTCAATAGTTCCTGTAAATTTCACATATTGATTCTGATTAGCTTGTGTTATATAGAAGTTAATAACTATTTGCTGTGTCCATGGAAATGGATTAGCTAGATGTAGATTTTTATCTCTACTTATTGGAAGTGGTGTAATTAGGCCAGCTATTTCCAAACCATAAAGAGTAACAAGTAGAGAATTATCCTTAGGAAAAGTAAGGTTCTAATACTATTTAAATGGGGAAATAGATGTTGGGTATATTTTTAAAAAGATGTTCATTATATGAAATAAGGAAGATTTGGAAAAAGAGAATGGAGAAAAGTGGTTATGTAGAATTTACTATATGTTTTACCTACATTTGTTGACAATTTCTTATTTAATGACAACCCCAAGAGATAAATGCTTATGTTGGATAAAGCTGAGAAAAGGGAAATGATCTCTAATATTTACTTCAGAGAAAATGTGCCCACAGGACTAAATTATAATCTAATCTTTCAAGCTTTAGGATGTTTATATTCATAATTATACACTGAGAAAAATATGTATGGTTCATCTCTGTAGCATTATAATCAACAATCATGAAAACAGCCCTAAGCAAATAAATATAACAGAAAGATGTAGTCATATGATTTGATATGAGTCTAGAGGCTCTGCAGCTCAATTTCCCCAGCAACTGAACCTCTTAGCTTCTGAAGGTGAACAAGTGATCAAGGTGTGCTAAGGGGTAATGAAGGAGCTCTAGGTTCAGGCGGGCAGGGGCAACAGCATTACAAATTGTTTTTTAGCTTTCTCAATTTAGCCTCTCCTCTCTTCACGTCCTTTGGAATTACATAACACCTCCAAATCCTAAACCTTTCTTTTATATGGCAGATGCTGACTTGTTTCCCATTGGCTGCTACACTTTAAGCAGATAGAGTTCATCTTCTTTTGCTCTGCTAGTTTGTTGCTATCCTTCCATCCATTTCCTTCCTTTGAATGCTGTTGACACCTTTCATTCCAAGTCGTCTTGCCTGTCACTCTTTCCTTTTCTTTGTAGACTCACATCTTTATTTCTTCCACTGTCATTTTTTTCTTCTACTAGTGTTTTTGAGAGATTACAGGCATTAACATCTACATTCAATCTACTTCATTTGACCAGAGGCCCTTGCATCCATTTCTATATCCTCCCTTTACATTCTTAATAATTAGTAATACTAAACATGTTATTATAATTAGTAATATTAAGCATGCTATTATAATCTTAATTAGTAGTCCGAAGCCCCATCTCTCAATCTCAGTAAATCTTCCCACCCCTAAGGTGTATATATTTCAGTCTCTAAAGCCTAACAACATCCATACATTCCAGCATATTCCTTGGAGTAAGTCCTACCCCTATATTTATTTGATTACCCTGTTTATAGGTTGGTCCCAACTCTGAAGTATCAATGTCAAACAGAATTTGCATTATTATAACACTGTAGTTAAGATGGTAAAAAATGTATGGTGAAATTTAGATTCAATGTTTTTAGCTGTGGTCACCTATATTTCCAAGCACGTGAATAATGTGATTCATCCAAAGTTTATTCCCATTCTATCTGGAGTTTTCTAACTGCTATTGTAAACCTGTAATTGCCACATCTATGTAAAGCACATATAAGACACAATGGAAGATCACAAAGGTTGTTATAAAATAGTGCTCAAACGAAAATGCCATGCATCTCTCCATGAGACTTTAATAACTAAGAAAAAATATACATTTGGGAAGGATACTGAATCATAGCACCAGGAAAGAAAAAGCAACTTGAAGCAGCCCATTTCTTTTAGCTGTCAGTGAATTTTTGGTTGTTGCTTTGCTTTGTTTTATAGCTTTCTTTGGCTCTATAAAGTATCTTGACATACTGCCTGAGACCTCTGGCTTGCTATCTATTCCATTTTTTTTCAGTAAGTGAGATGCCATTTTAAAAGGCACTGAGGCATCACTGTTAAATTACACCCACTGTATGTGCAGACAGCCTTGTAGTGAGATCACTCCTACTTACTTGTTTGGCTTTAATTTATTTCTAGTTTAGGAGAGCAGTGGTGATCACTATGATGTCATAAACTTGATACTTAGATAGATTCAATATATGGAAATATCTTCCTAATAGTGTCTAATTATTACTTAATATCTTACAGGTCAACAATTTTACTGGGAATTCAGATATTCTACTCAAATAAAAAATAAGTAATAACTTGGAACATAAGTTAATAACCTGGCATATTGACTGGCATATAGTTGCTCAATAACTGTAAATTACTCCATTTCATTGAACACGTATCGCCAGTTCCTGCATTAAAACCTCTATCTTAGCTGTTCCACTGTCCTAAATGCCCTTATTCCAGAGATTAGAATAAAAGGCTCTTTCTTCTCTTTCTAGTACCAGTTTAAGTATGCCTTTCTCAGAGAAATCTCCACTGATCACAGTCTCCAGAGTCAACCTCTTTCAAAACACCCATTTTATTTTATTTTCTGTATTCACCAGGGCTTGATATTTTCTTGATTATTAGTTCACTCATTCCATAAGAAGATATAATTCTGTCATTTGTTTTATTCCCAGTGCCTAGGGCAGTTCCTGGAATATGTAGGTTATGCATGTCTTCATATTTCATAGAGAAGGGGACCTTACCTGGTTTGTTCATTGTGGTAGCTTTAACGCCTTGCACATGATATGTCCTTTGTATATGCTAAATTAATTGATAATGACTTTCCTTTTACAGTTTAATGCCTAATTTTGTTAGAGTTTTAAAAGTAAAATACTTGGGAGGCCAAAGCAAGCAGATCGCTTGAGCCCAAGGCTTGCCTGGGCATTATGGGGAAACCCTATCTCCACTAAAAAAGCAAAAAAACAAAAAAACAACAAAAAAATCAGCTGGGTATAGTGGCACATGCTGGTAGTCCCAGCTACTCAGGAGGCTGAGGTGGCAGGATTGCCTGAGCTCAGGAATTCAAGGCTATAGATCCAACACTAGACTCCAGCCTGGGTGAAGAGTGAGACCCTGCCTCAATAAATAAATAAATAAATAAATAAATAAATAAATAAATAAATAAATAAATAAAGTAAAATGCCCTATTCTTGAGATTTACCCAAGACAAATGAAAACTTACATTCACACACACACACACACACACACACACACACACACACACACAAATTAATGTTTTTAGAGGCTTTATTTGTAAAGTGCTGAATGACAGGATAAAACATAAATTCTAGTGAATGGATTAAGAAACTTGGGTATACATTCAACAGCATACTTCTCAGCAATGAAAAGAAAGAAACTAGTAAAACACAAAACTAAATGGACGAATTCTAAATGCATAATTCTATGTGAAAGAAGCCAGACTCAAAAGGCTACCTACTCTGTGGTTCTGGAAAAGGTAATACTATAGAAACAGAAAATAGATCAGCAGTTGCTAGGCCATGGGGATAGGGTGGGGTTTATAACAAAGGGCAGAGTGAGAAAATTTGGGGGAGTGAGGGCTCTGTTCTGTATCATGATGGTAGTGGTGGTTACATGCCTGCATGTGCTTGTCCAAACTAATAGAACTGTACTCAAAAAAGAGTGAATACCACTTTACATAAATTATATCTCAATATTTAAAAAGTAAATAGATAAAACATTATAATTCACTATAGTTCAAAATGACCAGGCTGTGATTTAGCTGCCTAACTATTCTGCTCTTCTAGCTTTGCCTTGTCTGTCCAATCTCTTCTCAAACAACAGGCAGTGTGACACTAAGAAAACATTTTACTCCTCCAACATCTTTCCAACTCAGTTTTTAAAATGGCCGAGAAAGCTCTCCCTGATCTGCTGCCCGACTGTTTCGCTGATGCCATCTCAATCACTCTTTCCTCTTGTACTCTGCACCACCCAGAACAGCCCCCTTGCTGATCTTGCAAGACACCAAGCTCCATGAGGACTTTGCAGTTGCTATTCTTTGTTGGGCTGCTCCTGCCCTGAATATCAACATGGCCTGTTCCTCCACACCCTTCAGCTCTATTTGCAAATATCATCTTATCAGAGATATTTTCCAGGACTATCCTATACAAATAATACCTCCTTCCTCATATTCCATTTTACTTTTGTCTACAGAAAGATGTATTTAGTTTTTAAAAATCTGAGTACTCTTATTAGAATATAAGCTTTAAAAAATTTGAAACTATTTTTTATTTATTACTATTTCTCTATAGTTCATATGTATGAATAAATAAATGAACTTGGTCACTAATGTAAATGTGTTGGCAGAGACTGAGTAGATGCTCATAACACCCACTTCTTCTTCCTGAGCACGTAGCTAATTCTCATTTCCTGTCAGCCTTGCATCTAGGGGGTCATATGACTAGCTCTCATCAATGTAATATAAATAAAATAGATACCTTACTGTTTGGTCTGTGCAGCTATAATCAGTTTGCTTTCTGTTTGATCTCTCCCTCTTCCCTTAATCTGACACATGGATGACACTATATGATGTTAAATTCCTGAAGGCATTTGTTGAAGTTGGCAGAGCCACACCATGAAAAGAATCTAGGTCCCTGAAGACTGTGTGTAGCAGAGGTCTTCCCCGCCTCCTCCAGTATACATTGTACTATATAACATTAATAAGAAATAAATCTTTATTGTGTAAAGCCATAACACCTTTGAATCATTTGGTATGGATAGTTTTACTTAAGATGACTAATATACCTGGATTTAGATATTTCCAATCTGAGGTTTGCCACATCTGACCATAATGTAGATGCTATGAATCTATTTTCAGATTTTACAGTGGGGAGAGTATATGCTAGCACTTCCTAGGATGAAAATGCTGTGAACATAAAAAATAAAGTATAGAGAAATAATTTATATATTTTTAAAAGAATATCACAAATGTGAGTTTTGTAAAATGCCACTGTTTATACTTTGCTGGTTTAGGTTCTTTTTTCCCAGATAGTTCTTCACCGATTTGCTCAATATTTAACATTTACTTATCTAGGTTTATTCTCTGTGCCAACCACTATGCTGAATAGGAAAGATAATACCAATCTTTACTGTCAGTGAGTGGAGAAAACAACAATGAATGGTGTGAAAAGTACTTTCATAAGGGAGTCTACAGAGTTATGGCAATGAAAAGTAGGGAAACCTAACCCATACTTGGGATATTAGGGGTGGGTATTGTTCCACAGGAAGAGACTTTAAGTTGTGTGAAGGAATTTATCTATTTCCTCCAGGTTTTCGAATCTACTCATGTATAGTTGCTCCTAGTAGTCTCCAGTGATTCTTTGCATTTCTGTGGTATCCATTTAACATCTCCATTTTACTTCCTGATTTTATTTATTTGGCTCTTCTGTATATTTTATTCTTAGTTTGTCTAGCTAATGGTTTGTTGATTTTAATTATCTGTTCAATAAACCAGCTTTGTTTGTTGATCTTTTTTATTGTTCTTCAAGTTAAAAGCTGACAGAGACAAAGAAGGGCATTATATAAAGGGATCAATTTAGCAAGAGAATGTAACAATTACAGATATACATGTACCAAACACCCAAGCACCCAGATATATAAAGCAAATATTAGATGCAAAGGGAGAGATAGATTCCAATACACTACTAATAGGAGATTTCAACACCCCACTCTCAGCATTGGACAGGTTATTTAAACAGAAAATCACCAATGAAATATCAGATTTAAATGACACCATAGACCAAATGGACCCGACAAACATTTACAGAATGTTTCACCCAACAGCTGCAGAATACACATTCTTTTCTTCAGTGCATAGAACATTATCTATGGCTGACCATATGTTAGGACACAAAACAATCCTCAAGAAAACTAACAAATTAAAATCATATTAAGTATGTGGTTGGAACACAATGAAATAAAACTAGACCAACAAGAGAAACATTAAAAACTATATAAGTACCTAGAAATTAAACAACATATTCCTGAATGGTGAAGAAAAAAGTTAAAAATAAAATTAGAAAGATTAATTGAAAGAACTGAAAATAGAATGTCACAACATATCAAAACCTATGGTACAGAGCAAAAACAGTATTAAGAAAGAAGCAGGTTTATAGTAAAAAAATGCCTATATCAAAAAACTAGAAAGATTTTAAATGAACAACTTAATGATGCACTCCAGGAACAATAACAGCAAGAAAAAACCAAACCCAAAATTCACAGAAGGAAATAAATACTAAAGATCAGAGCAGAAACCAACAAAATTGAGACCGACTCATTTTTATCACAGGTGCCAAGAACATACATTGGAGAAAAGACAAACTCTTCAATAAATGGTGCTGGGAAAACTGCATATCCAAGGATAATTCAACATATGCAAATCAATTAATGCACAAACCACCGTGTTAACAGAATAAAGGATTAAAATCACATGATTTTGTTAATAGATGCAGAAAAATAATTGGACAAAACACCTTTTCATGATAAAAATTCTCAATGAACTACAGAGATAAATTATTTCTATATCCTATTTGACCATAAAAAGAATGCAATCCTATCATTTGCAGCAACATGCATGGAACTGGAAGTCATTATGTTATGTGAAATAAGCCAGGGACAGAAAGAGAAATATCACATGTTCTCAGTCATATGCAGGAGCAAAAAAAAAAAAATTGATCTCATGGTGGTAGGGAGTAGAATGATTGTTACTAGAGGCTGAGAAGGGCAGAGACAAAAGTGGGTTAAAACAAAATTGGTTAATAGGTTAAAAAATACACTTAGAAGATTAAGTTCTAGTGTTCAATAGCACAGTAGGATGACTATAGTTAACTATAATTGATTACATATTTAAAAATAGCTAGAAGAGAAGCTCTCAAATGTTCTTAACACAAAGAAATGACCACTGTTTGAGATGATAGATTTTCTAATTTTCCTGATTTGATCAATATACATTGTATGCCTGTATCAAAATATCACATGTGCCACATAAATATGTACAATTATTTTGTATCAAAAATATATAATGAGAATGCTCTGAAAGAAGGTTAACAAATAAAGGGAGGTCTTCAATCACCCCAGATATCTGCTTAGAAACACTTTCCTGACTCTTTTACAGGGAGGGGAAATCTAAACAACAAAATAGATGTTTTGCTTAATTAAGGACAAAGAGATAAAATTTAAATGGGGCTGAAACTCCAAAGAGGAAATAGATATGTAAGGAAAGAGCTCCATAAATCTGCATAGAAATACTCTTATATCTTTTGCTGAATACTAAGACATGCAAGTATAAGGTTAGGTGAACACTTTTTGTTTAGATAAATTCTGCATTCTTTTTTGTTTAATAAAATGTTTGGCATAACGGTGATTCCATCTCGAGTATGTCTCCTTGACCCAAGGTAGTAACTTGAAAAGTATAAAATTTATTCACTTTGTTGGTTGTCTTCATATTCAGCAAGTTTGTTTTCCCACTGAATTGGTGCTTTCCTTTGTTCTGGAAGAACAGAAGATTGACCTCCAGAAATATCTTGTTTTAGCAAGTGGATAGATGAAATGATTAGGCATGGTATGGCTCTTTTCCATTTTAAATCCCAGTGATGATTGCTGGCAGAAGGCAAGAGTTATGTAGGCTCCATCTCAGGTGTGCAAGCACACTGCAATTAAGGAGAGCTACTCCTAGCCACCCAGGAGGAAAGAGGCTGATCAAAGTGTCACATTATTTACTTCCAGTGTAAACTATAATTCCCTGCTCAAAATACTACAATTTATTCAGTAAAAAGAGGGTATCAACAAAACCCAGACACATATTCACAAATTGTGGTCTAAGGGAATGCGAATAGCATAATTATTTTCAGACAGGTAAACACATTGAGTGGCTTCTCCACATGCATCCTTATTATAAATAATTGTTCCAATTAGTGTTACCCAAATACTGTGCAAAGGCTCCAGTAAAGAGGCAATTTAAAGCAATGTAAGCAAGATGATTTTTTATACTCAGTGAGATAAATCCAAGTAGGGCAGGGAAGGGGCTCATGGCAGAGCAAAAGAGATGAAGGTAGCAAACCAATTTGAAAATTCCATCACCAAATTGGGTGAACAATAAGAGTATAATCTGTAGGCAAATCAGTGTAATTATTACTATCATCAATACTTTATATTGAGCAACAATGATCACTAGTTAATTTTATTTGAAATAAATCGCAAGATGTGAGACTTCCTTGACTGTATAGTGTAGAAAATAATAATTATGTAGAAATGACCACAGTGTGTTCTTAATATTCACATTGTGTTACTTTTTTCAAATGGCATTTAATGTCTAGTGTATCATTTTAGCTTCACAATGACAGTATAATATTGTTTAAGAGCTTTTGCTCTGAAGCTAGACTGCCTTGAGTTCAAATGCTGACTCTGAACATGAACCTCTATAAGCTTCAATTTTCTCAGCTATGAAGTTTGAGCTAATAAGAGGATTTACTTCTTAAGGATGTTGATGATGAAAATCAATGAAGGACATGCAGAGAGTTTAAATAACTATAAAAAGATATTGGCTCTGGTTGCTGATGCAATCAGGAAACAAAACACATAGTCAGCATCTAGAATTCACTCTATCAACCATGCATACTGCCTGTCCTATCCCAGGGGTTTGTGAGGATTTAGCAAAACTTAGCCTACTGTCTGGTGTGCAGCATTTAATGTCCAGTAGCTAAGAGGAAGACAGAGAAGTTAGAGGAAAAGAAGATGGAAGATACCAGCTACTACTACTAGATTCGAGGATTGTTTTTACAAATTTTTGCTGTAAAGGGCCAGAGAGTAAATATGTTCGGTTTTGTAGGATATATATTCTGTTGCAAATATTCAAATCTGTCATTATAGCCAGAAAGCAACAATAGATACACATACATGAATGGGTGTAGCTGCACCCCCAATAAGATTTTATTTACAATAACATGAATTGGCCTAGATTTGTCTCTTGCCATATGCCATAGTTTGGCATCTGGATCACAGAATGAGAACTTGAAAACAGTCTTTTGTTGAAGTTCAGTATTCTTTGCAGCTTCTCCCAGCTGTCACCCTCTGGCCTATTTTATTACTGGGAACAATGAGGGAATGAGACTATATAACCCCTTATGCTGTTTTCAGAACTGATGGTCTAAGAGTCTATGGTATCTCAATGCGTCTGAAAATGGTTGAGTGACTGTTAACCAGACAAAAGATTAAAATAATTAAAATGAATTATAAGCATGGTGGACATGGCTCCGACCACAGTAGAAACTATTCCTTTGACCCTCATTCTCTACTAAAAGTAGAATGTTATATTTGTTCAATGGTAGATATTATTACCTGGAAGCCTTTACACTTTACATTCACTGGCTTCCAAGTGTTGTTTGTAGGTAGAGTGACCATATGTCTTTGTTTGCCTGTGAAAGCTCCAGTTTATGCCTAACTCCTAATAGCATCTTTCTCTCTTCTAAAAAACTGCAATTTGCATGAAAAAAAGGTGATTACTCTACTAACAGAAGATGAAACTCAATTCTATAGGCTTCTACTTCTCTTTGGAAGCTGCAAAATTTCTACATAAAGGACAGAGAAGGCACATCTAAAGGAATACTTCCCATCTCAGATTCCCTCTATTTTAGTAAAAATTTATTGAGTATCTAATATATATCATGTACTGTGAAAGACACTGAGAATAAAATGTGCTCTCAGAAGTTCTCATTTCAGTTTTGAAGAAAGGCTGTGGAGGTTTATATAAACTAATTCTGCATGTGAAATCTTTAAATTCCACAGGCATCGGGCTGCTTCATATATTTTCTTCATCATTATGTATTCCACGTGAGCTAAAGCCACACAAGGACAAATGCAGGGTACACCCTTTTACCCCTGTCACCAGCATCTGTTCATGCTTGTTCTTTACTAATGGAACCCTAAGTAAATACTCTGGAATAAATTTCAGCCTTAGTCAAAAGTTTCCTCATTAAGCATTGATTTCTGTTATTCCTATATTGCACTGAGAAAGGGAAGTTAATTATTTCACAGAATTTGAAAGGCTTGTATGAGTAGCTACAAATACTTATCTTCTTACTCTATACTTTATTGTTTATTGAGAGTTTACTACATTTCAGGCTCCAGATTAAACTCTTATATACTATATATCACTTAATCCTCACAATTGCCCTATGAGATAGGAGCTAGTATTTTCCTCTATTTTATGAATAACAAAGTTAATGCTCAAAGTGTTTAGAAAATTTATATAAGGTAACATAGCTAGTGATGGTGGAGACAGGATTTCATCTCCCATTTGATTCCTATGAAGATTGAAAGTATTATGTTAGGTATAGTACAATTTATAGAAACTTAATGATAGCATTGACTAAACTGCTTGATTTACTGATACTAGTATCACTTCTACAAATATTGTATGGATTGCATTTATCCTAAAAGTGATTTTTTGTTTATCTAAAATTCAAATTTAACTAGGTGTGCTGCATTTTTATTTGCTAAATCTGGCAACACTATCTGTTACTCATCCTGTATAGGATATTAAACTAGGAAAACATAAAGAAGCCCTAGCAGCGTTCCCATCTCAGTTGTTCTACATCACATCACTGATGTCATGGTCATAGCTATATTTGTGCAAAGAACATGTTCCAAGTGCAGTTCCAACAAAAGACAATGAAAGCATTGTTTATCTTTTATTCAGTTCTTGTGGTGTAGATTATTTCATCAACCAGAAACTGAGTACCCAAATGTCCCTTGAGCAATCAATATATCAAGCGTTGTTTCTGCACTGCTCAAGTTAATACCTGAGTATAATCCCTCTAGATTTCTTTTTATGGGGAATGAGATGCAGTAGAGTTCAGTTGTATAAGTGAACTACATGTAAACTACAGCCATAGCCACAAGCAAGTATGAAGGGTACCAGCCAGGAGCCTAACATATGCTGCGAATGTGAAGCCTACAAAGAAAGCTGAATTCCTCACTCAAAAATCCTGCCATCTTCTTCCAGAGAAATTAAAACAATTGCATACAAAACTTCTTACATGGAGAATGTTTGCCACGATTTTGGCCCCTAGGCTTCTAATTCCAACTTCCTAAAAGTACACCAGATTTTCTTTGTAAAACCATCCTTCATTTTAAACCAGATTTGTTTAAGTCAATGACTGTAAAAGTCGTGACATCATTCCAGCTAAACCATTTGCTCAGAGAAAGACTTATGATACAATCTGAACTGATGAGATGGAAAGAGGCATTTATTTCTGGAGAGAAAAGCATCTCCTTTATTCTATGAAAGCAGTCATAAGAAACGTTTTCTCTTGTGGGTTTCACGGTTCAGATGCTCTGGATGCTTGCTCTGTTTTATTACCATGAGGAGAGAGAGGCTAGAACCTCCAAGGGCCATGTTTGTGATGTCTGAGTATAAAGATGATGCCACAGAAGGCAGAAAAAAGTGACTCACAAAGTAGCCATGCTCTGAGTGACACCATTTGAACTTCTGGATCAAGATTCAGCCAAAGTCTCTAGAGGTTTTTCCTCATGAGCCAATAAATCATCTTTGCAGGTTAGGCCCATTTGAGATGGATTATATTTTGTCACTGCAATACAAAGAGACTTAAAATTGACAGATACACCTGTGTCTATTCATTTGTATTTCAACTTGCACCCACCTCAGAAAAAAATGTAAAGAATAGAACACAGATTAGAACTGTGTGATAAAGAAAATGCGTGTGTGTGTGTGTGTGTGTGTGTGTGTGTGTGTGTGTGTGTGTGTGTGTAGAGGGGGAGACATTTGGATATAAAATGAAGCCAGAAATTAGGGTCAGATAAAAGTGCTCACTGAAGTTTTTCCTCTTGCCATGAGTAGCCCAGATGTTTGTTATAAACTTCCTAGCATGCAACACAAAGGAATAGCTTGTTTATTTATCCAGTTCAATGTTTTTCAGCTAAATGTTGACAAATTGCTTAGGAGAATCACAAGTTGTAAATATCTAAAAGGGAAGTTAATAGAAGGGAAAATAATCCATTTCTGGTGGAGGACTTATGAAAAGTTCCCTACAGAAGGTCAGTCTTGAGCTAAGCCATGAGAGATGGGATAGGGTGTGTATGGAGGAGGACAAGGAACATTTCAAGATGGGGAAACAACACGAACAAGTTCATATCTGGGGTGAAGTTGCATAGAGGATGGTGAGATTAGCATAAATGAAGTTTGGAGACATGAACAGCTATTTTAGAACACAAGCTCAACTGCAGAGTGGTGTGAAAAAAAAATCCCACAAAACCGCCAACACATACTCACACAACTCTAGTCTTAAGAGTAGATGTTATCTAAAGGTTATCAACTAAGATTAAAATTGCTTAGAATCTGAAAATATATTCACGCTGTAATATTGGTTTGATTAAAATAGAAACAGTCTACAATAAATCTTGATGAAAAATAAAACAGAATAAACACACTCTCCTAAAAATAATAACATATGGAGCTTAACTCTCCTGCTGTGTAAATTAGCCCTTAGCAGTAATTGAGGTAATTTTTACTCCTTAACCCAGAGACTTAAATATTTAATAAAATAAGTCTTATTTGCACCCTGTCAAAATTATACATCAGAAGTTTCAACATTGTTTTTGTAATCTCGTAGGATACAGAGTGGAAAATAATAATAGAATCATATGTTCAGAGGTAACAAATTCCCACTGTCATCATTGTAAGTGGAATGCTCTATTAACTGGTCCTTTCACATACTTAAATTATAATGCCCATAAGTTACTCAGAAATCATGAATTATCAATGGACAGTGTGTAACACATACCCACTAAACACTTGTGGATTTCAATTATATTTTCATATAATTATCATACTAGCTCTAAGACCTTGAACAAGTGATTTAACTTTCCTGAAACTCAGGTCTCTACTTTGCAAAATAGGTGCTATAATAACTTCCTACCAGAATTGTATGAGAATTAAATGAGAAAATATACAGGAAGTGCCTAGCAGGAGTAACTGTCATTTGAGCAATTACTATGGGCCAATGTCCTAAGCAACTTAAATAAGTTATGTTAATTCTCATTAAAACCCTAAAGAGGTTTTTCCCTCTTTATAAATGAATAAACTCAAACCCATAGAGGTTTACCAATTTACCTAATGTCATTTTTTAAAAAATCATACATACTACTTCTCCATTTAGGAGATTACTAAAGAGACACCATTCACATGCCAAATTAATAAAACTTATTGCTATTTCTAAAGAACCAAGTAAAAATTGACATATAACAAAATTGATTCTTAAAGAACTCTTTGAGGTAGCTGAGGTCATAGATTATTATAATCTCTGTTCTACAGGTGTTCATAAGGAAGTGATAGTGAAATTTAATAAATTAACTCAATGGTTTATTATGGGATAAATTATCTTTATCTAATGATTACCTGGTTCAATGGTTTCCAAGCTTTAGTATTTCTGATAATAATCTGGGAGAACTTGTTAAAAATACAGACTACTAAGCCTGACCCTTAGGGATTAGACATTGAAGCGAGGTCTATAAATTTTCATTTTAATAGACACTACAGGAAATACTGATATAAGTTGTCCACAAGCCACGTTTTATGAAAAACTGATCTGGAAATCAGTAACTAATTGAAATCTGGGACTACACCTGGATGACTAAAGGACTTACTGAAAAGAAAAAAGCCAAAGGCAAAATAAAGGGGTAGAGTGGCTACTTATTGTTTGCCTCTGTGGCAACAACCCAAATTTTTCCAGTGGACATTCATCCTTCCTCCTCTCTCTGTCCATGGCTCTGTGTAGCACCCAAACCCACCTCCAGAGTAGATCACTTGATTTAGGTCTAAGCCAATCAGCACATCAGATTACTACTGCATGCCATGATTAGTTCAACCTGGCCAAAGCAGATCCAATCAGAGTAAATCAAAGAACTAATGGAACCACCAGTAAAGAGGGTCTGGTCTGTCTTCCTGATGCAAGTGGGAATATTGAGGAGATGGAAAGTTATTACAGAGATCTTGCCACTTCTTAGAAGCTGACGTAAAGCAAAAATCATAATATCACTTTGTACCACATAAATACATACTGTACAATTATTAATATTCAAGATATAAAACATAATTTTTTAAAAAGATAACACAGTAGAATTCAAGTCCTAAGATATTGTTTGAAGTCTGAAGCCACCCATGCCTAATGTCACAATACACCTCTGGACTTCCGAGTCTTGTGAGCTAGTAAATTCACATTTCAATTTGAGCCAGTTTCACTTGCAACCCGTAGAGCTCTGATACAGATGGTTTTCATCTAAATTTAGGGCCATAATAGATAGAAATGCACTTGGTGGCAGGTTTTAAAGAGAGAGCCTTCTAAAATTGTTTTAAGGACAGCCATCAGGCTCTTAGGCTCATAGTGATTCAGGAATTTTAAAAAATACATGTGAGTATCGTTCACTAAGTATACTACATCAGAACTTATGCTAAGGACTATAGCCTTTAATCCTCAAATAAACCTTTTGTGGTAAAGACTATTATTATCTCTATTTTACTTATGAGAAAAACGAGGCTTAGAAAGATTAAGAAACTTGTCCAAGATCATGCAGTTTGTAAATAGTCGAGTTGAGATAGATCCCTTCCTGCCTCACTGAGATATTCACCCCTGCATTATATCATCTCTAAAATTTTTAGTAGTTTCAAGCTACTGTAATTAAGCTTGCTCAGGAAAACAAAATGCCTTGGAGAATTTGCTTTTTTCTGAATTTAAACTGTAACTTGACTCCTTTATTGGGGACAAGAGGAATTTATAACACATTAAACCTATCTTTCTATTATTCATGGCTGGTGGATCATTGTTTATCTCAGTTGCTTCCTGTTTTCTAGTGGTTTAACATGTTTCATGAAGGACCTGGAGTATTATTTTGATCTTGTCGGTAGAGTGATGCAGATGAAAACAAATGGTAGTGGGGATTGCCACATCTGCATGTGCTTCAAACGGCCTTATCCTTCCTTTAGGCTTCTATGTCTTCTATGTGCTTATAAATTGATGCTCTTCCTCCTTTTATTCAATTACTTTATTATCACTAGCTCAATACATGTTTGTATGTGCATCAAAGTGTACATTCAACTAGACAGCAAACTGGCCAGCCCACAGATTTCATGATTGGAGTAAGGTGATTTGATACAAAGGGATGTGGCTTACTGATGTCCTGGATGCTAAATGCAGCATCTGCTTGTGACAAACATTACTACCTCTTGTAGCAGAAACATTTGATGCTGCAATCTGCCAATTTTAACATGTATTTGGGTTATTGAAAGGAAACTATTTTTTAATTACCTGGGAATTGTTTTTGACTAGTCAGCATTTGTGATGTTATATTGAATTATGAAAGTAACTTAGAATGTCAATGTTAACGTGTTTTAGATGACAGAAATTACAATGACGATACTTACCTAAATGCCAAGCCATCATTTGTGTATTTTATACATGTTTTCCCATTCATTACAGACAAATTGAAAAAAATGGCTCAGGAAGTAGAGGCTCAGGGTGGTTCAGGGACTTGCTAGTGCGTTGTGAAGCTTGGATGAAATCCATGCCTGTTTGTTCTTAAACTTTTAATCATGTATTATATTATTTAATCCAATGTTTCTCTGTTTAGTGCATGTCACAATCACCTGGAGGGCCTTTTAAAACACAAATGGCTGGGTCCCACACCAGAGTTTCGATTCAATCAATCAATGTGGGATGTGCCGTGATAATTTGCATTTCTAATAAATTCCCCAGTGGGGCTAATGTTGCCTACCTGAGTACCATACTTTAAGATCTACTAATCTAGTCCAACTGCCTCACTTTAGAAACATAAAACCAAGACTTGGAAAAGGGAAATGACCCCCCTCAAGATCAGAATGTGAATTAATGGGCAAAAGAAAACTTAAATCTAGGGTCTTCTCATGCTCAGTCTCTTAGATCTGAGGAAGCAACTGTCCTGCATCCCTTTTACATTTACAACACAGAGAAATGTTTGACTAAAGTCAGAAGTAATAACTCCTCTGAATTATGCCCTTATTCGGCAAGTTGGCAGCCAATTATGAGTTATAGTTAATTAACTTTCTTTAGTCTTCAATTTCTATAAAATTGGGGTTGCCAATTCCTACTTTGCAGCACTGTCATAAGTACTGGAAATAATTAGAAATTTTCCTCACTGGCATATAAGCTCTATGAAGTCAGGTACTTTGTTTATCTTTGTTTCTAGCTGCATTTCTACACCGAGGAAAAGTGCCTCACATATAGTAGGCATTTATAAATAATTTTGATAAATAAATATAAATACTTGATGCATCATACGAACTCAATAAGTGGTGGCTCTACTGCTATTTTAATATCATCTTGATTATCAATTGCCAGAGTTTCCTGATTTTTTTCCTATTCTATTTTCTCCCTTTCAGATTTTTTTGACATTCTCTTTACCTGCCAAGCTCTATCATATTTTCTGGTAATGTTTCCATTTTATGACTTCTGAAAATTAGTCCAGATGTTTAGCTTGCTGTTTTGTTATTCTTTCAGCAGATTCACATTGCAGCCATTGATCTCTGGTTTTCAAATGGGGAGCTCTAAATTACTGCAAACATTGTGCCTTGGCTGCCTTTTAAATCTTTTCAAGCAGTCAGCTTTGAAGGGAGGATGGCCATTAGTCATTTGGGACATATTTTAATCTGTGAGATAATAGCGAGGCATCTTCTCCTACAGGGTTGCAAGTGGCTCTCCCATTGCCCCACACACCTGTCTCTCTTGCCTCAGTAAACAGTCAAACAGGAAAGAGGCTTTACTGAATTCATTTTGTAGCACATTCTTCAAGCCCGAGATGGTTGGCACTAAGTATCCAAGCTGCTTGTGAAAGGAAGCATCCATGTGCACTGATCTAAGACATAGCTTTGAACAGTTAACAGTTTCTGGAGGAAAATAGTGACAGAAGGGGAATAATGTCCTGCCAGCTCTAGATCCATAGGTTTCAATCCTGGTTGCATGGTAGATTCATTGGGAGAACATTAAAAAAAATCTGAAGCAACAGACATTATTTCAAGAGTACTGGAATCAGAATCTCTGAGGGGTGGGTTCCAGACACCTGTGTTTCTGAGCTCACTGGTTGTCCACTTCCCTCCAAGGGCCTGTTTGGGTGTTGCAGAAATTTTTCATGGGTCCTCAACATAGTGAAAACACTAAAGTAAAACTAGCAGGATTTTCAAAATTCTAAACTTGGTCCTTTAATAAAGCTTGTTCTTTATTCGGAGAGAAGCCATTCTCCTTTATATTAAAAAATCATTAACCATCATTAAATAGATAAAATGCCGCTACAACTCAGTTTGAAGCAGTCTACATATTATGAGACGGAGCAAGATTGTAATCAAGCCTGTAATTGAGAACATCTGCCCTTCTGGCTTCAATCTAGAGATCATGTTTGAAGTCACCAGTTTCCTTTGTTTGGAACAGAGACATGTGACAATCTCAATATGTGTTGCCTGTATCTTCCTGTCAGCCATTACGAGGGTGTCTCTCTGAGGCTCAGTTTTAGCTGTTCTGGCAGAAGGATATCTATTGCTTTTGGGTGCCATCTAGGTTTTCCAACATGACTTTCAAGTGTGACCATCAGACTATACTTTAAATCAGATTATTCTAGACATACACTGTAAATATTCTGAAGATCCATATGGTGACATACATGAAATGTATTTAAGGACATAGGAAAGAACAACTTAATTTTATTTACATGAATTTTGTTCTTCCTGTTTTGCCTTCAAAATATTATTTAAAAAGTAACAGCAACAGTAATTGCAGCTTCAAAAAATTACACATTTATGTGATAAAATAAAAATGTTGATAATACTCTTTGTGAGACACCTTTTAGTTTATTTATTTTAGTTGTACTAGTTTGTTTAATACAAAAGTCTGGAGTACTACAGTCTGAAAATACTGAGAATATGGCCACACCAATCATTGTTCTGCCAATAATCAGTGGTGACTGTGTGCTATTCAAATGAGCTACTGAGAGAAGGTTCCAATTTTCTCTTGTGACACAAGAAACTACCAGACAACCACCCCTTATACATGTCCAGTTTCCATTTCATACAGTTCTGAAACTCAGAATAGTTGCATTATAACTGAGTTCAGGTATCAAATGATAACAGGTAAATAAATGCTTTGTGAGGACACTCTAGTGACAGCCTTGAATTCCTCCTTAAAATGCAGTCTTTCACTCTTCTAGCCTCCTGTGCCACCTTATCAGTCCTCTTGACTGGCATTTATCACTTGCTTTCTTGAGATATATGTAATTGTACACAAGAAGATTCTTGGCATCTTGTGAATTTAAAATTTCCAGTTTCAACTCTTCTTAAGTGACCCTGAAGAGTCTATAATTCATATCATTTGTCAGGTTGTTATATGAATTTAAATCATATATATTTTGGGCTGGTTTAAAGATGAGTGACTTAGCTACTGCAATAGCCTGAATATCATCCAACATATCCTTTCAACACAGCTCTGTGATTTCCTGTTAGTGAAAACTGAAATAGTAGTTAATAGGTGGTGTGAGGCTGTTTGTAGAAAATCTTTGAGTTTTCATAGAAATGAGACTCAGAAGAAATAATAACCAGCGACAATATTTAGTGCTTACTGTATGCCTGGTGCTATACAAAGAGCTTTGCATTCATATCATTGGATCCCTTAGGAAATGATATTGAACTAGAACTGAAAGGGAATGCAGTAGCTGAGTTAGAAAATGCATAAATCCGCAAGTAAGTTATATTATTAAATTCATTCTGCAGAAGAAAATGAAGCTTAGAAGGTTTGGCTTAGTCACATAGGTATAGCCAAGATGTGGGGGAAAAAGTTTATCTGACTCCGAAATATGTATTTTTTCATTGCTACTGATCTCTACTCTACCTGTCTCCTCCCAAAAACTCCTCACGATTTCTCATATTTCTTCTATTGGACCATTAGTTCAACTTTATTTATATATTTATTGAAGCACCTACATCAGAATCTTTGTTATAACCATGATTTGCTGAATACAATAATGAATGATGAATTTGCTTATTTCATTCACTTGCCTTCTCTTTACTTCATCAGGAAAAACTGAATGAGAACAAAATACCCTTCCATATGCATTTATTCCATGTACTTCAGTAATGCAGAAATTCTGAATGTTGCATAAGAGAAATTCCAGCTATATTTTTTCAGGGCTCCCAGGTTTAGAAACTAATAAGATATTTCTTTTATTAAAGACATTAAACACTATGAGTCAATCTCTGGAGCTCATCCCACTGTCATTTACAGATTTTCAAGAAAGCTGTGATCTGAACCCAAAAAAATACCAAGGAGTCCCTGCCTACTCTACTGGGAAAGAAAGGAAACAATACCTGTCATCCATTCATGATAAACTGGAAGACTCTAAAATAACACATAGTTAATTTCTCCATCCATACATATTGCCGTGAAACTAATTAGAGAGTTACTGTTTATAATTATAATAAAGAAGGAGAAGGACAGAGGGTTATGAGAGTACATAACAGGTGCTCTACCCTATTTGGGAGTCTCTGGGAAAGCTTCCCTTAAGAATTGATACTTGAACTGGAACTGAAAGAGGATGCAGATAGCTGAATTAGAAAATGAATTTAATGACAGTGGAAGTTGAGTTGCTGAAACAGAGAGAAGTGCCAAAGGAGATGAACTATCACATGTGAAAGTTTAAAGCAGAAAGGATCAGGAAGCACTTGATAAACTGAAAAAAAAAAGTGGGTGAATTTCGGGGACTGAAGACCTAAAGTCATACTATCCTGAGAGGGAGGGAGGTTACCAATTGAGAGAGAGAGAGACAGACACAGAGAGAAAGAGATCACTCAGGCATAGTCTCCGTATTGTTAACCAATGAAAATAAAATAAACTATTCTTTAAAATGATCTGCTCACCTCAAAAAACCCTTAAATACTTGCTAGTAATTATCGAATCAAAAAAAAAAGAAAATCAATTCTAAATTGAACTTTTAGAAAGCTCTGAAAAGAACACACCTCGCCACAACCTATAACACAGGGCAAAGCTTGTATTTTGAAGTTAATTAATAGTTTCAAATGCCTCATTACTAAAGAAAAAAATGATTTAAAAATGAGAAAGTCCTCATTTTAAAAATTAGAAAACAAACAAGAAAATACATGAGAATAGATAGAAAGTGTGAATTGAAAAAGATAAAACTGAAAATAAGGAGTTAGCAATACACACACACACACAAAATATTGTAATAGAAATAAGTTTACCAAAAGTCTGGTTCTCTTAAACAAATAAGCAAATAAGCAAACAAAGATAATACATTACTTCAAGAAAATACTGATACTCAGTACCGTTCTGGAAAAATACTTGTCCATGCTTGTGAGAGCCAACTGTACATATCTCTTCGCATTTCCACATTGCTTAACATCATACTGATATCTTGAAATTAGCAATGAAGGAAGAATTTATACCACTGAAATTGGTAAAATGCTATCAATCAGAATATTCTTTTTTCCTTCAGAAATGGTTATATATATTATATATATATAATATATATTATATATATAATATATATATTATATATATATTATATATAACCAATTTTATATGCGTATAAAATTATATATATATAATTTTATTTATATATAATTTATATATATATAAAACTTCCTGAAACTTTATGGCAATAAATTTGAAAAGCCAGAAAAAAAATTGATGATTTCTTAGCAGAATATACATTACCCAAGTTAAACCAAGAAAGAAAACTGGAAAAACTTGAGACCAGTTATCAAAGATGTTGAAAAGGTATTTAAACCTGCCATTTTAGTCAGGACCATTAGCCAAGTTATATTTGTCTAATGAAGAGCAGATGATTCTAATGTCAAATAAACTATTTGCCTGTTAAAAATTTTTAAATCACCTTAAACAGTTTTATAAAATCATAATTTAATGCCAAAATATGATAATGTTTATATTTTTTATGGAGATGCCTACTTTGATATATTAACCAATAGAATCTGACACTGTCACAGAAATGTACTTCATTATAACAAACTGTTTGTCCTAGAAATGTAAGGTTTGTTCAATATGAACCAAAAAGTCAACACAAAATTTTACATTAACAAATTCATAGAAAAATCCAGGTCTATGATTACATCAATAGTTCTGAAAAGGGCAGTTAATAAAATGTATTTTATTGGAAATACTTTTTGCAGCATTTTTTACAATGGCAAATGTGCTACTTTCCTGTTAGGAATTACATAAAATTACATTAAAATCTGTATAGAATAATACATATCTGGAAATTGTCAGCAAATGTCTGGTAAGGATAAATAGTAAAGAGGTACATAACTCACCAAATTTTAAAGTCATGTAATTATGTATAGTTAATGTAATCAAGTAAAGATTCTATGGCCAGATAAACTGCTCAATGGAAGAGAATAGAGAATCCAGGAACACAGCTCAGTATTTATGACAATTTAATATGTCAAAATTAAAAGATCAATATGATGGAAAAATGATATTTTAACAAATATTTCTGGTATAATTGGTTAGATATCTTGAATAAAAAATGTGAAATCTTTACTTAATACTATAAAAATTCCAGATGTACTCAATACTTGCATATAAAAATAAAATAATAAAAATTATAGAAAATCTAAGAAAAACTTAGTAAAGTACCTCTCCTTTTTTTAAATTGTAGATTCAGGAGGATACATGTTCAGGTTAGTTACATTAATATATTGCATAATGGTCAGGTTTGGGCTTACGGTGTACCCATCTCACAAATAACGAAGCCTGTACCCAATAGGTAATTTTTCAACCCTCACCCTCCTCACAGACTCCCCCCACAAACTCCCCAGTGTGTGTGTTTCTGAGTTATTTCACTTAGGATAATTGCATCTAGCTCCATCCATGTTGTAGCAAAAGACATGATTTCATTATTTTTATGGCTGCATAGGATTTCATAGCGTATATATAACAATTTCTTTATCCAATCATCAGTTGTTGGACATGACTTTGCTATTGGGAACAGTGCTGTCATAAACATATGAGTGTGGCTGCCTTTGGGATATAATGATTTCTGCTCCTTTGGGTAGATACCCAGTAGTGGGGTTGTTGAGTCAAATGGTAGTTTTAGTTTTAGTTCTTTGAGAAATCTCCATACTGTTTTCCATAGAGGCTGTAGTAATTTACGTTCCCACCAACAATGTATAAGTATTCCTTTTCCCTGCATCCTTACTAAATATATCTGTTATTTTTTTATTTTTAATTATAGCTGTTATGACTGGTGTAAGATGGTATCTCATTGTGGTTTTAATTTGCACTTTGTTGATGATTAGTGGTATTGAGCATTATTTTAATATGTTTTCTGGCTGCTTGTATGTGTTCTTTTGAGAAATGTCTGTTCTTTTGTCCACTATTTAAATTGGGTTATTTGTTGTTTTCTTGTTAAGTTGTTGGAATTACTTGCATATCCTGGATATTAGTTCTTTGCCGGATGCACAGTTTGCTGTATTTTCTTTCTTTTTCTAACACCTTTGTAAAAAAAATAAAAAGAAAAGAAATGTGCCACATACACACTATGGAATACTAAGCAGCCATAAAAAAGAATGAGTTCATGTCCTTTGCAGGGACGTGGATGAAGCAGTTTGCAGTATTTTCTCCCATTCTGTAGTTTCTCTGTTTACTCTGTTGCTAGTTTCTTTCATGTGCGGAAGCTTTTTAGTTTAATTAAGTCCCATTTGTTTATTTTGTTTTGCTATATTTCCTCTTGAGGTTTTGGTCATAAATTCTTTGCCTAGAGCAATGTTCAGAAGTTTTTCCTAGTTTTATTTCAGGATTTTATAGTTTCAGGTCATACATGTAAGTCTTTATTCCATCTTGGGTTAAGTTTTATTATGATGAGAGATAGGGGTCCAGTTTCATTCTTCCACATATGGCTAGCCAATTCACCCAGGACTATTTGTTGAATAAGGAATCCTTTACCTATTGTTTGTTTTCATTGAGTTTGATAAGATTAGTTTACTGTAGATATGTGACTTTATTTCTTGGTTATCTGTTCTGTTCCCTTGATCTATCTGTCTAGTTTTATACCAATACAGTGCTGTTTTGGTTACTATAGCCTTGTAGTATAATTTGAAGGCATGAAGTCAAGTAAGTAAGGTTTCTGGCTTTATTCTTTTTGCTTATAATTGCTTTGGCTATTTGTGCTTTTTTGGGTTCTGTATGAATTTAAGATTTTTTTTTAGTTCGGTGAAAAATGACATTGGCAGTTTGAAATGAATTGTGTTGAATCTGTAAGTTGCTTTTGGCAGTATGGTCATTTAAACAATAATGATTCTTTCAATCCATGAGCATGGGTTATTTTTCATTTGTGTCACCTATTATTTATTTCAGCAGTGATTTGTAGTTTTCGTTGTGGAGAGCTTTCACCTTCTTGCTTAAATGTATTCCTATATTTTGGTGTTTTCTTGGTGACTATTATAAATGGGATTGAGTTCTTGATTTGGTCCTCAATTCGAACATTGTTGATGTATAGAAATCTACTGTACTATGAACACTGATTTTGTACCCTGAAATTTTACCGAAAGTGTTAATCATGTCTAGGAGTCTTTTGGAGGATTCCTTAGGGTTTTCTAGGTATAAGATCATGTTGTCAGTGAACAGAGATGGTTTGACTTCTTTTCTTCCAATTTAGATGCCCTTTATTTCTCTTGCCTGACTGCTCTTGCTAGGACTTCCAGTACTATGTTGAATAGGAGTAGTGAGAGTAGGCATCCTTCTTTTGTTCGTGTTCTTAGGGAGAATGCTTTCAACTTTTCCCCATTCTGTGTGACGTTGGCTGTGGGTTTGTTTTATATGGGTTTTATTATTTTTAGGTATGCTCCTTCAACACTTAGCTTGAAAGGACTTTTATCATGAAGGAAGGTTGGATATTATCAAATGTTTTTCTTTATCTATTGGGATAATCATATGACTTTTGCTTGTAATTCTGTTTCTGTGATAAATCAAATATATTTATTTGGCATATTGAACCATCTTTGTATTCCTGGAATAAAGTCCCCTTGATTGTGATGCAAAATCTTTTTGATATACTGTTGGATTCAGTTTACTAGTATTTTGTAGAATTTTTTTGCCTCTATTTTCATTAGGAATATTGACCAGTAGCTTTGTTTTTTTTTTTTGTTTGTTTGTTTCATTGCCTGATTTTGGTATCATGATTTTGTGTAATGAGTTAGAGAGAAATACCCTTCCTTGATTTTTTGGGAATAGTTTCAATAAGACTGGTACCAGCTCATCTTTGTATATGTGGTAAAATTCAGCTGTGAATTCATCTTGCCTTGGACTTTTTCTTGGGATACTTTTAATTACTGATTCAATTTTAGTACTCATTATTGGTCTGTTCAGGATTTCTGTTTCTTCCTGGCTCAATCTTTGGAAGTTGTATGTTTTCAGAAATTTATCCTTTTTTAACGTTTTCTAGTTTGTTTGCATAGAGATGCTTATAGTAGTCTCTGGTGATATTTTGCATATCTGTGGTATCAGTTTTAGTATAACCTTTACCATTACTGATTGTGCTAATTGACAAATAAAATATTAAATATTTAATGTATATAACATGATATTTGGTATATGTATACATAGTGAACTGATTACTAAAATCAAGCTGATAAACACATCTATCATCTCACATAGTTATCATGTGTGTGTTAATATTTAAGATCTAATCACTTAATAAATTCCAAGTGTGTAATATGGTATTATTAACTTTAGCCACCATGCTGTATATTAGATTTCTAGAACTTTTTTATCCTGCATAACTGAAACTTATTACATTTGACTAACATCTCTCCATTTCCATTATCCCTCAGCTACTGGCATCTACCATTCTTCTCTCTGCCTCTATGATTTTGACATTTTTATATTCCATATATAGTGTTTGTCTTTCTGTGCCTGGCTTAGTTCACTTAGTATAATGTCTTCTACATTTATCTATGTTGTCACAAATGACAGAATTTTCATGTTTTAAAGTTTGAATTTTCTTGATCTAGTTACCCTTCAATGGGCATGTGGGTTATTTTCCTATCTTGATAATTGTGAAAAATGCTGCAATGAACATGGGAATGCAGATGTCTCTTTGATATACTGATTTAATTTCCTTTAGATATATACCAAGAAGTGGGATAGTTAGAGCATATGAAACTTCTATTTTTAATTTTCTGAGGAAACTATAAACTGTTTTCTATAATGGCTGTATTAATTTACATTCCTAACAGCAGTGTACAAGGATTTCCTTTTCTTCTTATAAATATTTATCCTTAATAACTTTGATAATAGCCATCCTAGCAAGTATAAGATGACACCTCATTGTGATTTTGATTTGTATTTCCAGCATAATTAGTGATGTTGAGCATTTTTTAAAATACCTATTGGAAAATGTATTTCTTCTTTTGAGAAATGCCTGTTGAGGTTCTTTACCCATTTTTAATTGGGTTGCTTATTTTCTAGTTATTGAGTTGTGTGGGTTGCCTACATATTTTGGATTTTAACTCTTTACTAGATACATGGTTTGAAAATATTTTCTCCCATTTCATAGCTTGTCTTTTCAATCTGTTGATTGTTTCCTTTGCTGTACAACAGCTTTACAGGTTGATACAATCCCATTGCTTATTTTTGCTATTGTTGCCTGTGCTTTTGGTGTAATATTTTAACAAATCATTGCCCAAATCAAAGTCAACAATTTATTCTCTGTGTTTTCTTCTAGTAGTTTTAGGTCTTACGTTTAACTCTTCAATCCATTTTGGGTTGATTTTTTTTGTGTATGGTATGAGATTATTGTCCAGTTCCTTTCTTTTACATGTAGATATCCAGTTTCCTCAGCATCATTTATTGAAGAGATAATCCTTTCCTCATTGTATGTTCCTGGAACGTTTGCCAAATATAAGTGGTTTTATTTCTGGGCAATTTTGTCCCATTGTCCTATATGTCTATTTTTATGCCAATATCATATTCTTTGAGTTCTACAGATTGGAAATGTGTTTTGAATTCAGGTAGTGTAATGCCTCTAGCATTGTTCTTTTGGTCAAGATTTATTTGGCTATTATGGGTCTTTTGTGGCTTCATATTAATTTCAGGATTTTTTTCTATTCTTGTGAAAAATGCCATTGGAATTAAAATAGGAAGTCTATTATATGTGTAGATTCATTTAGATAGTAGTATGGATATTTTTGCAGTATTATTTCTTCCAATCCATGGACACAGGACATCTTACCATTTGTTTCTCTTCTTTAATTCCTTTCATCAAAGTTTTATAGTTTTCAATATAATAATTTTTTACCTCCTCATTTCTTCTTCTTCTTCTTTTTTTTTTTTTTGTGAGACGAATTCTCACTCTGTTGCACAAGCTGGAATGCAGTGGAGTGATCTCGGCTCACTGCAGCCTCCACCTTCCTGGTGGATTCAAGTGATTCTCCTGCCTAAGCCTTCCGAGTAGCTGGGACTAAAAGCATGCACCACCATGCCTGGCTAATTTTTTTGTAGTTTTAGTAGAGATGGGGATTCACTATGTTGGCCAAGCTGGTCTTGAACTCCTGGCCTCGTGATCCACCAACCTCAGCCTCCCAAAGTGCTGGGATTACAGGCGTGAGCCACCACGCCTGGCCTACCTCCTTATTTCTAAGTATTTTTTTTTTTTGAAGCTACAACAGATTGTTTTCTTAATTTCTTTTTTAGATAGTTCACTGTTAGTATTTATAAGGGAAATTGTTTTCATATGCTAATTTTGTATCCTGCAACTTTACTGAATTCATTTATTCTAACAAATTTTAGTTGCATCTTAAGTGTTTTCTCTACATATAAAATCACATCATCTGCATACAGAGACTATTTTATTTCTTCTCTGACTCAGGTAACTTTTATTTCTTTTTATTGCCTAATTATTCTTGCTAGGACTTCTAATACTATGCTGAATAGACATGACAAGAGCAGGCATCCTTTTCTTACTCCTAATCTTACAGTAAAATGTTTCAGCTATTTATGATTAAGTATGTGAACTGTGGGGCTATCATACATGCCCTTTATTATGTTGAGATACACTTCTTCTCCAATTTGTTGAGAGTTTTTGTCATGAAAGGATGTTGAATTTGTCAAATGTTTTTCTGCATCTGTTGAGATGATCATATAGCTTTTTCCTTTACCCTGTTAATGTAGTCTATCACATTCATTGACTTGTCCATGTTGAAAAGTCATTGTATTCCAGAGATACGTACAATTTGATTATGAGTGTTATCATTTTGATGTGCTATTGAGTTTGATTTGATAGCACTTTGTTGATGATTTCTGCATCTGTATTCATCAGGGATATTACCTTTAATTTGCTTTTCTTATAATGTCCTTGTTTGGCTTTGGTATTAGAGTAATGCTGACCTCATAAAGTGACTTTTGTAGTGTTCCCTTCTTTTTAACTTTTTAGAAGAATTTGAGAAAGATCGTAGAATTCACTTGTGAAGTCATCTTGTCCTCAGCGTTTCTTTGTTGGAAGATTTTTGTTTACTATTCCATCTTTTCCCTCATTATTGGTCTGTTCAGATTTTCCATTTCCTCATGATTCAGACTTGGTAGATTATATGTTCCTAGGAATTTATCCATGTCTTTCGAGTTATCCAATTTGTTGGTGTATAATTGCTCATTGCACTTTTTTATGATCCCTTTCATTTCTGTGCTATCACTTGCAATGTCTCTTTTTAATTTGTAACTTTATTTATTTTAGGCTTCTGTGTCTTTTTCTTAAATACTCTAAAGGTTTGGCAGTTTTGCATATCTTTTCAAAAACCAACTCAGTTTCATAGTTATTTTACACTATTTTCTATATCATTTATTTCTGCTCTAATCTTCATTATTTTCCTTCTTTTGCTAATTTTGGGCTTTGTTCTTTTTCTAATTCCTTGGGATAAAGATAAGTCATCTCTTTGAGATGGTTTTTCTTAATGTAGGCATTTATCACTACAACCTCCCTCTAGGAATCTTGCTCTATAAGCTCTGGTATGATGTGTTTTCATGTTCATTTGTCTTAAGATTTTTGTTTCCTTTAATTTGACTTCTTCCTTGACCCATTGGTTGTTCAGGAGTATGCTTTTTTATTATTATTATTAACTTTAAGTTTTAGGGTACATGTGCACAGTGTGCCGGTTAGTTACATATATACAGATGTGCCATGCTGGTGTGCTGCACCCATTAACTCGTCATTTAGCATTACGTATATCTCTTAATGCTATCCCTCCCCCCTCCCCCACCCCACAACAGTCCCCAGAGTGTGATGTTCCCCTTCCTGTGTCCATGTGTTCTCATTGTTCTATTCCCACCTACGAGTGAGAACATGCGGTGTTTGGTTTTTTGTCCTTGCGATAGCTTACTGAGAATGATGATTTCCAATTTCATCCATGTCCCTACAAAGGACATGAACTCATTATTTTTTATGGCTGCATAGTATTCCATGGTATATATGTGCCACAATTTCTTAATCCAGTCTATCATTGTTGGACATTTGGGTTGGTTCCAAGTCTTTGCTATTGTGAATAATGCCGCAATAAACATACGTGTGCATGTGTCTTTATAGCAGCAACACTTATAGTCCTTTGGGTATATACCCAGTAATGGGATCGCTGGGTCAAATGATGTTTCTAGTTCTAGATCTCTGAGGAATCGCCACACTGACTTCCACAATGGTTGAACTAGTTTACAGTCCCACCAACAGTGTAAAAGTGTTCCTATTTCTCCACATCCTCTCCAGCACCTGTTGTTTCCTGACTTTTTAATGATTGCCATTCTAACTGGTGTGAGATGGTATCTCATTGTGGTTTTGATTTGCATTTCTCTGATGGCCAGTGATGAGGAGCATTTTTTCATGTGTCTTTTGGCTGCATAAATGTCTTCTTTTGAGAAGTGCCTGTTCATATCCTTTGCCCACTTTTTGATGGGTTTGTTTTTTTCTTGTAAATTTGTTTGAGTTCATTGTAGATTCTGGATATTAGCCCTTTGTCAGATGAGTAGGTTGCGAAAATTTTCTCCCATTTTGTAGGTTGCCTGTTCACTCTGATGGTAGTTTCTTTTGCTGTGCAGAAGCTCTTTAGTTTAATTAGTTCCCGTTTGTCAATTTTGGCTTTTATTGCCATTGCTTTTGGTGTTTTAGACATGAAGTCCTGGCCCATGCCTATGTCCTGAATGGTAATGCCTAGGTTTTCTTCTGGGGTTTTTATGGTTTTAGGTCTAACGTTTAAGTCTTTAATCCATCTTGAATTAATTTTTGTATAAGGTATAAGGAAGGGATCCAGTTTCAGCTTTCTACATATGGCTAGCCAGTTTTCCCAGCACCATTTATTAAATAGGGAATCCTTTCCCCATTGCTTGTTTTTCTCACGTTTGTCAAAGATGAGATAGTTGTAGATATGCGGCGTTATTTCTGAGGGCTCTGTTCTGTTCCATTGATCTATATCTCTGTTTTGGTACCAGTACCATGCTGTTTTGGTTACTGTAGCCTTGTAGTATAGTTTGAAGTCAGGTAGCGTGATGCCTGCAGCTTTGTTCTTTTGGCTTAAGATTGACTTTGTGATGCGGGCTCTTTTTTAAAGTTCCATATGAACTTTAAAGTAGTTTTTTTCCAATTCTAAGTCATTGGTAGCTTGATGGCGATGGCATTGAATCTATAAATTACCTTGGGCAGTATGGCCATTTTCACAATATTGATTCTTCCTACCCATGAACATGGAATGTTCTTCCATTTGTTTGTATCCTCTTCTATTTCATTGAGCAGTGGTTTGTAGTTCTCCTTGAAGAGGTCATTCATGTCCCTTGTAAGTTGGATTCCTAGGTATTTTATTCTCTTTGAAGCAATTGTGAATGGGAGTTTACTCATGATTTGGCTCTCTGTTTGTCTGTTATTGGTGTTTAAGAATGCTTGTGATTTTTGTACATTGATTTTGTATCCTGAGACTTTGCTGAAGTTGCTTATCAGCTTAAGGAGATTTTGGGCTGAGACAATGGGGTTTTCTAGATATACAATCATGTCTTCTGCAAACAGGGACAATTTGACTTCCTCTTTTCCTAATTGAATACCCTTTATTTCCTTCTCCTGCCTAATTGCCCTGGCCAGAACTTCCAACACTATGTTGAATAGGAGTGGTGAGAGAGGGCATCCCTGTCTTGTGCCAGTTTTCAAAGGGAATGCTTCCAGTTTTTGCCCATTCACACAATAATAATGGGAGACTTTAACACCCCACTGTCAACATTAGACAGATCAATGAGACAGAAAGTTAACAAGGATACCCAGGAATTGAACTCAGCTCTGCACCAAGTGGACCTAATAGACATCTACAGAACTCTCCACCCCAAATCAAGAGAATATACATTTTTTTCAGCACCACACCACACCTATTCCAAAATTGACCACATACTTGGAAGTAAAGCTCTCCTCAGCAAATGTAAAAGAACAGAAATTATAACAAACTGTCTCTCAGACCATAGTGAAATCAAACTAGAACTCAGGATTAAGAATCTCACTCAAAACCGCTCAACTACATGGAAACTGAACAACCTGCTCCTGAATGGCTACTGGGTACATAAGGAAATAAAGACAGAAATAAAGATGTTCTTTGAAACCAATGAGAACAAAGACACGACATACCAGAATCTCTGAGACACATTCAAAGCAGTGTGTAGAGGGAAATTTATAGCACTAAATGCCCACAAGAGAAAGCAGGAAAGATCCAAAATTGACACCCTAGCATCACAATTAAAAGAACTAGAAAAGCAAGAGCAAACACATTCAAAAGCTAGCAGAAGGCAAGAAATAACTACAATCAGAGCAAAACTGAAGGAAATAGAGACAAAAAAAAAAAAAAACCCTTCAAGAAATTAATGAATCCAGGAGCTGGTTTTTTGAAAGGATCAACAAAATTGATAGATTGCTAGCAAGACTAATAAAGAAAAAAAGAGAGAAGAATCAAATAGACGCAATAAAAAATGATAAAGGGGATATCACCACCGATCCCACAGAAATACAAACTACCATCAGATAATACTACAAACACCTCTACACAAATAAGCTAGACAATCTAGAGGAAATGGACAAATTCCTCGACACATACGCTCTCCCAAGACTAAACCAGGAAGAAGTTGAATCTCTGAATAGACCAATAACAGGATCTGAAATTGTGGCAATAATCAATAGCTTACCAACCAAAAAGAGTCCAGGACCAGATGGATTCACAGCCGAATTCTACCAGAGGTTCAAGGAGGAATTGGTACCATTCCTTCTGAAACTATTCCAATCAATAGAAAAAGAGGGAATCCTCCCTAACTCATTTTATGAAGCCAGCATCATCCTGATACCAAAGCCGGGCAGAGACACAACAAAAAAAAGAGAATTTTAGACCAATATCCTTGATGAACATTGATGCAAAAATCCTCAATAAAATACTGGCAAACCGAATCCAGCAGCACATCAAAAAGCTTATCCACCATGATCAAGTGGGCTTCATCCCTGGGATGCAAGGCTGGTTCAATATACGCAAGTCAATAAATGTAATCCAGCATATAAACAGAACCAAAGACAAAAACTACATGATTATCTCAATGGATGCAGAAAAGGCCTTTGACAAAATTCAACAACCTTCATGCTAAAAACTCTCAATAAATTAGGTATTGATGGGACGTATCTGAAAATAATAAGAGCTATCTATGACAAACCCACAGGAGTATGCTTTTTAATTTTGACATTTTAGTGAATTTCCCAATTTTATTCCTGTTTTTGACTTCCAGTTTCATACTATTGTGGTCAGAAAAAAATACTCTATATTATTTCAATCTTTATTTTTTTTTGGAGACAGAGTCTCACTCTGTCGGCCATGCTGGAGTGCAGTGGCACGATCTCGGCTCACTCCAAGCTCCGCCTCCCGGGTTCATGCCATTCTCCTGCCTCAGCCTCCCGAGTAGCTGGGACAACAGGTGCCCGCCACCATGCCTGGCTAATTTTTTTTGTATTTTTAGTAGAGACGGGGTTTCACTGTGTTAGCCAGGATGGTCTTGATCTCCTGACCTCCTGATCCGCCCACCTCAGCCTCCCAAAGTGCTGGGATTACAGGCCTGAGCCACCGTGCCCGGCCATGATTTCAATCTTAAACTTGTTCATACTTGTTTGGTGGACCAACATATGATCTATCCTGGAGAGTGATCCATGTGCACTTGAAAAGAATATGTACTCTGCTGCTGTTGGATGGAATGTTCTGTATGATTGTTAAACTCATTTGCTATATAGTAAAGTTCAAGTACAATGTTTCCTATTTGGTTTTCAATATAAGTGTTCTATACGTTGTTGAAAGTGGGGTATTGAAGTTCCCTACTGTTGTTGTATGGTTGTCTGTCTATTTCTTTATTCAGCTCTTCTTATAGTTTATTTATTTAGGTGCTCTGATTTGGATATGTTTGTGTATGTTATGTAATTACATACATAATTATCTTCTTGATAAATTGAAGTCTTTTTCATTACATAATGACTTTCTTTATCTCTTGTGAAAGTTTTTAACTTAAAGTCTATTTTGTCTCATGTAAGTATAGCCATCATGCTCTCTTTTGATTACCAATTGCAGGACATAAGTTTTTTTATTCCTTTACTTTCAATCTGTTGTTCTTAAAGATAAAATGAGTCTATTGAATGCAGCATACAGTTGGATTTTTTAAAAAATCTTCAGTCACTTTATGTCTTTTGATTGGATACTTTAATTCATTTATATTTAAAGCAACTATTGATACGAACAGTAAGTACTTATGATCAGCATTTTGTTGATTGTTTTCTATTTTGTAGTTCCAACTTCCTCTCTTACTGTCTTCCTTTGTGATTTGATAATTTGTTTTGTAGTGATATTATTTTATATACTTAAATATATATATTTATATTTTGACTCCTTTCTCTTTGCCTTTTGTGTTCTACCATTTTTAAAAATTTGTTATTACAAGTAGGCTTACTTAAAACATCTTATAGTTCTGACAGTCAATTTTTTAAGTTGATAACAAATGAACTTAAATTATATACAAAAATGCTACACTTTAACTTTCCCTCTTCTCACATTTATGTTATTGATGTTACAACTTACATGTTTTCTGTATCATATATCCATTAACAAATTATTGAAGCTATAGTTACTTTTAATGCTAGGCTTAAATTGATTTATGTACCACTCTTACTGTATTAGAGTCTTCTGATTTGTACTAGATCCTTACATTTACAATGAGTTTTATATCTTCATGTTTTCATGTTGTTGGTTATAATCCTTTTGTTTCATCTTCAAGAATGCTTTTTAGTATTTCTTATATGTCTAGCCATGATGAACTCTCTCAGGTTTTGTTTTTCTGGGAAAATATTTTTTTCTCTTTCATTTCTGAAGGACATCTTCTTTCAGCTATTTGAATATGTAATCCCACTATTTTCTTGCCTGCGAGGTTTCTGCTAAGAAGTCTGCTGATAATCTTAAGGGATTCCCTTGGATGTAAAGAATTATTTTTCCCTTGCAGCCTTGAAAATTCTCTCCGACTTTTGAGAGTTTGATTATAAGGTGTCTTGATAAACATCTCCCTGTATTTAATCCATTTGGGGTTTCTGTGTCTCATAGATTTGAATGTTCATTTTTTTCTACAGATTTAGGAGTATTTCTTTATTTCTTTGAATAAGCTTTCAGTACTTTCTATCTTCTCTTTCCGAGATTCCCATAATGTGGATTTTGCTGTGCTTGATGGTGTCTTATAAGTTTGATAGGCTTGCTTCACTCCTTTTCATTATTTTTTCTTAACATTTTTCTGACTGGGTAATTTCTTTAAAAAACATGTTTTGGAGACAGAATCTTGCGCTGTTATCCAGGCTGGACTGCAAAGACACAACCATAGCTTACCATAATCTCAAACCCCTGAGCTCGGGTGTTATTACTCCTGTGTTAGCTCCCTGGGTAGCTAGGACTACAGGCATGCACTACCATGCCTGGTGAATTTTTTTTTTTTAATTTTTGTATATATGGGGTCTTGTTATGTTTCCCAGGCTAGTCTTAAACTCCTGGCCTTGAATGATCCTCCCAGTCTGGCCTCCTAAAGTGCTGAAATTACAGGTACAAGCCGCCAATCCTGGCCTGGGTAATTTCAACTGATATGTCTTCACTGTTTTTCTTTATTTCTGCTTTAACAGGTCTGCTCCTGAAGCTCTCTAAAGAATTTTTCAGCTCAGTGATTATATTCCTCAGTTCTGGAATTTTTGTTTGGTTCATCTTTATGTTGTCTATTTCTTTGTTAAACTTCTAATTTTGTTCATGTATTGTTTTATTGATATTATTTACTGTTCGTCTTTCTCCTCTTATAACCCATTGAATTAACCTAAGATGATTACTTTGATTTATTCATCAATTTGTAGAGCTCCATGTCTTTAGGGTTGGTTACTGGTGCTTTATTTTTTTTTCCTTTGATGATGTCATATTTCCCTGATGATTTGTGATCCTTGCTCTGGTGCCTGGGTATTCAAAAAATTAGGCATCCTTTTCAATATTTACATACTGACTTTAGTAGGACAAGTTGTTCCTCAGTCACCCTGTCCAGAGGTTCTGGATGGGCAAGCTATTGGGATATGCTGGTGGGCTTGCTGCTGGAGTTCTCAGGCGGGCTAGCCTTGTGCCTGGGTCAGTGACTGTGCAGCTCTGATGCCTGGGTCCACAGGGAAAGGACTACTGCCTGGATACATGTGGTGGGGCCTGGAGCCTATGTTCATAGAGGCAAGGCTGAAGCCTGGGTACACAGAAGCTGGTCTTCAACCTGAGTCTTTTGGGGGCGGTGGGGGATGGGGGGCTGTGTTCTCAGTCTGTACGGTTTGGGCAGACATCATGGTCCACTAGGGCAGGCCTGGTCCCTGGATCCTGTGGGAATGTCTGGTGCCTGGGACTGTGAGGACCTATCTGACACTGGGGTAAGTCTTAAGCCTGAGTCTGCAGTTGAACCTCTGGAGTCTGGGTCTTCTGAGAACAACACAGAATCTTGGTCCATAGGAGCTAGTCTGGAGCTTGGGGCTGTGGGCAGTAGACTGGTGCTGTTGCAGGGCTGCCCTGGTACTGGGAAAGACCCAAATCCTGGGGCCACTGGAACCAGCTTCACACCAGGATTCACTGAATGGGCCTGGTGCTGGGGTCTGTGGCATAGTTGAATGATGACTTCAATCTCCTTTCCCAACATGGAGGGAGGGTGATATGGGTAGTGTGAAACAATCCTTCCCACTCTCTTCAGTGTGTCATCCTTTCTTATTTTCACCCTACACTCAGGTGCTGTAATCTCTCATCTGGATTCCTTAGGTCCCATGCAGGGATTTTTATTAATGGATGGTTGTTCAGATTGATGGTTCTGTGAGGGGTCAAGCACTAAGAATTCCCATTCTGCCATTTTGTTGATGCCAGTTAGCACACTATATAGTTTTAAAGACATTTTCACAATGTATTTTTAAGGGCAAAAAGACTAAGGTACAGGAAAGTATATGTAGTAGGGTTATCTTTATATAGTGAAGCAAACAAATTTTTCTTAACTATTAATGTGTATGAGTGTGTTAATATGAATTTTGTATATTGTTATATAAACATGAAAATAAGTATAGAAGGCACCCCAAGCTATTTATAGAAATTATTAGTTTGAGGAGGAGGGCACAACTGAGGGAGATGGAAAGTAAAGAGTAGAAGATGAGGATTATTTTTTGTAACTGGGGAAAAAAGCAGTTAAACAACTTATGAATGATTTCAAATTATATAAAAGTATACAAAGCTGTTTTATAGAAAAAAAGGGAGAGAAATTGATAGCTACTTTTATATTTACCAAACTGTAATACTGGTCAAGGTATGGTCACATGAATAAAAAAGTTGCAATGTAATATGTTTGCTCTATTTTGATGATTCTATTTATTTAAAGCAAAAACCTACAAGCAAAAATGATATATCTACATTAGTTGATAATATCTTATATTTTGTATCTGTCTATATAACTGTCTATCGAGAAAGGAAGTTTTAGAATGATACACTTTATCTTAGAGGACTAGATATGGTATTCAGCAAAAAAATTATAATTTACTCAGCACAATAAGTATATACAAACATACCTCAAAGATATTGCAGATTTAGTTACAGACCACTGCACTCAAGCAAATATCATAAGAAAGTGAGTCACACAAATATTTTGGTCTCCCAGTGCATGTTTATGTTATGCTGTATTATATTGTTTATAATAGTATTTTATTTTAAATTGTACATGCCTTGATTAAAAAGTGATTTATTGATGAAAATACTAATGATCATCTGAGCTTTCAGTGAGTTGTAATCTTTTTGGTGGTGGAGGGACTTGCCTCAGTGTTGATGGCTGCTAACTGACCTGGATGGTGGTTGCTGAAGGTTACTGAGACTGCAGCAATTTTTTAAAACAAGACAAAAATGAAGTTTGCCAAATCGATGACTTTTCCTTTCATGAAAGATTAATATGTAGCACGTAATGCTGTTTGATAGCATTTTACCCACAATAGAACTTCTTTCAAAATTGGAGTAAAACGTCTCCAATCCTACTGCTATTTTATCTGCTCAGTTTATGTAATACTCTATGTTCTTTGTTGTCATTTCAACAGTGTTCACAGCATCTTCACTAGGAGCATATTCTATCTAAAAAAAAGCAAAACAACCTTTTTTTCTCATTCATAAGAAGCAACTCCTCACCTATTCAAATGTTATGAGATTGCAGCAATTCAGTCACATCTCCAGGCTCTACTTCTTATTCTAGCTCTCTTGGTATATCCACCACATCTTCAGTGACTTCCTCTACTAAAGTCTTAAACCCTTCAAGGTCATCCTTGAGAACTGTAATCAACTTTCCCACTCCTGCTAATGTTGAAATTTTGACTTCTCCCATGAATCATAATTATTTTTAATGGCATCTAGAACAGTGAAACCTTTCCAGAAGGTTTTCAAAGTACATATTTTGCCCAGATCCATCAAAAAATCATTATCTATAGCAGCTGTAGACTTACAAACTAAATTTCTTAAATAATAAGACTTGAAAGTCAAAATGACTTCTTGATTCATGGGCTTCAGAATGAATGCTGCATTGGCAGGCATGAAAATAACACCAATCTCCTCTATTTCTATCAGAGTTCTTTGGTGACTAGATGCATTGTCAATGATCAGTAATATTTTGAAAGAAACCTTTTTTTCTCAGCAGTATGTCTCAAAATTGGACTTTAAATATTTAGTTAATCATACTGTATCTAGATGTGCTGTCATCCAGGGTTTGTTATTTCATTTATAGAGCACAGTCAGAGTTGACTTAGCATCATTCTTAAGGGCACCAATATTTTCAGAATGGTAAGTGAGCATTGGCTTTAGTTGAAGATCACCAGCAGCATTAGCTCTGAACAAGTCAGCATGTTTTTTGAAGCTTTGAGTCCAGGCACTGACGTCTCTCTAGTTATGAAAGTCTTAAATGTTATTTTTTTTCTAGTAGAGGGCTCTTTCATCTGCATTGAAAATATGTTGTTTAGCATAGCCATCTTCAATTATTTTAGCTGGATATGCTGGATCATTGCTGCAGCTTCCACATCAGCTCTTGCTCTTTTACCTTGCACTTCTATGTTATGGAGATGGCATTTTTTTTTCTTAAACTTCATGAACCAACCCCTGCAAGTTTCTCTTTTTTTTCTACAGCTTCTTCAACTATAAGCCTTCATAGAATTGCAGACAGTTAGGACCTTGCTCTGGATTAGCCTTGGTCTTAAGAGAATGTCATGGCTGGTTTGATCTTACATCCAGACCACTAAAACTTTCCCTATATCTGCAATAAGTCTGTTTTGCTTTTTTATTACTTTTGTGCTCACTGGAGTAGCACTTTTAATTTCTTTAAGAACTTTTCCTTTGCATTCACAACTTGGCTGTTCAGCACAAAATTCCCAGCTTTTGGCCTGTCTTGATTTTCAACATGCCTTCCTCACTAAGCTTAACCATTTCTAGCTTTTGATTAGTTAAGAAAACTTTTATTTTAGGTTCAGGGGTACATGTACAAGTTTGTTATATAGATAAACTGTGTGACACAGGGATTTGACATACAGATAATTTCCTCACCTAGGTAAGAAGCATAATACCTAATAGGTATACTCCAACCTCAAGTAGGCCCCAGTATCTGTTGTTCCTCTCCTAGTATTCATGTGTTCTCATTGTTTAGTTCTCACTTATAAGTGAGAATATGCAGTATGTGTTTTTCTGTTTCTGTGTTAGTTTGCTTAGGATAATGGCTTCCAGCTCTATCCATGTCGCTGCAAAATACATGGTCTCATTATACTTTTATGACTGCATAGTATTGGATGGCATATAAGCACCATATTTTCTTTATCAAATCTACCATTGATGGACATTTAGGTTGATTCTATGTCTTTGTTATTGTGAATATTACTGCGATAAACATATAGCAATATTTGGGTATACACCCAATATTTTGGGTATATAGCCACAAATGGGACTGCTGGGTCAAATAGTAATTCTGTTTTAAGTTATTTGAGGAATTGCCACACTGCTTTCCACAACGGCTGAACTAATTTCCACTCCCATCAACAGTGTATAAGCATTCGCTTTTCTTTACAACCTTGCCAGCATCTGTTATTTTTTGACTTTTTACTAATAGCTATTCTGAGTGATATGAGATGGAATCTCATTATGGTTTTGACTTGCATTCATTTAATTATAAGTGATGTAGAACATTTTTTCATATGCTTGTTGGCTGCATGTATGTCTTCTTTGGAAAAGTGTCTGTTCATGTCCTTTGCCCACTTTTTAATGGGGTTATTTGTTTTTTGCTTATAAATGTGTTTAAGTTCCTTATAGGCTCTGGTATTCGATCTTTGTTGGATGCATAGTTTGCAAAATTTTCTCCCATTCTGTAGGTTGTCTGTTCACTCTGGTTTTTTTTGTTTGTTTGTTTTGTTTTGCTGTTTGCAGAAGCTCTTTAGTTTAATTAGATTCCATATTCCATTTGTCAGTTTCTGCTTTTGTTGCAATTGCATTTGGTATCTTCATCATGAAATCTTTGCCAAGTTCTATGTCAAGAATGGTGCTTCCTAGGTTATCTTCCAGGGTTTTTATAGTTTTAGTTTTTACATTTAAGTCTTTAATCCATTAATCCATCTTGAATTAATTTTTCTACGTGGTGTAAGATTAAAAGTGAGAGATGTGTGACTCTTTCACTTGAACACTTAGAAACAATTGTAGAATTAATTGGCCTAATTTCAATATTGTCATGTCCATGAAATAGGAAGTCCCTAGGAGAGGGAGAGAGATGGAGGAACGGCTGGTTGGTAGAGATGTCAGAACATATAGAACACTGATTTATTAAGTGTGTATCTTATATGGGTATGGTTCATGTTGTCCCAAACAATTGAAATAGTAACATCAATGATCACTGATCACAGGTCACCGTAATAGATATAATCATGCTGAAAAGGATATATTGCAAGAATTACCAAAATGTGACACAGAAACACAAAGTAAGCACATGTGGGAGGAATGGGGCTGATAGCCCTGCCCAGCGCAGGATTGCCACAAACATTTAATTTCTAAAAACATAACACCTGCAAAATGAATAAAGTAAAGCATAATAAAATGAGGTATGACTACATATGTAATATTTAGTAATAAATCTTAAAATATATTTTTAAGTGTGTGCATAGTGAAGTCCAAGATTCTATCATCAGCAATGAAAAGTTGACAAGATGACACAAAGAATAATAATTCAAATGATTAAAAGTTTCCATTTAGGGAAAACTACTTTCTGGGCGATAATTTAAGGTGCTCTTCACTTCAAGTGCACCCAATCCATTAGGGCTTAGCAGGATCTCACAGAGAAACAGAACATTTGGAAAATGATCTCTGGGTCTTAACTGGAAATTAGGACTTAATCTTCATGGTTATGGATAAAACTACATATCATGATATTCCCAAATTTATCTACATGTTCTTTTGACAAGTGAAGAACTATATTGCCTTAATTTATTAGTGGTACTTCACATCTGACATATCTCCTCCCAGGCATTGGTGATAGTCATCTTTAAAGCAAACTGTAATCAGGATTCTGGGCAGGAAAAATAAGAATTAGTTGTCTGAATACCTTTCTATTTATCTTCCAATGTCAGCACTCTGGTCTGGAATATTCGATAGGTGGGCATCATCAGTTCCATACACAAGCATTAGCTGAAAACTGGGGCTCAAGAAAGTCTACTTGAATCATATTGCATGACAATATAAGTGGTATGTGCTCACAGAAGGTCAAAAGAAGTAATACATGCAATATTGTGTAACAGCTAAAATGATAGTCATGTTTGCTTCTAGATAAGACATTTCATCAATCTAGTGCTGGTTACCACAAATAAGACATGGAACCAAGAAAAACAAACAGGAAGCATCACAAATCACTGGAGCTGAGCTAGATTGACTTATTGTCAGTGGTGCAATTGTTACTCCTCTGAAATTAATGTGGCATTGAGCACTCAGTTCTAATTATATTATATTTCTGCTCAATATTCTACAGCTGTTTGCTATTGTGAATTGGATTAAATATGTATTCATTTGAAAGATGTTTAGGTGGAATCAGCTTTTGTCTAGTTTTCCACCCTCGTTGTCATAGCTTACATCCCAATATTACCAAATTATTTTATTGATCTTCAAAGACACTTCATTTTATTATACCTCTAAATAATTTATTATGTTTACTTAATTTCCATTCTTAACTCAAATCCTATTTCTATGAAGACCTTCTTTTCTGGTCCAAAGGTAGGCGCATCTTCCTCATACTCTCATCCATCTTATAAATACAGTAGCTATATTATGGTGACTGTCATATTGTGTTGTAATGTTTTTCTTTCCATGGCTGTTTCTCCACAAATCTGTGGGTATTTTCCGGATAAATTTCTTCCTTTCAGTATCTTCAAGATCTAGAAGAGTGGCAGACACATTGTAGGTATTGAATAAAAGGTTGATAAGTAAATGAAAATAAAATTTATTGAGTAAAAACTGTTCTAATTAAAAGAAAAATTATGTTATCATGGTTTTTATAAGAATCTTTAATATTGGTAAAAAGAAATTTATGTCCATGGTTCTGAATCATCAATAAGAGATCAAGTTGTAGTTACTCCAAATGGACTTGCATAACACAGTTTCCCATGCAAACTGATTAGAAAAATCATATGGTTAAAAAAGTTAATTATCTACCTTAAAAAATAGAAACTACAATCAAAATTCTTTTTGTATCTATATTACATAAAATTATTCTTTAACAAAATAGATAATTCCTCATTACTTGTCTTGCCTTGAGAGTATGAATTTTTATTTTCCATTTTAATGCAGTTATTTTTAATGGTAATTTTATCACTTTATGAAGGCTTTTGATGAAAAGACAATGATTCTAGGAGAGCAACGACAATGATTACAATCCCTTTAGGGAAACTTTTGGGTAAATGCAATTCCTTTTTCAGAAAAAGATAGTCATAACTACAGTTTTTATTTTAGAAGGGACTATAAATAAGAACAAATATAGAGAAAGGACATATAAAAAGAAACTAAAACTTTATGACCTGAGGTTTCCAGAATAGTCTAAATATGCCAAAATATTCCAAAATAAATATGTATTCCAAAGTATTCCTCAAAAGAAAGAAACAACAAACAGCAAATGGAGATGAAAGAAATAATATAAATATCTTTAAGTGAAACACCGATAGCACTAGAGTTAAATTAAATTTACCAACAGACATTTTTTATACAAAGCAGGACTCAAATGGATATTTTTGAAAATGTATAGTTTAGTTCAATGGAATAGACATTTGTGCTTATTACATAGCAGGCACTTTATTAAATACTGGGATACTTCAATCAATGAAACATAGACCCTGCCATTGAATGTCTCACAGTCTGGGAGGATGCAGAACAGTGCAGTGAGTAAAGTGCTGTTATAAAACAGCAGCATGTTTTACAATTTCTTAGATTATTTTATCTATGAAATTATCAGCTCCAAGGATAATTTTTAAAATTACTAAAAATTGCACATCATTTCTGAAGAAGAAAAAAAGGTCAATGATTCCATATGGACTTTGTGAGAGGTAGATGCAAAGAAACAGTTTTGTGTTCCATTCCAGGATGTGTCCACATCCATCAGAATCATCTGTCTAAAAACAGAAGGAACTGCTTCATGAGTTAATACATTCTCTGTCATCAGATTTATTAAATACCATTGAAGAACAATTTGAGATTGCAGAGAGCTAAGGTAGGTAATCATTTAGGAATAATTAGTAATAAGCAGTTGATCCAACTAGATGCTATGAAAAGCCTTCAACATTGAATTTATGACCTGACTCTCCATTTATTTTGCCACAGAAAAAAAAAGCCATAATCAAGTTTTGGCCATTGCCTCACCAATCACACTGATTGTGTTCTGGTTGATTATGCACTAATTTTAGAGCAACTTACTAACCATGCTGCGAAACTATTGATTTCCAAATGATTGGTCTTCATTTTGCTTATCTGGTCCCCCCAGATGGGATCAACAAAATCAAAATAATTATAAATCATCGATGAAAGGGCTGTGCATTATTATTACATACTGAGTTTGCTCTTTATTTGGATTTGTGCTTGAAGCTCTGAAAACAATGTATTCTTTTTTTCCATTATCAAGGACGCTCATCAGCGCATATTTTGTATTTTTGCCAGAATAAAACAACAGGTAGACAGTTTCATCACTGATTTGTTTTTTTCTAAGCATAGTCACTGAAAGTTATCATTTGGTATTGAAGATGATGGAGTTTAGAATGAGACAGACCAAGCCTTGAGTCCCAGCTTTATCTAGTATGACCTTGGGGAAAGTTAACTTCTCTGTGACTCAGCTTTCTTATTGATAATATGGGGCCAATATACTTACTGCACAGGAAACTTATGGAATCTTAAAGATGTAATGTTTTCCCATGCCTAGAATAGTACTTCCCTTTTTAATATTTAGTTATAAAAAAGGCTTTTTTTAAAATTAATGTATCTTCTTGTTTCCATATCTTGGTATCTCCTACCATCTACTCACTCTGTATACTATAGAAGAGAACTAGAATCATAAAATTCAGAGGTGGGATAAATTGAGAAATTATTTAAGTCTCCCTTTTTGAAGAGTAAGAAATCAAGATGCAACATTCCACAGCTAAATAAAGGAATATGCATAATCCATCTACCTTCCAGCCCAATGGTGTTTCTATAACACAAGCTATTTCTGGTAATGTCACAGTTTTGAAAGAAATTTTAAGAAAGTTGTAAGTGCAGCAAAAGGGAATAAAAATAACCAGGGATTTGGAGTCTGATGGCTCTGGATTTGCCTCTGAGGATCTCCTATTTGTTGGTTGGGTGTGCTGGGTAGATCACAATGTTTCTGACTCTCTATTTTCTCACCTAAACTTAAGGGTAATCATGTGTACCATATGGAGCTTCTGTAAAAATTTGAAATGAAGGATATCATGTCCTTACAACAGTGTTTTTCACATTGAAAATTCTTGCTAAATATTAGATATTAATAATAACACTAATACAGGTTTAGGTATCCTAGCAGGCCAAAAATAAGACAGAAGACAAGAAGTCCCCTTGGTTTTCCCTCAGTCCCATCAATGTGGGGCTTGCGCTTGGAATAGGAATTAGCTTCTACAAGGAAAATCCAGTGTGCTGTGTCCTCCTTTTCCAGTAGTTACAGGAAAAACACAAACATTTTTCTTAGCCTGTCCTGTCAGCTTTTTAAAGGTATAGTTCTTTCTCCACTCCTCATAAATATTCTTCTCAGGAATGTGACTGTATTGTTTGCAGCTCTATTTCTGGTCCATTTCTGTTTCTGAGGCATATGAGCACCCACCAGCACTGCACATCCAGTGCTGAGGCATCTATCAAAATCTTTTCAGAGACTGTCACTGCCTCCAAGGTCTGTTCACTGTTCTGGTGAATTAACTTATACCCATAGCTAGAACTAATCCTGCCGAATTCTTCAAGGAATTCAGAGCATCACAAGTTTAGCTCTCTGATCTCTATACACCAACATACTATGTTCAACCAAATAGTGTGCACAATTTTACAGTATATTCCATCTGATTGCATCTTCTTGAGTTTCTTTGCTGTCCTCCACTTTCATAAGGATGCCTTGATCTGTGGATTTATTTCATGTATGTATTTCCTTGTTTGTCAAATATTTCTGCTGGATAAGTTGGCTGTAGAATGATTCCTTCATAGATAAAAATTCTCATGAGTTTTATGATAGATCCAAAGTTAAGTTTCCACTATAATTTTTTTTAAAATTGCCTTAAAAGGAAGCTAAACCTTTTAATTTGAATATTGAAAACAACTAGTTCATTTGTACTGTGTCCATAATACTATGCTTAACAGGAGGCTTTATAACAATTTCAGGAAATTCCTTAATGCTGGTAGCTACTGTCTACCACTTTCTCTTTTATCCTTTCTTCATTTATGAATTGTCTAACTTTACCCGTCTTCTTCTTCTTTACCCTTGATACACACTAAAATATGTAGACACTTTATTTCTAAGGCTGAGGTTAGAAGATTTATTCTAAGCCTTGTCTTGGTTTTCTAACATGTTAAGTGGCACTATAATGATAGTGCCTTGCTTATAAGATTATGAGGGTCAAAGCATGCATGTGAAATGCATATGAAAAGACTGTATAATCTTTTTCATGGAATATATGTTCAATAGTATTTATTTTTGAAAAGACTAAAAGCCTTACCCTAACATGGTGAAAATGTGATTGTGATAGGACTCTAGGAATCAAAGACATAAAGAATTTTGGAGTTACTTTTGTTCTAACAGTCATCATCACCATTATGAACTTTAAATATATTGTTGCAATTTTTACAACAATTCCAAAAGTTAGGCATTATATTTTTTTCACAATTGAGTTAATTGAGGATCAGGAAATTTTAGTAACTTCCCAGGATCATTCAGTTAATAGGCAATAGAGAGGGAATTTGAACCAGACTGTATTAAAAGTTTGGGTTTGTAACCATTGCCCTATATTACTTTTGTAAAGTTGAAAATTCTGGACAAGTGTGTCAAACTGGCATCCCATGAATATCTTTTGATTGTTCTGATAAGGATTTTTAAAAAAGATCTAACATTAAAAACTTTGAAAAAAATCAGGATATCTTAACATCTTTAGGTTACATTTCTACTTGAACACAGTTGTCTAAAACTCGCAGTCATTGCATCTATCAATGAGACATGCTTCTCCACTTCTTACCACTCCCAATTAATAGGTTCACTTATTTCCATCATTTGCTTGGCCTCCATAGTCACATAAGTTTTCTGGCTCACTTAAGGATATATAAAGTATGCAGTGTATATTAGTTTCTTAGTCTATCAGAACAAAAATTTTAACCTTATGTATTTTATTTTATTGAATGTAAACTTGAATGCACTTTAAACTATGAACACTGTAGGTACCGTCTGTCTTTCAATAGTAGTGGAGATCCATTATTATTGTTTCGTTCATTGATTAAGTGTTGATATATTATCCTGTACAATCTGTAATGATATACTTCAATTCTGGTCCATGTAGAAATATTTAAAATGGATTGCTTCATAGACACTGTTGCCTCCCTGTTCTAGTCCTTTGTTTAGATCATGGAAATTTTAGGATGTGCAAACTTAAGGATGGGCTGCCTGAGTTGTCTCAATCCACCAGAATTTACAGAAGTCACCGGGACAATGAGTGTTGTCATTTTCTCAGTCTGTGGTTCTTTCCCAGTAGTAATGCAAAGAGTAGAGGCAGTTGGGATAATGTGGATATGCACATACATGATACTCTACCTACACTGGTTCAGCTATTATCCATTAAAAGAAAAAATAGCACAGCGTAACTCAGAGGCTTTCTTTAGCATGAAAGTGTAAGTTAAACACTTTATACATTTTTATATGAACCATAATCTTATAAATTCACTTATTGTCTAAAGCCCAATCTCCTCCTAAACTCTTTTCTAGACCTTACCTGGCATATGCCTTTACCTGTAAATATTTTTTTTATTTTGTTTGTTGCCAGTTTTTCTCATTATAATAGCATTATCCTAGAGGTAGTTTTGACAGAAGCTTTAAATTTTTAACTCTAGTTGGTTAGATTATTTTATATCCTTGGCTTTCTTTATTTTTGTGTCAAACAAGAGCAAACTATTTCATAGTCCCACCAGTTTCCTTTGTCTCCTCTCTTTCCTAGTAAAGTCAGATTAACTTCCCTTTTCTCGCAAATGTATTGATTTAACTCGTTTTTATTTCTAGCTATCTTTGAGGCTATATGTTTGACATTCCACTCTCCCGAATGTACCTTCTAATTAGCATTGCTTATTTATGCCTACATGTCAATAATAATATTTTGACTTTTCCTTATCCACAAAAGATAGATGATAGATATTCAGATGGATATACGGAAAGATAGATAAATATAAGTAGCTATATGATAAATAGTGATGGATGATTCATTGATTGGTATATAGATGAATAGAGAGATATTGTTAAGCAAGAATTTCCATTCTGAGGAAGAAAATGGAAACATGCTGATGCACCCATTTTTTAAATTAATCTTTTGGTCATTCAGCAAATTCTGTCTTATCTACTGTCAAAATATATTTAGAATTCATCCACTTCACCACTGTTGTCACCTCCATGCCAGTTCAGGATGCAGCACCCTGTCTATTCTAAATATACCAGCCAGAGTGATCCTGATGAAGCATAAGTCAAATTACATCAACTCTTTCTTGGAAACTTTCCAGTGGAGTCTTGTCTTACTCATAGTAAAAATTAAATGCTGTATCATGACCTTACAAAGGCCAACATAGCTTCCCCTCTTGACCCACCTTACACCTCTGACTTCATCTCACATTATTGTTCTACTCAACTGCACACTCCAGGAACACTGGCTGCCTAGCTGTTCCCATGCATTTGGCTTGCAGGTGCTGCAAGGTCCCAGTATTGGTCATTTCCCCTGCCTTTAACACTCTTCCCTAAATTATCCCTATGGTGTTCTCACTTCTTTCAGTTTTTGCCCGATGAACAACTCTAAGAAGCCTTCCTTGGCTACTCTTCTAAAGCTCCAAAATCCCACCCCCAACAATTCCTATTCCCCTTGTCTGTTTGATTTTTCTCCTAAATTCTTATCACTATTTAATAAATGTTGTTTTACTTATTTCTCTTACTTATTACTGTGACCTTCAGTAAGTTTCATGATGGCAGGAATATTTGTCATTTTTGTTTACAGTGGTCACCAACCCATAGAATATCACCTGGCACTGAGAATAGCCTCATTTAATATGTGTCAAATGAACGAGTAAGTGATTAAATGAGATAATACATGCCAAGCCCTTAGAGCATTGCATAATATCTATTCACACATTTTCTTGGTTTAGACAAAATGGAAAAGAGGATGAGAATAACTTATCCCTTTACTTCTTATCTTCAAAGATCCATTTCTCCACAATGTCTTAAAAGTATACTGCCAAGACTATAGTACAACTGAAGTGTAACCTGCTAAACTTTCTTTCTCAAGTCTGTTTTGGAAAAGCATGTCATTCATTGTATCATGGGAGATTTTGTCCAAAGCCAAGTTCTTAATGACTCATTTTTCCTTCCACTGTGAAATGAAAACTAAAATAAATCAAAGTAGCATCTCAAGTGTCCAGTACAGCCCTAAACTATAAGTGCAAATGAATACGCTCCCTGATAAAAGAAAAAAAGTCAGATGAGAAACATATTTCAACTCCTGGTTCCTGGGGATTTTGTGTAAGCAAAAACAAGGCAAGTTTTATACAAACTTGACTTCAGGATGCTTCTTTATTTATTGCTCACAACTGTCAAAAAGTTAAATAAGCATTTATCAAATTTTATAAGCCCTGAAGAATCAACTGTCTATTTATTTTTTTCATTCAATAACTTGTCAAAAAACTCAAGACATCAGAAATGAACAAGTAAAGTTTACAAACAAAGCAATTAGGCTCAGAGTGCTTTTTTGGCTTTTCTTGTGTTGACTGGGAACAAAGACCAATAAAGAACGAGGCCTCATCTTTAATAGATACAATAGAGTTTAAATAAGTTAGCAAAAACTCTCTTGTGCTTTTCTCTAAGCATCATTTGATTTTCTTACATGCATCATAACAGATTTGTGAAAATCAATACCTTTTGTAGATGTGAATGCTGGGATAACTTTTTCAATATCAACCTACTTTTACCATCAAATCAACCTAATTTTCAATATCTCCTTTATGAAACTCAGTTTCATAACCTTATACAGGCTATGGCTGACCTTATGGCTTATGACTGGCCTTATGCAGCCCACATCTGATAAAAATATGTGAGAAAGTCAAATGGAGTTGTAATTCTGTGCATTGGCAACTCTAGGGGACATTTGTCATTCCTTGCCTCTCTAGCTTTGAGTAGCCACGCTTCTGCTAATGTACTCTAACATTCTTACAAGAGATTATATCTCCTTCTTCAGTAGAGTTTTGATGGTTTCATTAATCAAGGTGTCATGCTTGGCCCCTTGGGCTTTATCTTTAGAATCTTAATAATACTTGAATATTTTGAGTGTGTACTACGGATTTGACATTAATGTAAGCCTTTGTGTCACACAACAACCCAATAAAATAGATGTCATTATTATCCCCACTTTATAATTGAAATGAATAGCTCAAGACCAGAGAGCCAGTATTTAAGTGCTGGTAGTGGAATTTAAATCCATGTCTGTCTGATGGGTGTGCAGATGCTTTTAAACACACAGCTGCCTGCTTCTCAGCATACAGGGACTCAAGAACAGAGAATTGGTGAGAGATTATTTGTCCCAGCAGTAACTTCCTGATCAAGTGGTTTATCTCTTATTGCTACCTGGAATCTTAGGGGTACCTGGATTTTAATTTTTTTTTTTTCAGATTATCTTATTTGTGTGAGCTGCACCATATCCTTCTAATAAGTTGACTTTTTGATTAAGATATCTAGAATCAGTTTTGGCTTTTTGATATCAATGAATCTTTTAAAAATCGATGAATAAGACTATATATAGTTTTATGATGTAAAACATAATGTTTTGAAATATGTATACATTGTGGAATGGCTCAATTAAGCGAATTAACATACTCATTACCTCACATATTTATTTCATTTTGTGGTGAGAACATATAATATTTACTTTTAGTGATTTTCAAGTATCCACTAAATTGTATTGACCATGATCATCATGTCTTACATCTCTTGAATTTATTCCTTCTGTCTAACTGAAATTTAGTATCCTTTGACAAACATCTCCACACTTTTTCCACAGCCATTTGTATCTACCATTCTCCTCTCTGCTTCTATGGGTTAGATTTCTTTGGAATCCACATATAAGTGAGATCGTATATTATTTGCCTTTCTGTGTCTGCCTTATTTCATTTAACATAATGTTCTCCAGGTTCATCCATGTTGTCACAAATAACAGGATTTCCTTGATTTTTAAGGCTACATTGTAATCCACTGTGCATATATAACTCATATTGTTTATTCACTCATCTGTTAATAGACACTTAGATTGATTCCATGTCTTGGCTATTATGAATAACTCAATAGTAAGCATGGGAGTGCAGACATTTCTTCAACATATTGATTTCATCTCCTTTGGTGATATACCCAGAAGTGGGAGTGCTGTATCATATGGTAGGTCTGTTTTTAAGCTTTTGAGGAGCTTCCATAATGTTTTTCATAATGAGTATACTAATTTATATTCCCACCAACAAGGTATACCAGAGTTCCCTTTTCTCCACAATTTCAATATTTGTTATGTTTTGTCTTTTTGATATTAGTCATTCTAATTGTGATTTTAAATTGCATTTCATGGATGATTAGTAATGTTGAACATTTTTTTTCATATACCTGTTGGCCATTTGTATGTCATTTTTTTTTTTTTTTTGAGATGGGGTCTCGCTCTGTCACCCAGACTGGAGTGCAGTGGCGTGATCTCAGCTCACTGCAAGCTCCACCTCCCGGGTTCACGCCGTTCTCCTGCCTCAGCCTTGTATGTCTTATTTTGACATTGTTTCATAGTGTTTATCTTTATTTGATTCTTCCAAGGGGATGTTGATGATAAGATCTGGAAATTTTTGTTTGTTTTTTAAAAATCTATTTTAAAAGACTACATCAGGCTGTGCTGGTCTCTCACCATGGGCTCTGTATATTATGGGGTAAACACTGTGCATTCCTGCTGTGTGAAGACCTGCTATTCAGGGAAGGGCAGAGCTCTGCTATGCAATGAAAAAGGAGTGGATACTTTAGTTGCCTCCATTAATCCCATTCTGGGTCAAAGGAATTGTTCGATTTCCTTAACTTCCTAACCATACATTTGTTTCAACTTCAAACTCGTTACAAAGTTCCAGCAGAAGCCCACATCTTATCAGTCATGGGCTGCTGCCCTCATACCCTGACATCCCAACCAGAATATTACAGCTCACAGGTGGTCAACCTAAGAAATGCAAATTTTTCAATACCATCAGTGAAGAAATGCTGTTATTTCTCTCTCAATATCGATGCCTATAAGAATATATTATAAGCTCCATTTAAAAACTGCTGGTGAACATCAAGTGCTCTTATTATTATTTTTGTAAATTGGCCTTTTCAGAACCATATCGCCTCTCCTCCATGTGCTATTTTATTTATTTATTTGTGTGTGTGTGTGTGTGTGTGTGTGTGTTTACTATCATGGATTCTTTTTTTTTTAATTATACTTACCTTCTGGGATACATATGCAGAACATGCAGGTTTGTTACATAGGTATGTATGTGCCATGGTTGGTTTGCTGCACCCATCAACCCGTCATCTACATATGGTATTTCTCCTCCTAATGCTATCCCTCCCCTTGCCGTCCACCACATGACAGGTCCCGGTGTGTGATGTTCCCTTCCCTGTGCCCATATGTTCTCATTGTTCAACTCCCACTTATGAGTGAGAACCTGTGGTGTTTGGTTTTCTATTTCTGTGTAAGTCTTCTCAGAATGATGGTTTCCAGCTTCATCTATGTCCCTGGAAAGGACATGAAATCATTCTTTTTTATGGCTGCATAGTACTCCATGGTGTATATGTGCCACATTTTCTTTATTCAGTCTATCATTGATGGGCATTTGGGTTGGTTCCAAGTCTTTGCTATTGTGAATAGTGCCGCAGTAAACATATGGTGCATGTGTCTTTATAGTAGAATGATTTATAATCCTTTGTGTATTTACCCAGTAATGGGGTTGCTGGGCCAAATGGTGTTTCTAGTTCTAGATCCTTGAGAAATCACCACACTGTCTTCCACATGGTTGAAGTAATTTACCCTCCCACCAACAGTGTAAAAGCATTCCTATTTCTCCATATCCTCTCCAGCATCTGTTGTTTCCTGACTTTTTAATGATCACCATTCTAAATGGCATGAGATGGTATCACATTGCGGTTTTGATTTGCATTTCTCTAATAACCAGTGATGATAAGCTTTTTTTCATATGTTTATTGGCCACATAAATGTCTTCTTTTGAAAAGTGTCTGTTCCTATCCTTTACCCACTTTTTAATAGAGTTGTTTTTTGTTTGTTTGTAAATTTGTTTAATTTCCTTATAGATTCTGGATATGTTCCCTTTTTCAGATGGATAGATGGCAAAAATGTTCTCCCATTCTGTAGGTTGCCTGTTCACTCTGATGATAGTTTCTTTTGCTGTGCAGATGCTCTTTAGTTTAATTAGATCCCATTGGTCAATTTTGGCTTTTGTTGCCATTGCTTTTGGTGTTTTAGTCATGAAGTCTTCACCCATGCCTACGTCTTGAATGGTATTGCCTAGGTTTTCTTCTAGGGTTTTTATGGTTTTAGGTCTTATGTTTAAGCCCTTAATGCACTTGAGTTAATTTTTGTATAAGGTGTAAGGAAGGGGTCCAGTTTCAGTTTTCTGCATATGGCTAGCCAGTTGTCCCGGAACCATTTAATAAATAGGAAATCCTTTCCACATTGCTTGTTTTTGTCAGGTTTGTCAAAGATCAGATGGTTGTAGATGTGTGGTGTTATTTCTGAGGGCTCTGTTCTGTTCCATTGGTCTATATATCTGTTTTGGTACCAGCACCATGCTGTTTTGGTTACTGGAGCCTTCTAGTATAGCTTGAAATCAGGTAGTGTGATGCCTCCAGCTTTTTTTTTTTTTTTTTTTTTTTTTTTTTTGCTTAGGATTGTTTTGGTTACACAGGCTCTTTTTTGGTTCCATATGAAATATAAAGTAACATTTTCTAATTCTGTGAAGAAAGTCAAGGTAGCTTGATGGGAATAGCATTGAATCTATAAATTACTTTGGGCAGTATGGCCATTTTCACGATATTGATTCTTTCTGTCCATGAGCATGGAATGCTTTTCCATTTGTTTGTGTACTCTCTTATTGCCTTGAGCAGTGGTTTGTAGTTCTCCTGGAAGAGGTCCTTCACGTCCCTTGTAAGTTGTATTCCCAGACATGCTGTTTTCTTTGTAGCAATCGTGAATGGGAGTTTGCTCATGATTTGGCTCTCTGTTTATCTATTACTGGTGTAGGAGAAAGCTTGTGATTTTTGCACACTGATTTTGTATCCTGAGACTTTGCTAAAGTTGCTTATCAGCTTAAGGAGTTTTGGGGCTGAGACAATGGGTTTTTCTAAATATACAATCATGTTATCTGCAAACAGATAATTTGACTTCCTCTCTTCCTATTTGAAAGAAAGAGAAAGCTTTATTTCTTTCTCTTGCCTAATTGCCCTAGCCAGCACTTCCAAAACTATGTTAAATAGAGGTGGTGAGAGAGGACATCCTTGTCTTGTGCCGGTTTTCAAAGGGAATGCTTCCAGCTTTTGCCCATTGAGTGTGATATTGGCTGTGGGTTTATCATAAATAGTTCTTCTTATTTTGAGATATGTTTCATCAATATCAAGTTTATTGAGTGTTGATAGCATGAAGGGCTGTTGAATTTTATTTAAAGCCCTTTCTGCATCTACCGAGATAATCGTGTGGTTTTTGTCATTGGTTCTGTTTATGTGATGGATTATGTTTATTTATTTGTATATGTTGAACCAACCTTGCATCCCAGGGATGAATCTGACTTGATCGTGGTGGGTAAGCTTTTTGATGTGCTGCTGGATTCGGTTTGCCAGTATTTTATTGAGGATTTTTGCATCGATGTTCATCAGGGATATTGGCCTGAAACTTGTGGCTCTGCCAGGTTTTGGTATCAGGATGATGCTGGCCTCATTAAATGAGTTAGGGAGGAGTCCCTCTTCTTCTATTGTTTGGAATAGTTTCAGAAGGAATGGTACCAGTTTCTCTTTGTACCTCTGGTAGAATTTGGCTATGAATCCCTCTGGTCCTGGGCTTTCTTTGGTTGGTAGGCTATTACTGCCTCAATTTCAGAACTTGTTATTGGTCTATTCAGGGCTTCAACTTCTTCCTGGTTTAGTCCTGGAAGGGTGTATGTTTCCAGGAATTTATCCATTTCTTCTAGATTTTCTATTTTATTTGCATAGAGGTGTTTATAGTATTCTCTGATAGTAGTTTGTATTTCTGTGGGATCAGTGGTGATCTCCCCTTTATCATTTTTTATTGTATCTATTTGATTCTTCTCTCTTTTCTTCTCTATTACTCTGGCTAGCAGTCTATGTATTTTGTTAATGTTTCAAAAAAACAGCTCCTGGATTCATTGATTTTTTTGAAGGGTTTTTCGTGTCTCTACCTCCTTCAGTTCTGTTCTGATCTTAGTTATTTTTTGTCTTCTGCTAGCTTTTGAATTTGTTTGCTTTTGATTCTCTCATTCTTTTAATTGTGATGTTAGGGTGTCGATTTTAGATCTTTCCCACTTTCCCCTTTGGCCATTTAGTGCTATAAATTTCCTTCTAAACACTGCTTTAGCTATGTCTTAGAGATTCTGGTACGTTGTGTCTTTGTTCTCATTGGTTTCAAAGAGCTTATTTATTTCTGCCTTAATTTTGTTATTTACTCAGTAGTCATTCAGGAGCAGGTTGTTCAGTTTCCATGTAGTTGTGTGGTTTTGACTGAGTTTCTTAATCCTGAGTTCTAATGTGATTGCACTGTAGTCTGAGAGACTGTTTGTTAGGATTTCCATTCTTTTGCATTTGCTGAGGAGTGTTTTACCTCCGATTATGTGGTCTATTTTAGAATAAGTGCTATGTGGTGCTGAGAAGAATGTATATTCTGTTGATTTGGGGTAGAACATTCTGTAGATGTCTATTAGGTTCGCTTGGTCCAGAGTTGAGTTCATGTCCTGAATATCCTTTTTAATTGTCAGTTTTGTTGATCTGTCTAATATTGACAGTGGGGTGTAAATTTCTCTCACTATTATTGTGTGGGAATCTAATTCTCTTTGTGGGTCTCTAAGAACTTGCTTTATGAATCTGGATGCTCCTGTACTGGGTGCATATATATTTAGGATACTTAGCACTTCTTGTTGCATTGATCCGTTTACCATTATGTAATGCTATTTTTTGTCTTTTTTGATCTTGGTTGGTTTAATGTATGTTTTATCAGAGACTGGGATTGCAACCCCTGCTTTTCCTTTTTATTTTCTTTCCATTTGCTTGGTAAATCTTCCTCCATCCCTTTATTTTGAGCCTATGTATGTCTTTGCACATGAGATATATATCCTGAATACAGCACACCAATACAGTCTTTATCTAATTTGCCAGTCTGTGCCTTTTCTTTTTTTATCCTTAAAGTCTGGGACACATGTGCAGAATGTGCAGGTTTGTTACATAGGTATACACGTGCCATGGTGGTTTGCTGCATCCATCAACCTGTCATCTACATTAGGTATTTCTCCTAATGCTATCTCTCCTCTAATCTCCTGCCCCCCAACATGTCCCAGTGTGTAATATTCCTTTCCCTGTGTCCATGTGTTCTCATTGTTCAACTCCCACTTAGAGTGAGAATATGTGGTGTTTGGTTTTCTGTTCTTGTGTTAGTTTGCTGAAAATGATGGTTTCCAGCTTCATCCATGTCCCTGCACAGGATATGAACTCATCCTTTTTTCATGGCTGCATAGTATTCCATGGTGTATATGTGCCACATTTTCTTTATCCAGTCTATCGTTGATGGACATTTGGTTGGTTCCAAGTCTTTGCTATTATGAACAGTGCTGCAATAAACATACATTAATTGGGGCATTGAGCCTGTTTACATTTAAAGTTAATATTGTTATGTGTGAATTTGATCCTGTCATTGTGATTTTAGCTTGCTATTTTGCTCATTAGTTAATGCAGTTTCTTCGTAGTGTCAACGGTCTTTACATTTTGGTTTGTTTTTGCAGTGGCTGGTACTGGTTTTTCCTTTCCATATTTAGTACTTCCTTCAGGAGCTCTTGTAAGGCAGGCCTGGTGGTGACAAAATCCTTCAGCATTTGCTTGTCTGCAAAGGACTTTATTTTTCCTTCACTTATAAAGTTTAGTTTGGCTGGTATGAAATTCTGGGTTGAAAATTCTTTTATTTAAGAATATTGAATATTGGCCCCCACTCTCTTCTGGCTAGTAGAGTTTCTGCAGAGAGAGCCCCAGTTAGTCTAATAGGCTTCTCTTTGTGGGTAACCCAACCTTTCTCTCTGGCTGCCCTTAACATTTTTTCCTTCATTACATCCTTGGTGAATCTGATGATTATGTGTCTTGGGGTTGCTCTTCTCAAGGAGTATGTTTGTGGTGTTCCCTGTATTTCCTGAATTTGAATGTTGGCCTGTCTTGCTAGTTTGGGGAAGTTCTCCTGGGTAATATCCTGAAGTGTGTTTTCCAACTTGGTTTCATTCTCCCTGTCACTTTCTGGTACACCAATCAAACATAGGTTTTGTCTTTTAACATAGTCCCATATTTCTTGGAGGTTTTGTTCTTTCCTTTTCATTCTTTTTCATCTAATCTTGTCTTCATGCTCATTTCATTAAGTTGATCTTCAATCTTTGATATCTTTTCCTCCGCTTGATCGATTCGGCTATTGATACTTATGTATGCTTCACAAAGTTCTCGTGCTGTGTTTTTCAGCTCCATCAGGTCATTTATGTTCTTCTCTAAACTGGTTATTTTAGTTAGCAATTCCTCTAACCTTTTAACAAGGTTCTTAGCTTCTTTGCATTGGGTTAGAACATGCTCCTTTAGCTTGGAGGAGTTTGTTATTACCCACCTTCTGAAGCCTACTTCTGCCAATTCGTCAAACTCATTCTCTGTTCAGTTTTGTTCCCTTGTGGGCTAGGAGTTGTGATCTTTTGGAGGAGAAGAGGCATTCTGGTTTTGAAATTTTCAGACTTTTTGCACTGGTTTTTCCTCATCTTCATGGATTTATCTACCTTTGGCCTTTGCTGTTGGTGACCTTCGGATGGAGTTTTTACGTGGTCGTCCTTTTTGTTGATGTTGATGCTATTGCTGTTTGTTAGTTTTCCTTCCAACAGTCAGGCCCCTCTTCTCCAGGTCTGCTGGAGTTTTCTGAGGGTCCACTCCAGACCCTATTTGCCTGGGTATCACCAGCAAAGGCTGCCTGCTCCTTTTTCCTGGAAGCTTTGTCCCAGAAGAGCACCTACCAGATGTCAGTTGGAGCTCTCCTGTATGAGGTGTCTGTCGACCCCTGTTGGGATGTATCTCCCCATCAGGAGGCACGGGGATCAGGGACCCACTTGAGAAAGCAGTGTGTCCCTTAGCAGAGCTCGAGCACTGTGCTGGGAGGTCCGCTGTTCTCTTCAGAGCTGGCAGGCAGGAACGCTTAAGTATGCTAAAGCTCCACCTACAGCCACCTCTTACCCTGGGTGCTCTGTCCCAGAGAGATGGGAGTTTTAGCCATAAGACCCTGACTGGGGCTGCTGCCTTTCTTTTACATGTGATACTTATAAGGCTATAAATCCCCATCCTTACTTCCCAGACACAGGAATGGGACTCTAATCCAGACTGGGCAATCAGATCACCCAATAAAGAACAGTTTGTCAAAAAAAAAAAAGAAAAAGTACATTCTTCAAGCAGGATCAATTAGTGTTCCTTTTTAAGTAATTGATGCAGCCACCAAGAAGAGGAGAATTCTTGGAATTATGACATGTCAGAACAGAAGTTTCGGACAGCTTATACAGTCTGTGCAATCATGAAGAGAGATCTAGAGAATAAAGTAACCTTGAGGGAAATAGAGAAGAGCACAAGGAGGAGACTAAAGGCATCATTTGAACCTCCATATCCTGCATTGCCTAAAGCCAGAAATATCTCTTTGATTTCCCTTATAATGTCCTTCAGAGTTCCCCTTCCCTGATTCCCACTTTGCATAAAGAAATTTGAGTTGAGCTTTTGTTACTTGTAACTTAAAAAGTCTTGAATAATCTTTGTGTGCCTGTAAACTAGAATACTTATTTAGGATTTTTAAGCATATTATTTCTTACACTGTAAACACAGTTTATTTACACACACATACACACACATTTTCCTCAAGGTTTCAAGAAACTCATGGTTTTATGGCTATGAGTTACCGCTTTTTCACTTAGAAACATTAAATAGAAATATTTTTCTCGAAGACCCTAAACATTTGAAAGAATTTTTTTAAAAAAGTCATTTAGAAGCATGTTTCAAGTATCTATTTGGTGTCATATGGTACAAATACCTTCCTTAATGATTAAAATTGATGTCTTTAATTTCTCACGGTGGAAGTCTTTGGTATTTTTTCCTCTTTACTTGGCTCATCTCTTTATTACTTACTTCCATGCAGATGTTTGAGACGGTTCTCTTCCTCCATGTTCAAGCAGTTTTTCCAGGAATTTAGTGAACCCATTAAATATTGTAATTCATTTTGGATCTCTCCTATCTTAGAAGGCCTATAAGAAGATAGTCTTATAAGTAAGCTGATGCTTGCCAATCTGCATGCACTGAACATGGACAGAATATTAAGACAATTCCCAGTAAAAATAACATTCTATAATTCTATAGTACACATTTTTTAGATGTTGTCAATGCATTGTCTCATTTATTTTTCACAATGCTCCCTTGCAGTAGGTACATTGAGATTATCGCTTATACTAGAGAAGGGAACAGATATTGAGAAAACCAGGTGGCATGCCCCAATTTACTTAGCTATCAAAAGCCCCAGTCTCTTAGATTCAATCTAAGTCTTCTGGCTCTAAGTCCAGTGATATCTTCATTCAGAGCCCTTGTTCTTTTATCTGATCCATATGCAGGGATCCTGCTATATTTTATTAGAACAATAGCTTATTTTCAGCTGCATTAAATATTTGAAAAACCTGCATAATTACATAACTTTTTTTTCAAACTTTTCAGGAGACTGTTATGATGACAGCCTAACAACGATGACTATAGCACATGCATTTCTTGCTTGAGATTTAATTTAAAAAAAGTTTAGGTATTAATTTGGGCCAAGGATTTAGAGGAAGGGAGAAAGCTTTCCACTTTTCCAGTGTAAAAGAAAAATTGTTAGAGATTTTCCTTACGTGTCATCTATCATGACAGTTACATTCTTTGCTTTTCCGTCTAATCCTGGTCAGTTAGATTATTCATGCTTCCCTCTGTATTATAAGCCACATTCACTCCCAGACATTTTTTCACACAACAGCAGTTGTTAAGAAGTATATGAATTGGCTTTGAAACTAAAAATATATTTCTCTTCTGCCTGGTTAAATCAGCTGAACTCCTGCTCTGTGAGTAGTCATGATCTAACTTTATCTTTTGTTATTCATTAATATCTGTGTTCTGATATCAAGTCACCCCCACTGCTAGTGGGTTCAAGCTACACAGCAGAGTTTGGGGCCAAGGCTGAGCTCCCCAGGTAGTTTGGTCTTACAATAGCTTCAAAGTCTCTTGCCTCTCAGTGAAAAGGAAGAAAATTATCATGAATTCTATTATTTTCAGGTGAATAGGATATAAAAACCTTCCTGCCATTTGTAATCTCCTCCATGTTACAAATTAAATAAATCTGCTTTAATTTCTTTAGCTTGTAACCTGTCTTCTGTTGTAGAACAACATGGTTTGCTGGGAGTTTGATCAACCTTATTGTAGGAAAAGGTCATATGAATCTCAGTGGAAAATGTCGTCAAACCAATCCTTTTGAAAAGACTCTGAAATGATGATCGATTATCTGTAGTAAATTGCTATGCATTTATTATCTTAGTGTATTTGCCATGTTATAAAGATGTGATTGAATTTTCCCCTTAAAATTACTTTACAATGGTATTTAAATTTAAATTCTGAGGATATGATTCTTGCTTTAGACTCCCTCCTTGGTTTTAGGGTAAAGGACAAGTAAGTGTACACAGACGCGGACACACACACATTTTTATAACGTTGACAAGCAATAAAGGTAGTATAAGCACCTGGTTTTGGATTACACATGGTTCCTGACTTAACGATGGTTTGACTTAGGATTTTTCAACTTTCCTATCATGTAAAACTGTCCAATTATGACATAATATACGGTATTTAATAAATTACATGAGATATTCAACACTTTATTATAAAATAGGCTTACGTTAGATGACTTTTTTCCTAACATAGGCTAATGTAAGTGTCCTGAGCATGTTTAAAATTGGTTAGGCTGTGATGGTTGCTAGGTTAGATGTATTAAGTGTCTTTCAACTTATGGTCTTTTTAACCTACCGTGGTTTTATCGAGACACAACTTTATCATAAGTTGACGAACATTTATCTACCAGGAATGATAATGATTTTTAATCTTCTTGACATTATTGTATCGAAATACTATTTTAATTTTTTAAATACAAAATTGGGAAAAAAATTTAAGAATGTGTCAAACAGTCATCCCATATTGTTGCCAATCCAGCAGCATCCATTGGGTTTTCTTAAACTAACAGCACCCCGTTATAATTTGGGGGGCCACCACGTCTCCCCTCTGTGCTCATGTGGTTCAGCTGGGCTTGACCCTATCTCATATTCCCAGAAGAGGGAAATTATCTAGATGTGGCCTATCAAAGTGTTATGCCTGCTGTAGACCCCATGACTGATTCAGGGAAGGCTGTGATCAAAGCAGAACAGTGGCATTCAACCCTAGTACCTCTTACGGAAATTAAGTGAAGCTCATTTTCCACTGGTGTTACTGAATTGGTAGAACGCAAACCTATGATGCTATCTATTTTACATTGTCAAAGGGAGAACTTACCTGAGAATGAGCCAGTATGAAACAAAGCAAAACTGAGACTGAGAGACACATTGATTATTTGCCTTGATCTAGCCTTGCTCAAACTATCTGCCCTTGAAATGTTCAATTACATAAGCCAGTAAATTTCTCCTTTTCCCCTTTTCTCTCCCTACTTCTTTCCCTCTCTCCTACCCAAGCCACTTTCAACTGGGTTTCTGTCACTTGCAATTGAAATTATCCAAATCAACATAATAGTTCAAAAAAATTTTGATAATTTATTTATCATAGTAACTCATCAACTTTTAAAATACTTTTATATTAAGACATATGGCAAAATGTTTTTGAGAAGAGAGAAGTTGGAGTAATGACGAAAGCTGATTTGTGAGTCAAAAACAGTTTTTCTTAAAGTAATAGAATTGCACAAGTAGCCTATATAAAGTAAAGGATTTTAAAATATAAAGGTTTCTAGTCAAAAAGTTTTTGGGGGGTGGGAGAACTGGAAAACTGGACTTATTCCTAGAATAGATTCAGCATTTTACCCTTATGAAATAACTTTGTGCCATAGACACAGATTTATTAAATCATGAGGAAATTTGCCTGACCACAGTGTTAGCACACATAAATCGTTGGGTCTTGTGTGTATGTTGCATGTATGCGTACCTGAAGTGTATATAATCAATTCTACTAAAGTTTCATATTAAATATATCTAAGTACTTTTTCTAGCTCTATTGCATGTCCATAACTGATGAAATAACTTAAGTGAGTAACAGTCACCATTTATTGAACACTTCCTATGTTCAGGAAACCCTGCTTTACTCTGCACACGTCCCAAATTCTTCATTATGACCCTCAAAGGTCGGTACCATTATTTTTATTTTATAGACAAGGGAATTGAAGCCTAAAAGAGTTTTAGCTACTTGATCAAGGACACATTGAAACAGAAGGCAAATCTGAGACTTACACCGAGTCTATCTGTGTTGTATGTACAGGCTGAAGCATATAACCACCTTTACTTTCATGGGATCAGAAATGTTTTCATTTTATTTTTCTCAGGCATATTGATGAATGATTGCCCGGTTGATGAATGCCAAGCACTGTATGAGACACTAGAGATTCAGAGTCAAACAAAGTAAAATCTCAGTGCTCAGGATAGTCACAGTCAAGAACTGTCTTTGAGAACAAAACCAAGAAGATAAGCTACTTGATATTACAATGCTATTGCCTCAGATTTTACTGTAGGACACTACACTTCCAAATAGAATCTGTAAATCCCTAAACCAGGATAAAATAAGCAGAAACAAGGACAAAAGGGAAAGGTGTTCTGACCTGAAACCTTGCGGAAAAGTCAAGGCTGAATAGGAGATTAGGAACATTTGCTTGCACCTCTGTTCACCAGTTATTGATGTAAAAACTTTAATGAGAGCAGTGTCATATAGCATTTAAGGCATGAGTTATGAAATCAGACAAAATGTGAATCTCATATTTACTACCTTTTAGTGTTATGATTTTGTGAAAGTTATTTGCAGTTTTTGACCTTCAGTTTCTCTATCCTTAAATGGATAAAATAATTTCTAACTCCGAGGGTGGCTGCAAGGATTAAATGAAAAAAATATGAGGTAGTAGACTTTTGTATTTTCCTGCTCAATATCCATTCCCTTTTTCTTGGGTTAGCAGCAATTCGCTCCACAGGGAACCACCATTTCCCTTATCATCTCATTGTAGTTCATAGGAAGGTTATTAATTCTTTAGCTATAAAGTTTGACCTTTGATCCACACTTGCAAAATCAGAGTAATATTGATTTGTCCAAAATTAAATGTATCACCAAACATGGGCCAGTAAATGAAATCCCAGGACTTTTGCTAGGATTATTGAAAAACTGGAGTTATCTTTCTTCTGGCATTGCTAATTGTTAGCCAAAATGTGGTGGACTGTAAATAATAAGCAGCTAGTAGACATCTGCCACCTTGCAGAAAGGGCCTGCCTGATGACAAACACAAAATGGAGGAAAGTAGAGCCAAAATATGGAGAGACATATCTTTTTGAAGGCATTGATTGAACTGCTGGATGCATCCATACTTGAAGGTGGACGCATCTCTGGACTTCCTTGACCTTCGACGTGATTTGAATATGATTTATCTCTTGGCAACTGAAAAAAATACTGGTGTGTACTCTGTGTAAACCACTTATTACAATAATAGTGTACTTCCTCGTGACATATCTTTCTTTTCTAGAACGGTTATTCTGTTTTTATTAATTTTTATATAATATTATATATTGCCAATTCATCTGTGAATTTGAATTTTTTAGGTCAGGCATATATTTCTGTGCCTTCCCAGCCATCTAGCAATTAGGTGTCAAATTCCTAATAATTTTATTCATTCTTTATTATAATTATTATAACACACTGCCATTCTGGAAACAATAAGCTTCTGATTTTTATTTATGTTGCCATCATAACGTAAGTGTTATGTTAGCCATTTTAACATTAGATGTTAGAATGACATCTAATGGAAGTCAGAGAAAATATTTTCAAAACATTACTCAGTCATTAAAATTATTTCCATGTTTAAAATCATGAAAAAAAATTGAAAACCAAATACAACAATACTGACTTTATATTTAAGATCTAGCACTAAAACTTAGGATTCACTTTTATAAGCTGATTTTTTTTCCTTTAGATACACAATCTAAGTTCATATTATACGGCCATTCCAGGGCAAAATCTGTTTATGTAAAACATCAGGCTAAGTGTAAAATGGCAAAGCCCAAATTCTTACTTTTTGAGGCACATTCCCACTGACATCATGCAAATAGAATATGGGTACTATGTTTACTTACAATTCTGGATATAGAGCACTTTTAAAATGTGGAGTATGCAAAGCTTTCTCAAGGTTTTGGTAATCTGTCACCAAAAGATCTCCTCAGTGCCTGCTTCCCGTTCCAACACAATGCAATGGAATCATACAATCTCCTGTCAAAAATACATAGCATGATTTAACAATTAGAATACTATGTGAGGCAAGAGTCTTCAAAAAGAAAAGACCTCGATAACTACAATAATTTTTGTCTGTCTTCCTTTGAGGTTTTATCTAAGTGCCTACAAGAGTGGCTGTAACATAACAAGAATTGAATATTTTTTTTCAATGAATGGATGAATAATATTTTTCCTGTTTATAGGGATAAATGCAGTTAAACATGGAAAGAGAAAGTCACCTATATTTTAATTCTATCATATACAAGTCCTGGACATTTTATTCTGAGATTTCTATTATATCAGAAGAGAAAAAAATGAGAGAAGAAATGAAAATGTACACTTATCTGTACCTTCTTTCACTATAAGATAATTTATGGTAACAAAACCTGGAAACAACCTAAATGCCTAGTAATAGGATATTAGTTAAAAATTATGGTATATACATATTATAGAATATAACATGTATTTTTAATCATTAAAATAATGTTTAAGATGCTTTAAAATGAACAAATATTACTATATAAAACATAGAAAAGTAAATCGAGATAGTTATATTTTTCACATTTATGATGCTGTATGTTTTAAAATGTATTCTCTAGATAGTTGAAAAATAACATTGAGCATTTTAATGGTTCCTGATCTACATAATAAACATATGGTTAATATATTGATAGCTCTGGTAAGTGAAGACTTCATGAGCGCAGTTGCTAATGGTTTTCCTTGTAGGGGATGGCACTGTTAAATAATGTGGGGAATAAAATTTCTCCAAATATATTTCAGAGGCAACACTATTGGTTCAAACTCTTCCTTCTTTCAATCAATGGTTTTGGAGGATTCTTGCTTGAAGAATTAGTGGAAAGGGGAAATAATTTTATCTCCCCTGAAAAAGAAGGCAGAACAGATGGGAAATGTGCAGTTCCAGTTTTCTTCCTTTCCCATAAAGAAATAGAAAGAAAGGTAGAATCAATATCTTTTCTAGTGGAGATGCTCAAATTCATGTCTCTTTGTTTAGATGAGCAATTATAAAGGCCACAATCATTGGGTTTTTGGAATTCTGGTCCTAATGTTTCCAATGTGAGAGTATTGCAATGAATAGCATTAATATTTCCTTGAATAGGGAGCATGTTTAATTTTCTCTTTCATCAATATTTACTTGATGGTTGTCCCTCTTGTATGATAAATTTGTAAAGATTCAATAAATTAACCTCTAATGTAGTCATACAATACACCTCCTTTTAAATACATTTTATATTTGTCTCTACTAATATTTCAAAGCTCAGACCAAGGCTTTTTGACTCAGGGACTTTGGCAACTCTTCTCCAATGTGAAAATTGTATCCTAGACTTGCAGATGTGTTCATTATTTCTACATTATTACCTGTCTTCTATAATTTTATATTTTCATTACTGAAGTTTTGGCTCTATTAATAACCCTTGTGATGTGTAATATAAATGATGACTGCATTAAAAATGGCACTGTAAGGCCAGGCGTGGTGGCTCACGCCTGTAATCCCAGTACTTTAGGAGGCCAAGGTGGGTGGATCACGAGGTCAAGAGATCGAGACAATCCTGGCCAACTTGGTGAAACTATGTCTTTACTAAAAATGCAAAACTTAGCTGGGCGTGGTGGCACGTGCCTGTAGTCCCAGCTACTTGGTAGGCTGAGGCAGGAGAATCACTTGAACCAGAGAGGCAGAGGTTGCAGTGAGCCGAGATTGCGTCACTGCACTCCAGCCTGGTGACACAGTGAGACTCCATCTCAGAAAAAAAGAAATGTAAAAGTTATATTTATAAAATGTCACTTTTGGATCATATTACAGTCCATATTCCTAATATGTTTAGTACTTTATTCCAAGGCAATAAGCGAAGTTTACATCATTGTGAAGTTACAGCTTACCTCCCCATAAAGTACTTAGGTGGCACATGTATCTAATAACATTGCATTTGATCAATTAAGAAAGTAGATTTACCTGGCTGGGCATGGTGGCTCACACCTGTAATCCCTGCACTTTGGGAGACTGAGGTGGGTGGATCACATGAGGTCAGGAGTTTGAGACCAACCTGGCCAACATGGTGAAACCCCATCTCTACTAGTAACACAAAAATTAGCCGGGTGTGGTGGTGTGCACCTGTAATCCCAACTACTCAGGAGGCTGAGGCAGCAGAATCACTTGAACTGGGGAGCTGGAGGTTGCAGTGAGCCGAGATCATGCCATTGCACTCCAGCCTGGGCAACAAGGGCAAAACTCTGTCTCAAAAAAGGAAAAAAAAAAAGTAGATTTACCCATCATTGAAACATTTCCTGGCCCATCATTACTTGTAGCATTAAAAAAAAGGTTGATAAAGAAAATTAATCAGCATTGTCTTTGCCCATAACCAACAGAGTTTTATTCTATTACTTGAGCTGTTCAAGTACCATATACTCAGGTCGAGTAGCATGTACTGAGTTCAGAACTAACTGACTTTAAAAGGTATTAACAACATTCAAGGGCAGTTTTTTCACCATGATTGTGAACTTTTTGAAAACCATGACTGTGCCGTGTTCACTTTTGCATTTTTGGCATCCAGTTAATTACTTAGAAAGTCCTATTAAATTTAGTTCAGCAGTCAAGTAAACAACAGTGTTCTCATCTATTCTGTAGCTATATTATACATTCAGTACCATGGACAATGGCTCAACACTTTCTTTTTATAATTTTTTAATTTTTTTTAATTTTTGTGGGTACGTAGTAGGGTATATATTTATGGGGTAAATGAGGTGTTTGATATAGGCATGCCATGTTGAATAAGCAAATCATGAGGAATGGGGAATCCATCCTCTCAAGCATTTCTCTTTTGAGTAACAATCCAATTATTGAATATAGTCACTCTGTAGTGCTATTGAATAGTAGCTGTTATTCATCCTTTCTAACATTTTTTGGTACCCATTAGCCATCCTCTCCTTCCCCCAGCCCCACAGTGTCCTCCTTAGCCTCTGGTAATCATCCTTCTACTCTCTATGTCCATGAATTCAATTGTTTGAGTTTTAGATCCCACAAATAAGTGAGAAGACACAAAGATTGTCTTGCTGTGCCTGGCTTACTTCACTTAACACAATGAGCTCCCATTCCATCAATGTTGTTGCAAATGACTGAATCTCATTCTTTTTTGTGGCTGAATAATACTCCACTGTGTATTTGTACCATATTTTCTTTCTCCTTTCATCTGTTAATGGACACTTAGGTTGTTTTCAAATCTTAGCTATTGTAAACAGGGCTTCAACAAACATAGGAGTGCAGATATCTCTTCGATATACTTATTTTCTTTCTTTGGGGTATATACCCAGCAGTGGAATTGCTGAATCATATGGTAGCTCTATTTTTAGTGTTTTGAGGAACCTCCAAACTCCTCTTCTCCATACTGGCTGTACAAATTTACATCTCCACTAACAGTGTGCAACAGTAACCTTTCCTCCATATCCTTCGCCAGCATTTGTTATTGCCTGTCTTTGGATATAAGCTATTTTAACTGGGGTGATGATATCTCATTTTGACTTGTCTTGAGAATGATCCATGTGCTGAGGAAAAGAATGTGCGTGCTGCAGCTCTTGAATGAAATGTTCTATAAATATCTGTTAGATCCCTTTGGTCTATGGTGCAGATTAGCTCTAATGTTTCTTTATTTTCTGTCTAGAAGGTCTGTTCAATGCCAAAAATGGGGTGTTGAAGTCTCCAGCTATTATTGTATTGGGGCCTCTCTCTTTAGCTCTACTAATATTTCCTCTATGTATCTGGGTGCTCCCAAGTTGGGCATATATATAATTGTTTTATCCACTTACTGAATTGATTCCTTTATTATTATAGAGTGACTCTTTTGTCTCTTCTTACAGGTTTTTTCTTGAAATCTACTTTTTCTGATATAGTAAGTATAGTAACTCCTGCTCTTTTTTTGGCTTCCATTGGCATGGAATATCTTTATTTTTCACCTACAAAGACACACATAAATATTCCATCCCTTTATTTGCAATCTATGTGTGTTTTTATATGTGAAGTGTGTTTCATGTATGCAACAGATCAAGGAGTCTTTCTTTTTTAATCCATTCAGGCAGCCTATGTCTTTGGATTGGAGAGTTTAGTCTATTTACATTCAATGTTATTATTGATAAGCAAGAACTTACTCCATTTTGTTATTTGTTTTCTGGTTGCTTTGTGACCTTCTCTTTCTTTCAGTCCCGTTTTCCTCTAATGAAGATGATGTTCTCTAGTGATATGATTTCGTTTCTTGCGTTTTATTTTGTGTGTGTGTATCCATTGGTTTGAGGTTACCATGAGGCTTGCAAAATCTATCTTATAAGCTATTATTTTAACTTGATAACAACTTAACACTATTTGCATAAACAAACAACAACAAAACAAATTAAAATTCTATGCCTTAACTTTGTCCTCCTGCTTTTTAAGTTGTTATTGTTCTATTTATATTTTATTGCACATCTTGAAAAATTGTTGTAGTTACTATTTTTGATTGGTTCATCATTTAGTCTTTCCACTTACAATAAGAATAGTTTACACACCACAATTAACCGTGTATTATATTCTGTGTTTTTCTGTGTACTTACTATTACCAGTAAGTTTTGTACCTTCAGATGATTATTTATTGATCATTAATGTTTTTCTTTTATATATATATAATTTTTATTATACTTTGAGTTCTAGGTTACATGTGCACAACGTGCAGGTTTGCTACATATGTATACATGTGCCATGTTGGTGTGCTGTACCCATTAACTCATCATTTACATTAGGTATATCTCCTAATGCTATCCTTCCCCTCTCCCCCCACCCCACAACAGGCCCTGGTGTATGATGTTCCCCTTCCTGTGTCCATGTGTTCTCATTGTTCAATTCCCACCTATGAGTGAGAACATGCAGTGTTTGGGTTTTTGTCCTTGTGATAGTTTGCTGAGAATGATGGTTTCCAGCTTCATCCATGTCCCTAAAGGACATGAACTCATCAGTTTTCATGGCTGCATAGTATTCCGTGGTGTATATGTGCCACATTTTCTTAATCCAGTCTATCATTGTTGGACATTTGGGTTGGTTCCAAGTCTTTGCTATTGTGAATAATGCCACAATAAACATACGTGTGCATGTGTCTTTATAGCAGCATGATTTATAATCCTTTGCGTATATACCCAGTAATGGGATGGCTGGGTCAAATGGTATTTCTAGTCCTAGATCCCTGAGGAATTGCCCCACTGACATATGAACACACAGTGTCTGTTCATATCCTTCACCCACTTGTTGATGGGGTTGCTTTTTTCTTGTAAATTTGTTGGAGTTCTTTGTAGATTCTGCATATTAGCCCTTTGTCAGATGAGTAGATTGCAAAAATATTCTCCCATTCTGTAGGTTGCCTGTTCACTCTGACGATAGTTTCTTTTGCTGTGCAGAAGCTCTTTAGTTTAATTAGATCCCATTTGTCAATTTTGGCTTTTGTTGCCATTGCTTTTGGTGTTTTAGACATGAAGTCCTTGCCCATGCCTATGTCCTGAATGGTATTGCCTAGGTTTTCTTCTAGAGTTTTTATGGTTTTAGGTCTAACATTTAAGTCTTTAATCCATCTTGAATTAATTTTTGTATAAGGTGTAAGGAAGGGATCCAGTTTCAGCTTTCTACATATGGCTAGCCAGTTTTCCCAGCACCATTTATTAAATAGGGAATCCTTTCCCCATTTCTTGTTTTTGTCAGGTTTGTCAAAGATCAGATGGTTGTAGATGTGTGGTATTATTTCTGAGGGCTCTGTTCTGTTCCGTAATGTTCTTTTCTTTCTGATTGAAGTATTCACTTTAGCATTTCTTATAGGATGGGTCTGGTATTGATGAAATCCCTTTGCTTTTGTCTGGGAAAGTCTTTGTTTCTTCTTCATATTTGAAGAATATTTTTGCCAGATATACTATTCTAGGATAAAAGTTATTTTCCTTCAGCACTTTAAATATGTCATGCCAATCTCTCCTGGCCTGTAAAATTTTCACTGAAAAGTCTGCTGCCAGATCTATTTGAGCTTCATTGTATGCTATTTGTTTGTTTTCTCTTGCTGCTTTTAGGATCCTTTCTTTGTCCTTGACTTTTGGGAATTTGATTTTTAAATGCCTTGAGGTAGTCTTTTTTGGGGTTAAGTATGCTTGGTATTCAATAACCTTCTTGTACTTGGATGTTGATATCTTTCTCTAGGTTTGGGAAGTTCTCTGTTATTATCTCTTTGAATGAACTTTCTACCTCTATCTCTTTCTCTATGTCCTCTCTAAGGCCAATATCTCTCAGATTTGCCCTTTTGAAGGTATTTTCTAGATCCCGTAGGCATGCTTCATTGTTTTTTATTCTTTTTTTTTTATTATTATACTTTAAGTTTTAGGGCACATGTGCACATTGTGCAGGTTAGTTACATATGTATACATGTGCCGTGCTGGTGTGCTGCACCCACTAACTCGTCATCTAGCATTAGATATATCTACCAATACTATCCCTCCCCCCACCCCACCACAGTCCCCAGAGTGTGATATTCCCCTTCCTGTGTCCATGTGATCTCATTGTTCAATTCCCACCTATGAGTGAGAATATGCGGTGTTTGGTTTTTTGTTCTTGCGATAGTTTACTGAGAATGATGGTTTCCAATTTCATCCATGTCCCTACAAAGGACATTAACTCATCCTTTTTTATGGCTGCATAGTATTCCATGGTGTATATGTGCCACATTTTCTTAATCCAGTCTATCATTGTTGGACATTTGGGTTGGTTCCAAGTCTTTGCTATTGTGAATAATGCTGCAATAAACATACGTGTGCATGTGTCTTTATAGCAGCATGATTTATAGTCCTTTGGATATATACCCAGTAATGGGATGGCTGGGTCAAATGGTATTTCTAGTTCTAGATCCCTGAGGAATTGCCACACTGACATCCACAATGGTTGAACTAGTTTACAGTCCCACCAACAGTGTAAAAGTGTTCCTATTTCTCCACATCCTCTCCAGCACCTGTTGTTTCCTGACTTTTTAATGATTGCCATTCTAACTGGTGTGAGATGATATCTCATAGTGGTTTTGATTTGCATTTCTCTGATGGCCAGTGATGATGAGCATTTTTTCATATGTTTTTTGGCTGCATAAATGTCTTATTTTGAGAAGTGTCTGTTCATGTCCTTCGCCCACTTTTTGATGGGGTTGTTTGTTTTTTTCTTGTAAATTTGTTTGAGTTCATTGTAGATTCTGGATATTAGCCCTTTGTCAGATGAGTAGGTTGCGAAAATTTTCTCCCATGTTGTAGGTTGCCTGTTCACTCTGATGGTAGTTTCTTTTGCTGTGCAGAAGCTCTTTAGTTTAATTAGATCCCATTTGTCAATTTTGGCTTTTGTTGCCATTGCTTTTGGTGTTTTGGACATGAAGTCCTTGCCCACGCCTATGTCCTGAATGGTAATGCCTAGGTTTTCTTCTAGGGTTTTTATGGTTTTAGGTCTAACGTTTAAATCTTTAATCCATCTTGAATTGATTTTTGTATAAGGTGTAAGGAAGGGATCCAGTTTCAGCTTTCTACATATGGCTAGCCAGTTTTCCCAGCACCATTTATTAAATAGGGAATCCTTTCCCCATTGCTTGTTTTTCTCAGGTTTGTCAAAGATCAGATAGTTGTAGATACGCGGCGTTATTTCTGAGGGCTCTGTTCTGTTCCATTGATCTATATCTCTGTTTTGGGACCAGTACCATGCTGTTTTGGTTACTGTAGCCTTGTAGTATAGTTTGAAGTCAGGTAGTGTGATGCCTCCAGATTTGTTCTTTTGGCTTAGGATTGACTTGGCGATGCGGGCTCTTTTTTGGTTCCATATGAACTTTAAAGTAGTTTTTTCCAATTCTGTGAAGAAAATCATTGGTAGCTTGATGGGGATGGCATTGAATCTGTAAATTCCCTTGGGCAGTATGGCCATTTTCACGATATTGATTCTTCCTACCCATGAGCATGGAATGTTCTTCCATTTGTTTGTATCCTCTTTTATTTCCTTGAGCAGTGGTTTGTAGTTCTCCTTGAAGAGGTCCTTCACATCCCTTGTAAGTTGGATTCCTAGGTATTTTATTCTCTTTGAAGCAATTGTGAATGGGAGTTCACTCATGATTTGGCTCTCTGTTTGTCTGTTGTTGGTGTATAAGAATGCTTGTGATTTTTGTACATTGATTTTGTATCCTGAGACTTTGCTGAAGTTGCTTATCAGCTTAAGGAGATTTTGGGCTGAGACGATGGGGTTTTCTAGATAAACAATCATGTCGTCTGCAAACAGGGACAATTTGACTTCCTCTTTTCCTAATTGAATACCCTTTATTTCCTTCTCCTGCCTGATTGCCCTGGCCAGAACTTCCAACACTATGTTGAATAGGAGCGGTGAGAGAGGGCATCCCTGTTCTTTTCACTCTTGTAAAGTACATTAGTTTTTACTTTTGTCTCCTCTGACTGTGTATTTTCAAATAGCCTGTTTTTGAGCTATGTCTTTTTTTCTGCTTGATCCATTCTGCAATTGAAAGAGTGATGCATTCTTCAGTATGCCGAGTGCATTTTTCAGCTCCAGAATTTCTGCTTGATTATTTTAAATTATTTCAATCTCTGTTGAATTTATCTGATAGAATTCTAAATTCCTTCTCTGTTATCTTGAATTTCTTTCTGTTTCCTCAACACAGATATTTTGATCTATCTGTCTGAAAGGTCACATTCTCTGTTTCTCCAGGATTGGTCCCTGGTGCCTTATTTATTTTATTTGGTGAGGTTATGTTTTCCTGGGTGGTGTAGAAGATATCCTTCAGTGACTGGGTACTGAAGAGTTAGGTATTTATTGTAGGTCTTCACTGGCTGGGCTTATTTGTAGCCACCCTTCTTGAAAAGGCTTTTTAGCTATTTGAAAGAACTTGGGTGTTGTGATCTAAGCTGTATCTTCTTTACTGGGCACCCGAGACCCAGTAACGCTGTGGTTCTTGCAGAGTCTCAGAAGCACCACCTTGATGGTCTTAAACAAGATCCAGGAGAATTTTCTGGTTTACCAGGAAGAGACTCTTGCTCTCTTCTCTTACTTTCTCCCAAACATACAAAGCCTAACTCTCCATTCTGAGTCACCTGAAGCTTGGGGTGCAGTGACCCAAGCACCCCTGTGGCCACCACCACTATGATTGTGCTGAGTCAGACTTGAAGTCACCATAGTGCTGGGTGCCACACAAAGCCTGCTGTAACCACTCCCTGGCTACTGTCTAGGTTTGCTCAAGGCCCTAGGGCTCTATAATCAGCAGGTGGCAAAGCCAGCCAGGCCTTTGTCCTTCCCCTCAGGGCACTGAGGTCCCTCAGGCCCCAGATAGGTCCAGTAGTGCTGTCCAGGAGTCGGGGTAAGAGGTTACAAACCTTAGAAGTCTACCTGGTGTTCTATTATATTGGGGCTGATTTCACACTCAAGATACAAGCCACAGTCCTTCCCACTCTTCCCTCCCTGTTTCAAAAGCAGAAGACTATAACCCATAGCCCCCACCACCCCTGGCCATGAGTGCTGCCAGGTTTCCACAAACGCTCCCTTAAGGCCCAGAGTCTCTTATGTCAGTTTGTGGTGAATGTTGCCTGGCCTGGGACTCACCCTTCAGAGCAGTGGGCTCCCCTCTAGCCCAGGGCAGGCACAGAAATGTCATCCAAGAGTCAACCCTGGAATCAGGGATCCCTTAAGCGCACTTGGTGCTCTACCCACCTGTGGCGGTTTTGGTACCTAAGGTGCAAGACAAAGTCGCCTTTACTTTTGCCTCTGCTTTTGCCTCTTTACTTTTGCCCTGTAGCCACCAGAGCTGGTAATGTGCTGAGTCTCCCCTGAAGCCAGCAAGTCTCAGTGGCTCATCAAGGCCCTAGATGTAGTACCCAGGCATCATTGCTGGTTATTCAGGGTCCGCCGGCTCTTCAGTTAGCAGGTGATGAATGCTGCAGGACTGGGTCCTTTCCTTCAAGGCAGCCAGTTCTCTTCTGGCCCAGGATATGTCTAGAAATGTCACCTCAGAGCTAAGGCCTGGAATGGGGGCCTCAAGGCTCTGACCAGTGCCCTATCCTGCTGTGGCTCAGCTGGTATTCAAGGTGCAAGAAAAGTCCTTCCCACTCTTCTCTCTTTTTTCCTCAAGCAGAAGAGTCTCTTTTGGATCCACAAGTTATGCATCTTCGGGTTAGGGGAATGGTGATGCCAGTACTCCCTTGGCTGCCACAGATGATGTCTCAGTAGGTTGTGTGCCCCCAAGTCCACCGCCTCTGGACCTAGTTCAGTCCTAGGACTCGCCTATGAGTCTCAGCTATTATGGCGGAGACTGCCTTTCAAGTTTACTTGGAGACACAGAGTGGCTGCAGCTCTTGGTGGTGAGGTTTGCAGGCATTCAAGTGGAGACTGCTGGGATGGGAGATTCCCCTCTGGCTAGGGCTGGTTTAAATGCTTGCTCTGTGGAAAGGTGTCAGCTGAGAGTGGTTGGGTTTTCCTTTCTGCTTTAACAGGGCAGCATTGAGTTCGATGCCTCACAATTGCTGTGTTCTCCCTCCCCCAGCACCCAGAGATACATTCCACAACACACAGCTACTCTTGGGGTGGGGAGAGGTGGCATCTGCAATTCAGGACTGTTTTCTTTTTTTTTCTTTTTTTTCTTTTTTCTTTTTCTTTTTTTTTTTTTGAGATGGAGTCTTGCTCTGTCTCTCAGGCTGGAGTGCAGTGGCACAATCTCAGCTCACTGCAACTTCTCCCTCCTGGGTTCAAGAGATTTTCCTGTCTCAGCCTCCTGAGTAGCTGGGATTACAGTCATGTGCCAAAACACCTGGCTAATTTTGTATTTTTAGTAGAGATAGCGTTTCACCACGCTGGCCAGGCTGGTCTTGAACTCCTGACCTCAGGTAATCCGCTTGCCTCAGCCTCCCAAAGTGCTGGGATTACAAGCATGAGCCACCACTCCTGGCCAGGACTGTTTTTTCAGTCTCTTCAGTGCCTCTTTCAGCGATGTAAAGTTAATACTAGGTACTATGAGTGCTCACCTCTTTTTTGGTTCTTATGGAGGTGTTTTTTTCATATAGATAGCTGTTAATTTGGTGTCCTTGCTCAGGGAAACAATAGGTAGGGCTTTCTATTTGGCTGTCTTACTCTGCCTCTCAGCTCTTTTCACTTAGGACTTCAACACGCTACAAACCAGATGTGAAAATATACGGTTCAGTTCCTTACCACCTCCTTTAGGGCACACTGAAAAGACTCCATTTCTCTTTAGCTAAGAAATCCTGATGTGTGTGTGGTAGAACTCCAGTTGTTTGGAAAGTAATGGGCTCACTGCTTCATATAAGGGAGATAAGGGAAAATAAATGTCATTACTTGTCAAGTGCCTCATTTCTTCACGCATATGGAAGTTCCACAGTTGCAGGAACTTTGTCTTGTTTGTTGCTTTATCTTCATTGCTCAGCCAATAGTCTGTAACAAAATAGGTAGTTGAAAAAGTGATTCATGTGGTGCCTCTCTGGTAAAAATCTCTTTAATGAGCACAACAAAAACAACAAACAACAACAAACAAGTTGTTAATACTTGTTCATTAGAATACCAGTAATGAGACTTTGAAAATTGATGTGACTTGTGTAGCTGGCTTCCTTCAAATTAAAGTTCAACAGAGAACTCATAAATTCAAAGTAACCAACAATCTATTGGGCTCTTAATTCATAAGTTCAGTGAAACCATTTTGTATAACTAAAATGCTTCCAAAGAAGAACACCATTAAAAATACATATTCTTGAAGATTTATATCTGTGAAGTAGAGTAAAAACATATTATTTAGAGACTATGACAGTATAAATATGAGAAGATAAGTAAGATTCATGGCAATGTATCATTTCATGAAATGTTTAAACCTCCACATGGTGCAGAGATGGGTAGAGATTTATATACTGGCAGAAATGCACTGATGCCATTGACATGCATCATTGCAGAATGACTGCAACTATAAAATAGATATTGATGACTAGAACAACCAGTATGTTTCACACTAAGGTGAACAAAAATTCAAGAGGATGATAAGTCACATGATACATTTTTGAATATACAGGAAAAAAAATCATACTCTGGTGAAGCCTACTAGACTAAAGGCATTATACTTAGCTAATGACTGGTAATAATCTGGACATAACTCTTCATTTTGCCCTAAGCCCACAGTTACTATGAACTCAATACCAGTCCTTTTACCTTGAAAATAAGAGATTATTAATATATAAGCTCTTTCTATTAATAATCATGGCATTATTTGACTCTAATGTGGAGAATTTCAAAGTAGACCTAAACAACAAAATGTAGTGGGATTTTGCTTTTCTTTATATGTAGCCTGTATGATTTGGGGTGCAGGGGTGATGGATAGGCTGCTTAACTTACTAACAGTGCCTTCAAATGTCTCTATAAACCCTGATGAAATACAACTTTGGAAATGCTGACTGTAGCAATTCTGGATGAATTCAGTCACCATATACCTTCCTTCTAACACACAGAAACAAGCATCTCTCCTGAATACGTCTTTTCCTATTTTTAAAACTGTGTAAGTTGCCCTTTTCACAGAATAAAAATATAGTTTATATGAAACAATTTCTGGTTGAAAGTTTTAAAATAATAGTTGATCATTTACTGATGCAATGCCAAGCAACTGATTTCATTGTTTTTTTTCTCCTTCTTCTTTTTTTTTCTTCACTGAGCTATTTACACACACCTAAATCAGTGTTTTAGGAAAAAAGCAAACAGTTAAACAAAATTTTAAAATACCCATCCTTGTGTAACAGGTTTAATTCCTTAAATAACCTATATATTTTGGATGGACTTCTAACAGATTTTTATTCCAAACAGACTTCTGTGTAAAAGCACTTCTAGGGCTAAAGGGCTGACTCACATTCTTTTTTTTGTTGTTTTTGTTTTTGTTTTATTATTATACTTTAAGTTTTAGGGTACATGTGCACAATGTTCAGGTTAGTTACATATGTATACATGTGACATGCTGGTGTGCTGCACCCACTAACTCGTCATCTAGCATTAGGTATACCTCCCAATGCTATCCCTCCCCCCTCCCCCACCCCACAACAGTCCCCAGAGTGTGATGTTCCCCTTCCTGTGTCCATGTGTTCTCATTGTTCAATTCCCACCTATGAGTGAGAATATGCGGTGTTTGGTTTTTTGTTCTTGCGATAGTTTACTGAGAATGATGATTTCCAATTTCATCCATGTCCCTACAAAGGACATTAACTCATCCTTTTTTATGGCTGCATAGTATGGTGTATATGTGCCACATTTTCTTAATCCAGTCTATCATTGTTGGACATTTGGGTTGGTTCCAAGTCTTTGCTATTGTGAATAATGCTGCAATAAACATACGTGTGCATGTGTCTTTATAGCAGCATGATTTATAGTCCTTTGGATATATACCCAGTAATGGGATGGCTGGGTCAAATGGTATTTCTAGTTCTAGATCCCTGAGGAATCGCCACACTGACTTCCACAATGGTTGAACTAGTTTACAGTCCCACCAACAGTGTAAAAGTGTTCCTATTTCTCCACATCCTCTCCAGCACCTGTTGTTTCCTGACTTTTTAATGATTGCCATTCTAACTGGTGTGAGATGATATCTCATTGTGGTTTTGATTTGCATTGCTCTGATGGCCAGTGATGGTGAGCATTTTTTCATGTGTCTGTTGGCTGCATAAATGTCTTATTTTGAGAAGTGTCTGTTCATGTCCTTTGCTCACTTTTTGATGGGGTTGTTTGTTTTCTTGTAAATTTGTTTGAGTTCATTGTAGATTCTGGATATCAGCCCTTTGTCAGATGAGTAGGTTGCAAAAATTTTCTCCTATTTTGTGGGTTGCCTGTTCACTCTGATGGTAGTTTCTTTTGCTGTGCAGAAGCTCTTTAGTTTAATTAGATCCCATTTGTCAATTTTGGCTTTTGTTGCCATTGCTTTTGGTGTTTTAGACATGAAGTCCTTGCCCATGCCTATGTCCTGAATGGTAATGCCTAGGTTTTCTTCTAGGGTTTTTATGGTTTTAGGTCTAACGTTTAAGTCTTTAATCCATCTTGAATTGATTTTTGTATAAGTGTAAGGAAGGGATCCAGTTTCAGCTTTCTACATATGGCTAGCCAGTTTTCCCAGCACCACTTATTAAATAGGGAATCCTTTCCCCATTGCTTGTTTTTCTCAGGTTTGTCAAAGGTCAGACAGTTGTAGATATGCGGCGTTATTTCTGAGGGCTCTGTTCTGTTCCATTGATCTATATCTCTGTTTTGGTACCAGTACCATGCTGTTTTGGTTACCGTAGCCTTGTAGTATAGTTTGAAGTCAGGTAGTGTGATGCCTCCTGCTTTGTTCTTTTGGCTTAGGATTGACTTGGTGATGCGGGCTTTTTTTTGGTTCCATATGAACTTTAAAGTACTATTTTCCAATTCTGTGAAGAAAGTCATCGGTAGCTTGTTGGGGATGGCATTGAATCTATAAATTACCTTGGGCAGTATGGCCATTTTCATGATATTGATTCTTCCTACCCATGATCATGGAATGTTCTTCCATTTGTTTGTATCGTCTTTTATTTCATTGAGCAGTGGTTTGTAGTTCTCCTTGAAGAGGTCCCTCATGTCCCTTGTAAGGTGGATTCCTAGGTATTTTATTCTCTTTGAAGCAATTGTGAATGGGAGTTCACTCATGATTTGGCTCCCTGTTTGTCTATTATTGTTGTATAAGAATGCTTGTGATTTTTGTACATTGATTTTGTATCCTGAGACTTTGCTGAAGTTGTTTATCAGCTTAAGGAGATTTTGGGCTGAGACAATGGGGTTTTCTAGATATACAATCATGTCGTCTGCAAACAGGGACAATTTGACTTCCTCTTTTCCTAACTGAATACCCTTTATTTCCTTCTCCTGCCTGATTGCCCTGGCCAGAACTTCCAACACTATGTTGAACAGGAGTGGTGAGAGAGGGTATCCCTGTCTTGTGCCAGTTTTCAAATGGAATGCTTCCAGTTTTTGCCCATTCAGTATGATATTGGCTGTGGGTTTGTCATAGATAGCTCTCATTATTTTGAGATACGTCCCATCAATACCGAATTTATTGAGAGTTTTTAGCATGAAGGGTTGTTGAATTTTGTCAAAGGCCTTTTCTGCATCTATTGAGATAATCATGTGGTTTTTGTCTTTGGTTCTGTTTATATGCTGGATTACATTTATTGATTTGCATATATTGAAGCAGCCTTGCATCCCAGGCATGAAGCCCACTTGATCATGGTGGATAAGCTTTTTGATGTGCTGCTGGATTCGGTTTACCAGTATTTTATTGAAGATTTTTGCATCAATGTTCATCAAGGATGTTGGTCTAAAATTCTCTTTTTTGGTTGTGTCTCTGCCAGGCTTTGGTATCAGGATGATGCTGGCCTCATAATTTTTCTATTGATTGGAATAGTTTCAGAAGGAATGGTATCAGTTCCTCCTAGTACCTCTGGTAGAATTCGGCTGTGAATCCATCTGGTCCTGGACTCTTTTTGTTGGTAAGCTATTGATCCAATAGAATGTGCCTACATTGGTAACCACCACTACATGCAGTACTCAGTTAAGATAAAATGAGCATATACTCATAGGAGAAAGGACAGAAAGAAAAGCACCACTTCGGAAGTTGAACAATGAGAACACATGGACACAGGGAGGGGAACATAACACACAGGGGCCTGTTGGGGAGTGGGGGACAAGGGGAGGGAGAGCATTAGGGCAAATGCTTAATGCATGTGGGGCTTAAAACCTAGAAGATGAGTTGATAGGTGCAGCAAACCACTATGGTACATGTATACCTATGTAGCAAACCTGCACGTTCTGCACATGTATCCCAGAACTTAAAGTCAAATAAAACAATAAATAAATAAAAGCACCACTTTTTTTTCACAAGACAATGACATCATCGGTCAGTGAGAAGAGCCAACATTTCATTTTTCCATCTTTACCATATGTTTGTAAGGCATTAAAGAAACAGCATAAAACTAGCAGACAAAATTTAATGATTAAAATACTGGGCTTTAGATTCAACCAGAATAAATTTGTATCCAGATTCTTCCCCTTTATCTCAGGACCCATTTAGGTACTATACCTCCATTTCGATATCTGCAAATTAGATAATGCTAGCACCTGACTCTTACATTATGAGTGTTAAATGAGATAATATATCAAACACATAATTTGGCACAGTGCGTGACACATATTATTCCTAAAAGATATATCTTAATCTTAGTAGACTTTGTGTCATTAACTAGCACTGTAATTTTTATCTGGTTGGTTACAAAATAGACAGATTAATGGACTTCATTTTTGGCCAGAGTCTACATTAAGTATTTCATCTGGATTAAATTAACATAGAATTAAATTTGCAACATAAACACAATTTCTCTTTTTATTTTTCATATGGAAAAAATTAAGTTACAAAGAGATTGAATAATTGACACTAGATGACAGGTCAGGTATGACTGATATCACAAATTTGAGTCTAGGCTATAAGTTAGAGTACACACATTTGCCACCGCATTCCTCACTTATTAAAATAGAGACAAGGGAAAAGAATACAGGAGGAAGTGATTCCTACCAAGAAGATAGAAGAGAAAAAGAAGAGGACAGAAACTTCTTGAAACTCTGTTCTGCATGTGTTTAACCCTATGATAACTGTTTGAAGTGTACGGTTCGTTTATTTTTCACTAAAATTTTTAAGAAGCCATTACATCTATTTTTCATTATAAGATAATATGAAATATGTGGAAAACATATAGAGAATAATTTTTAAAAGACCCACCTCAAGAAAGAACACATTGCCAACAGAATGAAAATTTCCTGACAGTCTGATGAATGTACTCCTTTCCCTCATCCCTTGTTACAAGTAACCAATATTCAGAAGGTAGGGTTTATATATCCATCAATTTTTATACTTTTCATATATATGTTTATCCCAAACAATATAAAGCAATGTTTAGTTTATTTTAATTTCCATATGCAGTATTGTAATTCATGCATTCTTCATAAAATTGCTTTTTCATTTAAATATATGCTACGATGTTCATCCATTTTTATATGTATAGCTGTAGTGCCTTCAGTTTTACAATTTGATATTATTCAGTTTTAATAAAACATCACATTTTATTTATCTATTCAATTTTAAGGAAACATCACAGTTTGTTTAACTATTTTATCTGTTGAGGTTCTTTATTTTCCCATACTACAGTAGTGTTTCTCTAGATGTTTTCTGTATATTACCCAGGTGCCCACGTGGAAATGTGCAGGACTTTCTCTAGAGCATATACTGACAACTTGAATCATGGGAATGAACATTTCAACCATCCTAGTTATTGACAAAAATATTTCACTTCTTCAACTTAACTAGGTATTACTAAATTGCTCTCCAAAGCAGGTACACTAATTTATAAGGGTTTCTCTTATTCCACATACTCCAGCAATTGACATTATCAAACTTTGACATGTTTGTAAACCTGATTGGCATGCATTAGAATTGAATTACATTTAAATACCATTTCATGTATTACTAGTGAGAAGAAACACAATTTTTAGGTTCATTTGGTATTCAAGTTTTTCCCTCCTCTACACTTTTGCTATTACATTTGTCATTTCTTTTAATTAGGCTATTATGTTTTTCTTATCAACATGTTGGGGTTCTTTTTATTCTGGATTTTGCTCTTCTGTGAGTTATTTGTATTGTCCATGTCTTCTACCAGACTTTGAACTTTTAAATTAAAAAAAGTTCTTGATAAACTTTTTATTCATAATATTCAAATACATACATAAATATTGTCCTTATCATTTGCACTCATTGTGTCTTATTTTAAAGCCATTTCCTACTAGAAGTCACACATATTTCCTAGATTTCCCAGATTTTTCCCTAAAAATTTTAAAGTTGATTTGTATACTTTGGTCTTTAATCAACATAGAACTGATTTGTGGATAGGGTACAGGTTAGGAATCCTACGTTATTTATGTCCACATGTGTTTTAAACTATTAAGGCACCGAAAGTGAGACCAGGGCAGTAAGTCAAGCCAAATTTAGGAAAACATCAGATTTATCAGGCTTATCATGCCAAGGAGATTGCACTTTATCCCAAGGCCAATGAGGAACATCACTGCATGATGTAAACAGAATAGTGCTTTTCACCAGATGGGCAACAGAGAGAGTAACAAGGAGGCAGTTTTGTTGTTGTGCAGGTGACAGATAACAGGGGTCTGACCCAGGCGATGATACAAAAATCATTATCATTGCTACAGCTTATGCTGGGAGTTACTAGGGTCTCTGTGGATACTCAAACCTTGAAGACTTTGCCATCTTGTGTAAATATTTATTTATCTGTACATCTGTCTTTTCCCCCAAAAAAAAATGAATTTCAGGAGGACAGAAAAACATCTGAACCATCTATGGACCAAGATTGTAGCATTAAAATTGCCTTTCCAATTATCTCTCTTTAGCCTGCTGTTCAAGCAGTTGAAGAAAAATAATCAAACCACAGGGGGATAATTTGAGGAATTTAAGACAATGTCTACTATTGGTAGGATATTAGGTAACTACAAATGACAGGGCAGTTTCTTCGGACTAGTAACATCTGGAAACAATAACCATCCCTAGTTCTGAAAGGGCAAGAAGAAGTATAATGGAACCCCGAGAATGAGAAGAGCTGAGAGGTTATCCCTTAGGAGTTGTGACTTTGATAATTTGCAACTTTAGACAAGCCAAACTAAAAGAACTCTGCTATAAAGGACCTAGGGAATGGCAACTTTTATTTTATTCTCCTTCTCTCTTGAACACAGCCAATGCCCACTGTGATCAAACTCAATAGGAAGCTAGATGGGAAGGGAGCTTGCTGATGCCATCCACACGGATCATCCTTGGAGGTGCAGGGCAGGGTGAAGAAGTGTGGAAGGAGGTCTGGAGATGCTCAGAGCTGTGTCCTCCTCAAACTTTACAATGTAAGTAGAAACTGTATACTTATACTGCAAATGTAATCAAAGACTATGCTCCAGTTCTCCCTCCAGTCACATTCCTTCTTTTGAGTGCTAACCCCAACATTCAATACTGAAAGATTTCAATAAACATTTCTTTTATTATTATTATTATTATTATACTTTAAGTTTTAGGGTACATGTGCACAACATGCAGGTTTGTTACATATGTATACATGTGCCATGTTGGTGTGCTGCACACATTAACTCGTCATTTAACATTAGGTATATCTCCTAATGCTATCCCTCCCCTCTCCCCCTACCCCACAACAGGCCCTGGTGTGTGATGTTCCCCTTCCTGTGTCCATGTGTTCTCATTGTTCTATTCCCACCTATGAGTGAGAACATATGGTGTTTGGTTTTTTGTCCTTGCGATAGTTTGCTGAGAATGATGGATTCCAGCTTCATCCATGTCCCTACAAAGGACATGAACTCATCAGTTTTTATGGCTGCATAGTATTCCATGGTGTATATGTGCCACATTTTCTTAATCCAGTCTATCAATCATTGATGGACATTTGGGTTGGTTACAAGTCTTTGCTATTGTGAACAGTGCCACAATAAACATACGTGTGCATGTGTGTTTATAGCAGCATGATTTATAATCCTTTGTGTATATACCCAGTGATGGGATGGCTGGGTCAAATGGTATTTCTAGTTCTAGATCCCTGAGGAATCGCCACACCGACTTCCACAATGGTTGAACTAGTTTACAAAGTCTCACCAACCGTGTAAAAGTGTTCCTGTTTCTCCACATCCTCTCCAGCACCTGTTGTTTCCTGATTTTTTAATGATTGCCATTCTAACTGGTGTGAGATGGTATCTCATTGTGGTTTTGATTTGCATTTCTCTGATGGCCAGTGATGATGACATTTTTTCATGTGCCTGTTGGCTGCATAAATGTCTTCTTTTGAGAAGTGTCTATTCATATACTTCACCCACTTGTTGATGGGGTTATTTGTTTTTTCTTGTAAATTTGTTGGAGTTCACTGTAGATTCTGGATATTAGCCCTTTGTCAGATGAGTAGATTGCAAAAATTTTCTCCCATTCTGTAGGTTGCCTGTTCACTCTGATGGTAGTTTCTTTTGCTGTGCAGAAGCTCTTCAGTTTAAAGAAATTGACAAATGGGATCTAATTAATCAATTTTTGTATCACAGTGACATAAAAATAGGTTTTGTATCCTTTATCTCATTTAGTCCTTTTAGTAACCCATTACTTAGATCATTTTTATTTATGTATTACAAATGAGGAAACGATAAGAGAAGAGAGAATACTAAGGAGAGTTACAGAAAGCCACAAAGCGGTTAAATAACTTGGGAAGCCTGTAGACTTCACTCATGGGGAAGAATCTAATACAGGTCTTCAGATCCCAAAGGAGCAACAGTATAATATTTCAACTGCTCTACCAGCAAGTCAGACCAGTGGCCTTAATACAGGGGAAGAAAACCACTCTGGGGTCTGTGTAATCTGATTTAATCCTAACTCTGAAGTAGGCCACAGGACTTCCAGGCTTCACTTCAGATGATAATTATATCCACTGTAGAGCTAACTTGTAAAGCAGAAAGTACAGCTTTACTTTGAAGAATTGGTTATTCTGCAAAAAAAAAAAAAAAAAAAAAAGGAAGGTGGTAAATAAAGTTGAAGAAGCTGGTGCTAATTAAATTCAGAAAACATGTGGAATTTGCCTTAACCTGAACAAATAACAGACGTTTTTTTATCCTCATTTATCACAAAAATCCTGTCATCCAAATAAATAATAGATAACTAAGATGCAGAATATTCAAGAGTCTCTTCTCATATTTGAAAGATTAGGGTGATCGCAACTGATAAATATTACAACTATGCCTATGAAGGAAAAGACAAATATTAAGATTGGAAATTGAGGAAATTAAAACTCTGTATTAGGGGAAATAAAATACTGGAGTCTTTTTTCCCCTCGGATAAAGTAATTGTGAAATATGAAAATTGGAGCAGGATATAACGTGCAATTAGGCAATATGAGGAAAACAACTAATCCCAGGGGGAAAAAGTTAGATAAGTAAAATTAGGGCTTACAGACAAAACAATTAATTATAAAGAATTATTTGGAGGATAAATGTATTCTTTTAAATAATATGCTTTCCATGAAAAATTAGCATACTACAACGATAAGGAGGCATTTTTTTTTTCTAAACAGAGGTTCTACTGAATAATCATCAGAAAGTAAGAACCAGAAAGCGTAGTAACAGGTATAGAGAAGATATAAGGTTAATGAAGGTTCCGGTACTGGCTTAAAGGCAAATATGTCTGTTTTGTATTTTTGTATTATTGGTAGCAGTTTCTGTTAGGCCATGATTAAAGCAACAACAGAATATTCACAGTTACCTTCACTGGGTAGGTGTTTATTTCAGGAAAGACTTTGTTTTCTATAACCTTTGTTTTCATTATACTTTGTTAAACACAGCCACTAAATATTTTTTTCCTATTTTTTCCTTCTTGCTTAATCCCTGTGTTTCCACACAGATAAATCTCATATAATTAGCTTGAGCTTTGGAAAATAGTGTTGCCTGGCACACATGAAATTAAGTTTTATGCCATGCCAGAGGAAGTTACAACCTGTTATGGGAATAGAAGTGCTTTACTGGGAGTTCCTTGCCCATGGCCATACATGAAATGAACAGAGAACAGAGGAAATTATTCAGCACTGAAAATTTTTCCCCAGCCCCACAAAAAGTATGATATTTTATTTTCATTGATTTTCCTTGATATCTCACATCTAAAATTATAATTTTGGCTATACTGCAATCATATTAACAAAACTAATTGTAAGAAAAGTTTTTTAAAGAATTAGTCAAAATAGTTGATTTATTTATGTATCTTCAGGGCCTAGCACAGGGCTTGGCACACAGTGATAATTGTTTTATGAAAAAATGAAAGATAATAGTAAAATGAAAGATAATAGTATCAACTCTCTGAGAGCATTCAATGATAATACTTTTATTTTTAACTTCTGGGTTCAGTATCCCAACATTGTATGTTTTTTTATCATCCTCATTGTAGACTTGGTCAGCTTCATGACCAAGCATAATTTCTAAGAGACAGAATAATAAGTTCAGAGTATTGTGCAATAATAAATATGCACCTACATACACACACATACACAATGTACCAATGAACCAGGCACCAACAAGCAGAACAAACATAAATGGACATTCCATTTGGTCATTCAACTCTTCCAAGTCATATAGAAAAAAATATTAGTAACAGGCTGTACTTTGCATTTCTCCATTATCTGGAAATTTGATATCAAAGATTATACAGCATAAAGTAAAAACAGAAAATAAATTTTAGAACAAAAGACATAATCTTAGCCTCAATTTTTTTAATTACAAATTGATACAGTTTGACTCTGTGTCCATACCCAAATCTCATCTTGTAGCTCCCATAATTCCCATGTGTTGTGGGAAGGACCCAATGGGAGATGACTAAATCATGAGGTTGGGTCTTTTGCATGCTGTTCTAGTGATAGTGAATGGGTCTCACAAGATCTGATGGCTTTAAAAACGGGAGGTTCTCTGAACTAGCTCTCTCTCTGCCTGCCGCCATCCACCTAAGATGTGACTTGCTCCTCCCCACCTTCTGCCATGATTGTGAAGCTTCCCCAGACACGTGGAGCTGTGAGTTCTTGCTTAAACCTCTTTCCTTTGTAAATTGCTCAGTCTTAGGTATGTCTTTATCAGCAGCATGAAAACAGACTAATACACTAATGTTGTTTGGTTTACATTATATAGGAGTCATTTTCAAAGGGTGGTGCCCATCTCTGCAGCATCAGCATCACTGGGAACTTGTTAGAAAAATACATTCTTGGGCAACTTAGTCTTCTAGAATCAGAAACTCTGGGCACAGGGCCCAGCAATGTGTGTTTTTCAAAGTCCTGCATGTGAGTCTAATATGGGTTCAAGTTTCAGACCACTCATCTAGATAAACTCCCATATATTTGGTGTGTGTTATAAGTAGAGATTGCTATTTAATAAAGCATCCATTATTTTAAAAGGCAGGGAATACAATATTTTTTGGAGAGTGTTCTTATGGGAAATAGCAAATATAAAGATGAGCAAAGCATATTTTCCATGCTAGGTTGTTATTTTTACATTTTGCTCTGGAGTAATAGACACAGCTGCTAAAAGAAGGACAAATTATCCAAGCCAGATGAATAAGAGTTCTTGCCTAGGATTCTCCTTGTGGAAACTGGAATGAGACATTCTCTTTCCTCATTGATTTCTTGAACTAAAGGGATCTGAGCTGAGAATTGCCTTCAGCCATGTTCTTGTTATGAATTTTATTTATAATATTGATGGCCCCAAATCTCTGTCTCCAATGCAGACTTCTTTAAACACTAGGCTCCAATGGCTACAATCTACTTATCTCTCCCTTTATGGTTGATGAGGATGTTGAGCTGGATTCTTGATTTCTCCCAATAGTGCTCTTTAAACCTTCTCCTCCTCCAGTTTTTCCAATATCAGTAAATAGCTCAACTAGCTACACATCTACCTCCTCTGCTCAGGGAAATATCCTTTGAATTGCATTGCTTATTTCTGTCTGTGCTCTCACATTCAATCCATTCATAAGTCTCTTTGGCTCTACTTTCAAAATATAACCCGAGTTGAGTAATTTCTTGCCAACTTTATAGTTTTTACCTGAATCCACACCACTGTAGTTTCTCCCTAGGACTGAAGTATCTACCTCCTAATGCTTGATTTCTTACAGCCTGTTCTCCACTAGAAAGATATTTTTAAAGCTTATACCTGAGCTTTTCATTTTCTGCTTAAAAGTTTCCAATGACTTCCTCTTAAAACTAAAAGTCTAGACTTCTTACCGTAAGCTAGGAAACCCTAGATAATAGGTTCTTGTCTATTCAACAACTACATCCTACTTTCCCCATAGATCTTTTTGCTTCACCCATATGAGCCTTGTCTCTGCCCTTCAAATACACTAAGGTCATTTTCACTTTTTTAGGGTCTTTATATTTGTGGATCCTTCTTTCTGGAATGTTCTTGCCACAGAGCTCTGAATGACTGCTTCTATGTAATGCTCCAGATCTCAAGTCAAGTATCATCTCTTTAAGGAAGGCTCTCCTGATCACCTTAATTAAAGTACTCCATTGCCTTCCTCTAGCCTTAGTCCCTTACTTTATCCTACATTGCTTTTTTATGAAATTTATGAAATATTTTACTATTTGAAATTAGATTATGTACGAATTTATTTTTAGTTTAAATTCTGCCTTTACTCTCTAGAAAAGCGTACAAAGTGTTATATACTTGTGCACAGAATTGGCCTGACTTGATTACCACTCTAACCAGACCTTAATACAGTGCTTCATACATAAGTAGTTGCTCAGTAAATGTTTACAGAATTAATTAAATGAATCAATGAGACAAACCCAAATGCAGTAAGAAGTATCAAGTTTATGCAGTGAGGAAGGATCTTGATGTCATTCAAGCTCTTGAATGTATTCTATACAGGGCCTTCCTTCCCTATTCTTCCCCTTTCCATATTTTGACCGTGTGAACCAGTAATGCAAACACATAAGCAAAATGGCATGATTTAGTTTGAATTGGTTTCCTACCTCTTATAATAGAAAAAGGTAAGACTGACAAATTGCTTACTCCATGTGAACATTTTAAGGGCAAAGCTACCTAAATTTGCTCCTTCTTACATGGATAAATTCCTTGTAATCCTTACACACCTAGAAAACTGATTAATAGAAATTGTTATTACATATGATTAGAAGAGGACTTAGTCAAAGCAGTGTAGAAATGATCAGCTCTGGGCTCTGCCTGTGTAAAGAGAAATGGAGGATTAGCTATGGTCTGCTCATCTGGGCCAATAACTTGGAGCCAAATTCAGATTATTATGCAGCAACCGGTTATTGAGATTGCCAGAAGAACTTTTTCCAAAACAATTGGACTGAATAAATATTATCTTCAAGTGGCCACACACAGTCAGGGTCTTGGTAACCTTTACAAAATGAATATATTTTACTCTGTCATAAAATTATTGGATTCACAGCAATCTTTTTTGTCTGAATGGGATTATAGAAGTAAAGCAATAGCTGAGTCATTTTAAATTAAATCACTTTATATTCTTACACTGTACTGTAAAAGATACTCAGGGCCTCCTATTCATTCAGCCCCCTCCAAACACATTGTCTTAGCTGTGCTCAGTTACCAAAGTTTGCTGAAATCCCAGCGCCTCTGATCTCTTGCTGCCCTCACTGTGTGGAATGTCCTTCTATCTTTTTTTTTTCATGGGCATTTCCTGCTCATCCCTCAAGCATTGGCTTAAATAGCACTTCTTCTGAAAGGCCTTTCTGATTCACCCTAACTAGATCTCCCTGTTATTGTTTGCTTTTGCTGCATCATTCTTTTCTTCATAGAATTTGCCACAATTTATAATTATTTGAATTACTTGTCTGTGTACTTGTTCTTGATCTTTTATTTTCTACTAGTATGAAAGCTCATTGAGTAGAGTGAGATTATTTCTATTTATTTATTATTCCATCCCCAATACATCTCACACATCTCATAATAGACCAGAAGAAATAGGTGTCTAATGAATGATTGAAACCAACCCAGTCAAAACAGGATCAGAGAATGAATCATGTAAATGATATGGAGTCTGGATCCCCTTAAAGAGCCCCCACCCAAAACTATGCTTCTGTGTGAAAGATTTGCTATGAAGTGGTGCCAACACGAAAGGGAACCACTCTTCAGTAAAGAGCATGGGAGCAGTCCTTGTGACCTCTGCTCTGCTTAACTGAGGGTGACTGACAATGATGAGAGTATCAAGATTGCATATTATAAGGGTTTTTATCTTAGGAAATAAATAAACTCTTCTCTTTTCTTGTCCTGGCTGCTAAGTGCCATTTTCAGCTAAGTAGCCATTTACAACAGTGTCTTGCTTCATCCAGGGGTTAAATTTCAAGGTTTATCAACAAGTACGGTATCAATAAAGTAAGCTTTTTATAACCAGATTGGCTGTGTCACTTTGGACAAGTTTTATAACCTCTTTAAATTTCAGTTCTCACACCTGTACAATGAGGGGAAAGAAGAGTTTCTACTTTATAGAGTCGTGAGGATGAAATGAGCAATTAAACACAAAGAACTTAGAACATTACTTGGTTCATAGTAAGCACTCCTCTCTTTATCTGATTCTAAACCCTCTCCCTGGCTGTTCTCATCCAGTCCCATGGCCCTCAGCATCATCTCTGTGTTGATAATGAGCAGACCTGTCCCCTGAACTCCAGATTCATATGCTCAGCTACTAGGGCACCTAATAGTCATCTCAGAATTCACATATTCAAAACTGAGCTATTGACTCCTTCACCCTTTCCTCCAACACTAGCAATCCTCACAGTCTTCCTCATCTCCATAAATGGCAATTTCACTTTGGTAGCTCAAGCCAAAACTTTGCATTCACCCTTAGTTCCTCTTTATCTCACTCTCCACATGCATTCCATAGGCAAATCTATTGATTTTTCCTTTGAAATATGTCCAGAACCTGACCACTCTTCTTCACCTCCATTGCTACAGCTAGTGGAAAAGCCTCCATCAGCTTACCTTTGTGTTATCATTAGTAGCCTTTTTATTTATCTCCTGCTTCCACTGTTCTCTCTAACTAGAAACCTATGTGATATTTTTAACTGAGTTAAATTGCATCAATTCTTTGCTCAAATCTGCCCAATGCCCAATGGTTTCTCAGATCACTCAGACTAAAATCCCAACTTGTCACTATGGTTTACAAGACCCCACATAATTTGGCTTCTGTCACTTCTCTGACCTCAAGTCCTTCTACGGTCTCCTCATCATGCTATGCTAGTCTCACACTAGCCTCCTTGCTGTTCTGAAAACACACAAAGCAAGCTTGTGACTCAGGGCTTCCTTATGTGTTCTTCCCTCTGACTCAATGACTTTCCCCTTGCTTCTCAATTTCCCCTTCAGCCTCTCCCTAAATGCCACCTTATTGGAGAGGCTTTTTCTAAACCTCTTGTGTAAACTAGCCCCCATTTACACCTAATTCCAGATTAGGTTTCTTCACAGCCCTTATTGCCACCTGGAGGATTTTATACTTTGCTTTTTGACATCCCCCTTCTAAGGCATAAAATTCACAAGAGCAAAGATTTAGTTTTGTTCACTGTAATTTCCCTAGCACCTACAACGTGTCTGGCATATGGTAGAACCTAAGTAAACATTTGTTAAATAGGTATATGAAGAAAAAATTATTATTACCTCTTTGTTAAGAAATACTTTATCTATTAACTGAAGCATTCCGGACATCAGAAATAAGTCTGAGGAAAGTATTCAGGGGAAATGCAAAGTCTTCTGAACATTTCTGAAATTTTACTAAAAGAAAAACAAAATAATCTGTCCTGGGTTTAAATAGACCTCCCCCCCATATATTTGTCCCGGTACTGTCTTATAAGGACTGTCCAAATTCGAATTCTTAGGACATAGAAGATGGCATACAACTACACACACACACACACACACACACACACACACAAATGAGTGCATGTAAAACTGGTGAAATCTGAATGAAGTCTGGATTGTACCAATGTCAGTTTTCTGGTTTGGGTTTACTATAGTTATACAGTCTGTTACTGCTGGGTGAAAGCTACAAAATATCATCCTGTACATTTTGTTCAAATTCCCATTATTTGATACGTATTTCAAAATTAAAAAGTGCAAGACTTCTTGATTCTCAGCACCAAATGGCAGTCAATATATATGGGGCTCCAAACAGATTCTTAGATATTAGAAACAAGATCAGAAAACTCCATTTTAAGCTCAAATGTCACCTACATTGAGAACTAATCAGATAAAAACATTGCCCTCTGAAACTGGAGCTAATTGAAATCAATGTGCAAGAAGTAAGCCCTAGTGAACTCCAGGAACATAACTCTCAGAAATGGTCCTAGTTATTTTTACAAACTTAGGGCTAAGGTTCTTAACGTCTGTTCTGAAGAAGAATATCCATTCCATAAGAATTTGAGAGGAAAAAACAAAACTAAGAACCAGAAGGTACAATGGCTTAGTTTTAAAATAAATTGGGGAGCTTGTGTGTTTTAACTTTCTCCTCTTAGAGTCTCACATAGCATTATCATGGCAAAGGCTTTGAGAAGTCCTTAAGTAAAACTTTATTTATCACAGCACTTGCCATACTCACTGAACCACTAGAGATGATGGTATCTTTTACAGCTCAGCTCAGAAAAGTAGGGTTGGGTTTTCATAATAAAGGAAGTGATATAATTAATTATGATATATCTAAGTCTGTATTGTCACAAGAGACCTGGAAGAATAACATGCAACTCTTCATAGGTTTTTGAGGCTATTGTTCTAAAAGCTGGTACCAGGTTATCTTATCAGAAATAGTTTGAACATAGACAATGGAAGTATTTTGAAGACACTGCCACTTGAATTTTAAAATGGGGTTGCTTTGCCTTTAGTTTTAATCACACTAACTCACTTCCTGATATCATTTACTCTCCAGAGTACACCAGACAGAGGTCTCCCATTCAAATGAATTATAATATTCATCTTGCTAGATAAACAATTCCCAGTATAAATTTTTAGTTAATAAATCACTACCTTGTGAGTTGAGTTAATGAATTTCCCCAGAACCTGATCAGTTTTTGATGAAGTTATAAACTCTAATTTCTTAAAGTGCCAATGTTGAAAGGGATGAGGCTCTGGAGACAATATAATCCATCTTCCCTCATCCTAATCACCCCTACCAATGACACTTTCATCAAAGTCCCCAATATCAAGTGGCCATGCCTTTGTCACTTAGCTACACTTTTGAATAAATAATGCCCAGATAAGTATGTCATGTGTTTTACTAGTGATTATCTACTTTTATATATTTTTAATTGTGTCTACTTTAACCAAAGTTCATCATATGCCTAGGAGCAACTTCTATAAGAAGTGACTTGGCTTATGTAAGTCCACCTTTACACTTCTATTGTATTTCAATATGGAAATGTGGTATGCAGGCATACAAAAGCATCTATATGCATTAAGGGGGTCAAATTGACCAAGCATTCTGGCTTTGGGTTTTTTTTAGAGAACCTGGGCTGAGATCTATTCATTGGAATGCATGGTTGCTTACCTTCCCAGATTTTTCACCAGCTCTGCCTGTGAGTTGGAAAATTTGCCCCCTGTTCCCCATTGTTGCCATAGCCTGCTGTATCTGCCAAAGTTTGGACAATGATTCCAAAGCTTGACTACTTTGGTTGGTTCTGACATTTACATTTATCTAATTTGTTGGGATTCCATAGGCAGTCAGCATACTCCTTCTGCTATTTCATGATTCTCATGATTCTAAAATTAATAATGGCAGGTTGATAAACTGTTAATGTAATATCATTTGGTCTATTTTACAGGTGTAGCCATCGACAGAATAGTTATTTGCATTTGAAGTGCTGTTCAGGGCACATAGATTATTAGATAGTAATATCATAATAGAAGTAACATTTTACTTGCTAAAATAAAATTACCTGTTTTCAGGAAGTGTTTGGATTTTATTTATTTATTTATTTTGAGACAGCAACTCGCTCTGTCAGGCTGTCTGTCACGTAGTGGCATGACCATAGCTCATTCCATCCTCAAACTCCTGAGCTCAAGCAATCCTCCTGTCTCAGCTTCCCAAGTAGCTGGGACTATGGGTACACACAACTTTGCCCAGCTATTTTTTTTTTATTTTTTAAAGCTTTTTGTAGAGGCAGAGGCTCACTATGTTGCTTAGGCTGGTCTTGAACTCCTGGCCTCAAGCAATCCTCCTACCGCAGCCTCCCAATGCCGGAAGTATTTTGAAATAATTTAAATTTAAATTTATCGTGGTAAAATAAGTCATTTTAATTAAGGATAGTATAGGTAGGCTGAATATTTGCCAATGTTTCAATAAGATTATGTGAATCAGTTACATTTTTTTTTAAGTTTCAAAGTGTTTTCTTTAATAATATAAAAATCTGTTCTTTGTTTTCATATTAGGTCAGTTCTACAAATTTTTCTGACTTTGTGAACGTCTGGGAGAATTTGGTTTTTGGTCTGAAAGACTTGGCCTTGACCCCAACAGTGCTACTCCTATAAATGGTTTAGAGCATGCATTGCATCCATGAAGTAGTGTTACAAAATGAAGCTGAAAATGTGTAAGTGGAGAGCCCTGTGTGAAAATTTATGTGCCATTAATCCTACCACATGTCACTTCTCTATTAGCCCTGGTCACTGTCAAAAATTGTAGGCACAGTCAGCCCTCTTTGCAGACTAATGTTCTCATCCCTGTACTTGGCCATTCTTCCTCTCTCCTGACACAATCTCTTATAGCTCCCTTGTCACTAGTCTTTTATTTGAGACCCTCTGAAATCCCAGGCACATGGTAAAATTAAAAATTCATTTTCATCCATACTTGGTCACAGAACTTTCCTTCTACCTCCTGCCACCTCCTGCCATAACCAAGACTTGGCCTTTCATGGAAGATGCAGTGTATGACATGTCTCCTGAGAATTTCTCAGGAAGAGCTGCTCATTTCCTAACAAAGCTCATACCTTGAGGTCAGAGAGTGGAGCCTGCCTCTACTCTAACCTCCAGCTCTTGAGTAAGCATCTCAGCTCTTAAGGGGACCAAGTCACAATGACAATGTCCTCTGCACCCTCCCCTCCAAGTTGCCTTCTATTGATTTTCTGATCAGTTCACAGCATCCCCTGAAACTGCATCTGCAGGGAGAACCAGGCTGGCTAAGCACAGCAAGGGAGGGAGGCAGTGACCTTGGTGACAGTTTGGCTTAACTCACTTGCCTATTGTTCTCTAATTCTTGACTCTGTGGTTCTTGAAGGCAGGTGCTTTGCCTAATTTGTCTTATTTCTCCACTGATTAGCATAGTGCCTGGCACTTGAACAGTACTTGATAAAGGGTTGTTGGGAGGATTAATTAATTACGGAATGTTATCACTATATGATATAGTAGCTCACTTTTTAGGAGTTCTTACTACATTGCAGGCTCCATCCTAAGCAATTTACATACATTGGCTCCTTTAAATCTCCATACCAATTGTAATCAAATGTTATTATTGCAAACTAGGAAATTTAGAGTTCATGAAACTTACTTCACTCAGGTCACACCGTTCATACATAGTGAAACTGGGATTTGAACCAAGGTGGTTTGCTTTCAGAGCTCACAATCTTTGCTTTTCTTCCCTTTTTTTTTTTGACAGGGTCTCACTCTGTCACCCAGGCTGGAGTGCAGTGGTGGGCTCACTACAGGTTTTGTCTCCCAGGCTCAAGCTATCCTCTCACCTTAGACTCAGGAGTATCTGGGACTACAGGTGCACACCATCATGCCCAGCTAATTTTTTATATTTTTTGTACAGACAAGGTTTCACCCTGTTGCTTAGGCTGGTCTCGAACTCCTGAGCAGAGCTCACAATCTTAATACCCTAAAACTTTTGGTGTGGCCAGCACAGTTAATGAAAACCAAGTTCATACTGAAAAGAGTCCCACCTTTTATTTATTTCTCACTGAAGACTGTTCTGTAGTGGTTGAAGCAGACATCCCACAAAAGCTTTGCTAGTATCCTGACATGGTGATGACCAGTGCTGTGGCCCCACAGGAAGGAGTCACCACTTTCAGGATCAGGGGACAAAAAATAGCCAGAGTAGCCTCCATGATGGTACTTAAGGCTATTTCTACTCATCACAGCCTGGAAAAGGAGGAGGAGTGATTGAGGAAGGAGAAAAGAAATTGGAAAACAAAAAAGACAAACCACCAAAGCAAATAATACAGGAAATATTTACATGTAGGGGGATCAGCTGAGGAGAAAGTTCAAAGAGTTAAAGCTCTCAGTGATACCAGAGGAAGAGATGGAAGAGGCAGAGATCAAAGTGAGCAGGGGAGATTCTGAGCCAGATAAGAAGGAACAGTGGGAGGTAGGGCCTGGGTGAATGGGAACCATGTGAGGGCAAACTTTTGTAAATGACAGTGAGGTGCATATGATACTGTTTGAGTTCTAAACTCAGTACATAGTCAAAAATCACCTGGGAACAGTTTCATCATTGAAAATTGCTAAAAATTCTCCATAAATACAAATAAGGAGTTAGATATGTTCAATCTTATAGAATCACATTAATGTAGAATATATATTAGTAATAGAGTAACATATAAAATACAATAAAGCATACATATGAAAATCTTATTTTATAAGATTTTTATAGGATGAGACACAGTACATGTGGTTTGAGACATGTTAAAATGTTTGCATGATGAAATGCTACTGTATTTATTTACTGCTTTCTTTGGAAAACTCAAAATACTTACATTTTCCTACTCCCATTTGAAAATACTGTTGCCCCCTGAAACATACCTCTTTTGAGAGAAGACAGCCTACACAATATTTGCTTAAAATGTGCTTCACTCTTGACTCATTGGGTAGTAGGAGTTTTGCCACCTGTTATGGAATTAATGTGGTGTTCAGGCCTCCAAGTTGGCAAAAGTGGTGTATCAATGCAAAGGAAGGCTAAGGTTAACAATGAGCTCTGCATATCATAGAATATGTATTCAGAATTATTCAGTTCTGAGGTTTGTAAGCTTTGACATTGACATTAATCAACATTGAACTCTAGTATTTAATTTTCAACATACACACACATGCACAAACACACAGCTAAAATATTATTTGGATTTTTTTTTTGTAAATCTCTTTCAATATCAGCTTATTTATTGAAAATTCCTGGAAGCTACAACATGCCATCTGTTTCCTTATCAAATTTTGCCCCCACAGTCACAGGCAAATATAGTTGCTTTTTTTATTCATGAGTTTGCTTAGGAACAATGTGGCTGTATTCACAGGTCGATTATGATTGAGTCTCTGATAATGGGCCTGATGCAAGTATTAAAAAAAAAAACTTTCCTGAATTCCCAAAATGACTTGAAAATCAACTTCCAATTCAGAAACATATCCCAGAGCAAACTCCCTACGGCAGCATCTCACACAGGCACACGCACACGCATTTAGAATGATGTCTTCTTTAGAATCTATCAACAGCTACATAGCCTGATGGGCATTTTCTTGTCAGTTGGGAAATTTAGCAGTGGGCTCCCTTTGCAGGTGATCTTCAAAAAGCATTAACAGTATGCTATTTCAGCCTCAGAAGATTGAACTTACTGTGAAGAGCGCCTCCAAAGAGTCCCCTCAGAAATGGGTTTCTTAAGTGGAAAATGGTTAGACGATCCTTTCACCAACACACCAGGGAAGAGTCAATATTTCAATTCTACTAGCTTCAGTGAAAATAGAGAGAGATGTGAACAAACAGTGCAGAGAGTGTCAGAACATACATTCTTGAAGAAAGGTGGCCTCTCTGGAGAAAAAGGAAAAGGAGGAAAGAAAATCCAATGAATAAAAACACCGTAATTTCCATGACTATTTATTCAGAGAAAAATACCAGTTTGAAAAAAGTGAACCTAGTGAACTTTCTGTAGTATTGTTTCACCAAAGAGTTGATCAGATCAAACTATTTCATTTAAAATGTCCAAAAAAAATCTTTTGCAAATTCCCAAAATAAGAAATAGTTTTATGCATAATTTTTAAAGCATTTTGCTGGACCTAATATTATTCCAAATATCTGGCACAGAATTAAAGTATCAGCAATAAGCGTGATACTCAATCTATTCTGAAGAACATACGTTCTAGAAGAAAGGTTGCCTCGCTGGAGAAAAAGGAAAAGGAGGAAAGAAAATCCAATGAATAAAAACACTGTAATTTCCATGAGTATTTATTCAGAGAAAAATACCAGTTTGAAAAAAGTGAACCTAGTGGACTTTCTGTACCATTGTTTTACCAAAGAGTTGATCAGATCAAACTATTCCATTGAAAATGTCCAAAAAAAATCTTTTGCAAATTCCCAAAATAAGAGATAGTTTTATGCATAATTTTATAGCATTTTGTTGGATCTAATATTATTCCAAATATCTGGCACAAAATTAATGTATCAGCAATAAGCAAGGTACTCAATCTGTTCTGAACAATTGGGTGTATCAGATTGCATGCTAAAGCACTGATTGAGAAAAACACATCCTGCTAACCAATTATGTTCTTTATTTTTAATTTTTATTTATTTATGTATTTATTTACTGAGACAGGGCCTCACTTTGCCCAAGCTGGAGTGCAGTGGAGTGATCAAGATTCACTGTAGCCTTGACTTCCTGGGCTCAAGCAATCCTCTTGCCTCAGCCTCTCAAGTATCTAGGACTACCAGCATGAGCCACTATGCCCAGCTAATGTTTTATTTTTATGTTTTTCTGCAGAGACAAAGTCTTCCTATGTTGCCCAGGCTGGTCTCAAACTTTTGGGTCAAGCAATCCTCCCACTTTGGCCTCCCAAATTGTTGGTATTACAGGTATGAGCCACCGTTCCCAGCCTGAAATTTTGGCCTTTAAAACATCAGTTCTGTACAGTTCAGTCATGGCTCTCTTGTGCCCTAAGCCTTTGACAATATCTGGCTTTCTGTTTAAATTTATTTACTTTTCAAAGCTACTTTGAGCACGGACTCTATGCTAGGGACTATGCTAGGGACTCCATGTGAGTTCAGTTTTCCTAATGGCTCCATGGTACGGTTTATCTTAGCCGTCTTATTTACAAATGAGCATACTGACACTCCAGATCTTAGAAACTTTCTTCATATTTGTTTGATTACAAAGTGGATGGTCTTTCCGCCACATTACAGAATAATGCATTCATCCACGTGCTTAATAGCCAACAAAAGGTAGTCCTGTGCCCTTTAATATATGAAGCTCAGAAGTTTTCAGTTGAGCATTACAGCTAGAGTGAGTCAATCAATCAAAGTATAATACAGCTCAAGGTAAAAATACATACAGTAACCTACTACATTCTGGAAGCATTTTAGAGTTAGGCAGGTTGCCAAGTGGAACTGAAATCAGATCAGAGTCTGCCAGGAAATTAGATTCAAGGGTGACTAGCCAAGAGAAGCAGACAAGTGCACCTTTAATAGCAGCCTAACCCTATTTGAAAGTCTCTATATAATGTTGGTCCCCATTACATCCCCTCTGCAAGCTGTAAAGTGGGAGGAAGTAGAGGCATGGAAGTTACTCTTCACATGCCAAAAGTCTGAATACCCTAAAGTTTGTATTTGCACCCAGCATTATATAACATTCTCAAAGTTACCAAGAATAGGTGTCATCCTATGTTGTTGGGAATCCAGGAAAGAATGACTGTAACTTTGATATTGCAATGCTATTAAAAATGACCCATTGACAAAGTAACTGATCCCAACTGCATTGTTCTATTATCTTTTCTTTTTTTGTTGTTGTTAGTGATGAGTACAGGTGGCAGAGAAGATCCTGTTCTTCAGTTTTAGGCACTACAATTTGATGTGCCAACATTTGAGGGGCTTTTATTTTTAACGTTTTAATTATCTTGCTTGGCCAAGAAACAAAAGATGTTTTACTGTCCCAAAACGATCTCACACAAGAGGTACGGTGAAAAGTGTCCTGTAGCTTTTTTCATGCCAATCAAAACCTAGGAGTTTTAGCAATGGAGCAGCAGACTGCCTCTTCTCAATATATAAGCGGGTTGTACTTCCAAAAGTTAGAGACACTCCCAAAAGGTATGGATTCCTAGGCCGTTGTCATCCTGTCATTATGGCCTGAAATGTCTAAACGGATAGGGAAAGAGTCCTATGCCAGAGTGAAGCCAATTGTACCCATTCTTGATTAAACCATACTCTGTGGTTCTTGAGTGATACAAAAAGGTTACTCTTCCTGTGGGATTATATGTTAGTGCAAGCAAGCTTTCCATTAGAGGAAATATGAAGAATTCCTTAACCCTTGGCCTTCCCTTGCAACTTCAATTTTTGCTTCTCTGCCATTTTCCCCAGAATTCTATTTGCATCTTGTTAATGGCTTTTACGTATGAGGCCACAAATTCCATTATCATTGAGTCTTCTCATTCTTTAGAGTGGAGCATCTCCCAGGCACACCAAAAGTCTCTTGCTAGAAATGATGGCCTCTCATTGTTTTATGCTAAATAAATCCCTGCCTTCTAGAAACAAGAAGGAGGGAGTATTAAGGAGGACTAGGGCACAAATTACTGATTTATCTCAAATTCTCTAACACTGGGGATTGTGTCATTGTGAGGAATAAGATCTTAAGAGGACCTTCTAGTTAGCAAGTCCGACAAGAAGTCTGCAGATGTGTCAAAAAATCAGTGTGTCCTCTTGGCATCTATGGCTACCTCAAATTCCGTGGGAGCAAAGTAAGTGAAGGGCCACATGTAATCATTCTCTCATCCATTTGTTTATTCATTCTTTTGTATGTTCATTCAGCACACACTTGTCAAGTGCCTACAGTCTGCAAAGCAATAAGCCATTTTTTGTTTTTGTTTTTGTTTTGTGTTGAGAGGAAAAATTCACAAACTCATAATTCTATACCTTGAAAAACTATTCTTCAAAAGTGAAAAAGAAGTAAAGACCTCTCAGACAAACAAAAATTCAAGAAATTTTTGTCAGTAAACCGCCTTGTGAGCAACGTTAAAAGTTCTTTGGGGAGAAGGAAATAACATAGGTCACAAGCTCATATGTATTTAAAGAAAGGAAGAAATGAGTGAGAGTACAAAAAGCCTTTTATTTTCTAATTCTTTTGTTTTAAAAGGTAATAGTTTATTCTAATAAAAATTAGTTTGTTCAAAATAATAAAAGCAACAACATATTTGAATATACATTATGTATGTAATATGTATATATGTTTTATGTATAAGTAAAATGAGTGACAGTCATGTAAGGGGCAGGATAGAACACCTAGGAATATTTTGGTATTATAAGGCATGTGCACTGCTTTGAAGCAGTATTGTGTGTTATTTGAAAGTAGACTTTAATTGGCTTCTAATGTATATTGGAAATTCTAGGGCAGCCACTAAAAAAGGAAGATAAAGAAGTCTCACTGATATACTAAGAGAAGCAAAAAAATGAATCATATAAATACTCGATTAAAACCACAAGAGGTAGAAAATGTATGGCAGATAAAAATAGAAGTAAGGAAAAGGGAAAACAAACAGAAAATAGTAACATGTGTGATAGGTAGTATGTCAACTGTATTAATAATCACTTTAAACATCAATGGTCTCAATATAACTATTCAGAGACAGAGATTGCAAGGGTTCAAAAATAAGATCCAACTATATGTTGTTTACAGTAACCCGTTTTGAATATCAAGACATATATAGATGATAAAAAGTAATGGGATGCAGAATGATCATGCTAACTAACTAACTCTAATCAAAAGAAAGTGGAAGTAGCTATATTAATTTCAGACAGAGATAACATCAGAGAGAGAAAAGTTATCAGAGACAAAGAAGGAATTACATAGCAATAAAGGTCTCAATTCTTTAATTATCCATAACAATCTTTAATGTGCATGTACCTAACAACAAAGCATCCAAATATTAATATGCGAGGTAAAAACTGATAAAACTGCAAAAAGGAATAAATAAATCCACTATTATATTTGAGTACTTTAGCACCCCCTTATCAGAAATGAATAGATCCAAAAAGCAGATAATTAATAAGGGCATAATTGAACTGAATAGCATCATTAATCAACTGGATATCACTAACACCTGCAGACTACTTAACAAAAACAAAATAAACATTCTTCTCAAGCTCACAAGGAACATTCACTAAGCTATCCCACATCTTAGTCCATAAAATGCATCTTACCAAAATTAAAAATAGGAATTATACAATATCTACTCTCAGACCACAATGAAATTAACTTAGAAATTGATCGTAGACAGATTTCTAATATTTGGAGATTAAACAACACACTTGCAAATAACACAGGGGTCAAGAAAAAATTTTAAATATATATTTTAAACTAAAAATGAAAATACAACTTATCAAAATTTATGAGATACAGTGAAAGCAATGCATTGGATGCATATATTAGAAAAGAAGGAAGATTGAGCATCAATAATCTAAACTTCCACCTTAGTGAACTAAAAAATGTGCAAATTAATTTTAAAGTAAGCAGAAAAACAGAAATAAGAGTAGAGCAGAAATACATAAAATTGAAAACAGAAACTCAATAGAGGAAATCAACAGAACCAAACATTATTTGAAAAGATCACTAAAATTCATAAGTCTCTGGACAGAGTAAGAAATAAAGAGAGAACACACAAATTACTAATATCAGAAATGGGAAAGGTGGTATCACTACAGATACCATGGATATTAAAAGGATAAAAAATATATTTGGAACAAGTCTGTGCCCAGAAATTTGAGAACTTAAATGAAATAGATCAATTTCTTGAAAGGCACAATCTGCCAAAACTCACACAAGAAGAAATGGACAATCTTAATAGGCCTATATGTATTAAAGGAATTAAATAATAATGAATAATTTTTAAAACAGAAAGCAGCAGGCCCAGATGGCTTCAGCAGCAATTCTGCCAAACATTTAAAAAATAAATGATATAAATTCTCTACAATGTCCATATCTTCCAAAATACAGAGGTAAAACTATAAAGACAGTAAAAAATAAATAAAATCAGTGGTTGTCCAGTTTAGGGAGGTGGGAGGGTTGAATAGACAGAACACATGATTTTCAGAGAGGTAAAACTATTCTGTATGATCCTACAGTTGTAGGTGCATATCATCATACACTTGTCCAAACCTATAGAATGCACAGCACCAAGAGTGAACGCTAATGGAAGTTATGGACTTTGGGTATTAATGATGTGATAATATAGATTGATTGGTTGTTACAATTATACCACTGTGGTGTGAGATGTTGATAGTGGAGAAGACTGTGGGTGTGTGAGGGTAGGGAAATATGGGAACTTTCTGCTTAATTTCGCTGTGAACCTAAAACTGCTACAAAAAAAAATGTATTTTAAAATCGTTTTTAAAAAGAACAAACAAGAAGGCTCTTCCCTCAAGGAACATAATATCCAATAGGTTTATAGCCTTCTAAGCAAGAAATTTAAAATTTGAAATGAAAAAATTTTAAAGGAAGTAGAAGATGCTGTCAAAGCACAGAAGAGGAATGTCTAGCCAGGATTTTGGGACATGTGTACTCATTACCTACATTGCCGTATTTAAGCAGCAACTGCTATTTGAACAGTTGTGCTGGACCACTGGAAACTGATCTCTTCTCTTGCCATAGGAAAGTTTGGAAGTACAAATAGCATCCAGAGTTAGTCATGGGACTTCTAGTTCTGGCAAAATGAAGACTAATTATATCAATAAACCCTTCTACTAAAAAAAATAAAAGAGAAAAAAAGTTAGATGAAATAAATTAAAAAAATAAAATCTCAAATGCATTAATCAGAGATTAAAATTATTATCCCTGATTGGTTAAAAAAAATCTGAGTTTGGCATTTTCCTGAAGAACATTTAAAGGATCTGAAGACCTAATCAGAGTCTTGCAAATGTAAATATAAAGCATATAAAGCTAAGTGTGCACCAGTGATGGGAAGTTTAATTGGAGATCTCACATGTTAGAGCTGTGATCTTAAAGGGCATACCTTCAGGTTAAGTGACAAATAGAAATATGTGTCCTCCAAGTAACCACAAGAAAAATGTGTTGTCTTGAAACTTCACATTGAATGATGAAGAAAATAAACCTCTTCTGTGAATTTCAAAAGATATAATGCTTTTTGCAGGTTTGCATCATGAATTCATACTATCTGGGTAATCTGAAAAAACTGAAGTTTCTTCAGTTAGGGACTAAAGAATTCTTACAAATGAAATTTTATGAAATATAAAGTTATTGATAAAAATAACAAAACACACAATGAAATAAGATACCTTTACAAGGGCTGGTGAAAACAACAGACAGTAAATCCAGACCTAGCAATATTTTAGATATTGGAGTTATCTGACCCAAAATTTAAATTAATAAATTTGTTTAGTAGACTGACATCAAACAAAAACCTTGAGTAAATAACAAGATGCTATAAAAATGGCATTCCAATACCAATAATTGAAATAATTAAGAGATCAAATAGAAAATTTAGGTATTAAGATATATAATTAAAATTAAAGCTTCAGTGAGTTAGTGAGTTTATTAGGAAACTCTTCTCAGAAGAAGACATAACTCTTAACCTGTAAGATAGATATGAAGAACTGAGCAAGAATTCAGCATAGATGGATGGATATAAAAAACACAGAAAAGAAGTTAAAAGGCATGAAGAATAGAGATGCAATATCTAACATAAAGTAAATTGTAATTGTATCAGAAGAATAAAGAGGTTGGCAGCACCAATATAAAGAGATAATGGCTATAGCATTGCAAAATATGAATGTATCAGGCTTTAATTATCCATTTTTTTCTGAAGTGTTTATACTATTACAAACCGTACTGTGATGAATAGACATATCATATCTGATAGCAATGAATGACTGGCTCAGTAACTTTCTAATCTGTTCCAGGACAGTAGGAATCCTAAAAGAATCTTTCAAACTAATGAATTAAATAATTGATTTCAAATAAGTAGGTAAATACATAAAAACTTAACTTACCATAAAGGTGACAGGTTATTTGTTCTATTGGGGAACTTGAAACTATGGTTAAGAAGTCTAAAACGCTATCTTCTAGATTATAGTTACCTATTAAGACTTTGAAGCTACCAACTTTTTAAAGCTTGTTTGTACCTAAAACTGAAAAGGAAGCAGACATTTAATCTTGAGAACAAGGATACTATAAGATTCCCTTTCATTAATGTTCTCATCTTATAACTGTGGAAGTGAACTCAAGTGAGTCAACAATTCCACCAGAAACCTTCCATGCCACTTAAAATATTTGGTTACTATCTAATGCCTTTTTTCAGGTGGGAAATGGGAAAACATTCATGTGAATCAAGTTTATGCTAATGTTTCTTGCTAGGAGTATGGGCATATGCATCATGCAAAGTTTCTAAAAAGTCAAAGTGGTCCAATTTCTTCTGAACTAGAAAGGAAAGTTATGAAGGCAAGTGACTGATAAAAGCATAAATGTTATCACTGCAGCCCTCATATAACTAATACCATCTTATATATATATATTCACACAAATACAAAAATTTCAAAAAAATCTGAATGTTTTCATGTGACATTGATAATTTTGCAAATTTCAAAGTTGAAGATATTTTATTAAGCTGTCATATCTAGTAGCCAAATGAAAATCAGTTTTAGTTTGTTTTCCTCTTTCCCCTTTGCCTGGCATGGCAGTTTTATGGAAGACCTGTGATTTAAAACAAACAAAACAGAAAAGAAGCAAGCAAACAAAATACAGTCACTTACTGGAAGCTCCTGGGTGAAACAGCCTAGGGTTATATAAACCTTATACTGGAGTGGAATTCAAAGGGATATCAAAGCCAACAAATTAAATGTGGCTCAAACACACAGAGAACATATTGAGTTAAAGATGTGCTTCTTCTTGTCATTGCAGAGAGCTCAGATCCACTCAGTCAAATGCCAGAGAAGAAGAAAGAAGAAAGGAGACTCCTGTGGATGCTCAGGTCCATGTAAAAGGGCATGAAAGAACTTCTGGCTTAGGGAAGATGAGATGTAGACCCATTACTCTCTGTTCCTCTTTGTGAAGCACAGCTACAAACTCTGGAATTAATGCAAGAGGCAGCCAAAGGGGAACTGTGAAAGATGTTAAGAAGAAAACTGGCTTTCAATGCTAGAAAAGGAGGAAATTCACAGCAGAATACAATCTTATGTTCCCTTACCCAACAGAAGACAGCAACTCAGACACAACATTCCACAACCCCTGACCCAGCGACTGAAGGAAGCTCAGTCAGGCTTATTCCTCCCCTGGATAGATTAGGAGAGCTTGTGCTATCAATCAAGGCTAACATAATTGTCAAGAAACATTAATCAAAAGTCCCACAAAAAATAAGTGGCCAAAGTGTTCTTCTCTGACATGCCTAAGACTTTTCTCTGTTATTGACAAATATCAAGGTGGTAGGCTATATCAGTAAGAGGAACTCAGGCACAAAAGTGACCTAGTTCAGGAAACCTTTTCTCTTTTGTGGGTCTGAGACTTCCCTCATTTATGTGAACACATCAGGTGGCCCTGCCTGAGTAACCACCTACTACCCTCTCAGCCAGCACCAACAAGTACCAGGGAAGCTTCAGTAGCAAAGATAAACCAAGCACAGCAAAATAATACTGCAATAACTTTGAAAATTAAAGTGTTTTTGGAACCACACTCCATAAAAATAGTACAGGACCTTTATGTGAACTTGAAACAGCATGATTACTTGCTAAAATAAGATTTGAATGAGACCCTGAGTATTCTAATATAACAAACAAAATGACCAGGATGCAAAAGAAAATCATCTGTCATACAAAAAAAAAAAAAACCAGAAAATCACAACTGAATGAATAAAGGCAATCGACTGATGGCAATACTGAGATGAATCCGATCTTGAAAAGCATTTTAAATCAGTCATCATAAAAATGACTGAATAATTAAGAAATTCCATTAAAATAAATTCCATTAAAACAAAAAAATAGAAATTAGAAAATAAAAAGAAGTTGCTTATAAAGAACTAATGGACATTATAAAACTGAAAAATACTCTAATACAAATTAAAAGCTCGCTAGATGGGCTTGATAGTAGAGTGGAGATGACAAAGGTTAGAATCAGTAAACTTGAGGATATGACAATGAATTTAGCCCATGTAAACAACAGAGATAAAATATACTGAATAAAAAACAAAGAGGGACTTACAGGACAATAATGAAAGATCCAACACTTGTATTATCAGAATTCCACATGGAAGAGAGAGAGGGAGAGTGGTGCTGAACGAGTCTCATAAAAGTAATGGAAATAGTCTTCTACATTTGGGGAAATATACAAGATTTAAGACACTGACTTAAACTCAGATAGGATATCCATGACAAGACACACTGTATTGAACTTCTGAAAACTGGCGTCAGAGAAAAAAGAATTGAAAGGAGCCAGAGAAAATCCAAAGGGGAAAACTGATTTGAATGACATAATCTGAAACCATGGTAGCCAGAAGGAACTGGCAAAAAAAAATGTTCATGTGTTGAGACAAAAGTCAACTATAAACTCTACTACCAGCAAAATTATTCCTTAGAAATGAGGAGAATATAAAGACATTCTTAGATAAAGAGAAATTAAAATAATCTATACTAGCAAATCTGTTCTTAAAAATAGCAAAAGGAAATTCTTTAAACAGAAAGAAAATGGTAAAGAATCTTGGAGAACCAGGAAAAAATAAAGATACAATGAAAAAAAGCAGACATGTAAGTACATAAAATAGATTATCTTTTTTCTATTGTGTTTGACAAAACATATCTGATGACTGAAACAAAAAATTATTATAATACCATGTGATATTCAGTACAATAATATTTAAAAGTGAAGAGATTTAGAGTCCAGGAAATTACCAGAGATAAAGGGAGATATGGAGCAATTATAAAAAGATCATTCTACCAAGAAGACATACCAATTTGAAGTGTGTACATGGCTAACAATGGAGCCTCAAAATATGTGAAGCAAAAACTGAAAGATTTAAAAGGAGAAATAGACAACAACTCAACATGCCATCTCAGCAACTGGTAGAGCTAGTGAACATAAAATTAGCAAAGACATGGAATATTTAAGTAACAAACACAGTCAAGAATATAATTGACATTATAGAATGGTCCCCTAACAACAGCAGAACACACATTTTTTTCGAGTGTCCAAGGAAGTTTTCCAAGATAGACCACATCATATCTTATGTATCAAATTTTAACAAATTTAAAAGAATTTAAGTTATACAGAGTGTATTCAATGACAATAATGGTATCAATCTAGAAATAATAAAAGAAAGATAGCAGTGAAATCTCTGAAAATGTAAAAATTCAAAACATACTTTTAAATAATCTTTGTATATCTAAAAGGAAACAAGAATACTCATAGAACTAAATGAAAGGGAAAGAAATATCAAAAATATGTGGGATACAGCTAAAGCAGTGTTGAGAGAGAAATTTATAGCATGAAATTCTTATGCTAGAAATGAGAAAAGTTTTCAAAGCAATCATCTAAGACACCATACCTCAAGAAATTAGAAAAGAAAGCAAAATCATCCCAAAGCAAGCAGAAGGAATGAAAGGGCAGAAATCAACACAATTTAGACTAGGAAGTGAATAATTAATGGAATCAAAACCTGACCACATGGAGGAACCTGAAAGGCATCATGCTAAGTGAAATAAGCCAGGCACAGAAAGACAAATGCCAAATGATCTCACTTGTGAGTGGAATCTAGAACATCAAACTCACAGAAGCAGAGGATAAGAGAGTGGTGGCCAGAAACTGACAAGGGGGTTGTGTGGCAGGTGAAGAAAATAGATGTTAGTCCAAGGGTACAAACTTTTAGTTGTGTTGGATGAATAATAACTAAGCACAGTGACTACAGCTAACGATGCTGTGTTGTGTACTTGAAACTTGCTAAGAGATTAAATTTTAAATGTCTTTACCGCAAACACACACAAAAGTAGCTTTACAAAGTGATGGATATATTAATTAACCTGACTGTGGTAGCCATTTAACAATATCTACCTATAACAAACATCACATTGTACATCTTAAATGTATACAATTTCATTTGTCAATTATAGCTCAATAATCCTAGAAGAAAAATAATTTGTTCATATATTTCATAAAATTCCAACAATGTATAAAAAGAATTATGCCCCGTGAACAAGTGGAATTTATTTCTAGTATGCAAGACTGGTTCAACATTGCGAATCAATGAATATAATCCACAACATCAACAGCGTATTGAAAAATTATATGATTATATCAATATAGAAATAATATTTGATAAAATCTAACTTTTTTTCAAGATAAGAATTCCCTGAAAGTTGGAATTAGAGGGATATTACCCCAAATGATAAAAATTACCTACCAAATTCTATAGCTAAAATATTTATTAATTATAAAATATTATTAAGTGATTTCCCCTAAGATTAGAAGCAGAAGAAGGATGTCTTCTCTCACTATTCGTATTCCTTAGAGTACTGGAAATACAAGACATTGTAACAAACCAACAAAGAAACTATAAAGACATATAGATTGGAAAGAAACAAAAAAAATTGGCATTATTGTCTATGAGAAAATCCCAAGGAATCTACAAAAAAAAATCTTCTTAGACTACGAAGTCAGTTCCGCAAGATTGCAGAATACAAGATCAAAACAAAATCATCAACTGCATTTCTGTATAATAAAAATGAACTTGCAGAAACTGAAAGTAAAGATAAAACACCATTTTTAATTGATTCAAAGAAAATGAAATAGCTAGGTATAGTCTCAATGAAACATGCACAGTATCTGTGTAATAAAAATTCAAAATGCTGATAAAATAAAGATCTAAATAAATGAAGAAACATACAACTTTCATAGATTAAAAGCCTTAGCATGGGTAAAGTAGGCAATCCTCCCCAAATTAATGTATATATTTAATGCAATTTCTATCAAGAGACATTTCAACAAAGAGGATATACAGATAGCAAATAAGCACCTAAAAACATTTTGAATACTATTAGTCATCTACAATATAAAACCAAACCACAATGAGATATCACAATGCTTTTGCTAGACATAGACACATTTATTTCACAATTTTTAGGATAAACCACTGCCCCTAGAATACATTAAAAAAATTTAGAAAGAATAATAAAGTAACAGAAATCACTTTAACTGAGATTAAGTTTTACTATAGAGTTACAGTAATCAAGACAGTGTTCTATGTTACAGAAACAGACAAACAAATCAATGGAACACAATAGAGAAACCAGGATTAGCCCCAAGCAAATATGCTCAACAAATTTTTGACAGACGTGCCAAGGCAATTCAACAGAAGAAAGAAAGCTTTTCAACAGTTAGTACTATAGCAATTAGAAAACCATAGGCAAAATTGAACTGTAGCTTAAATCTCACATTTTATACAAAATTTGCTCAAAATGAATAATGAATCAACATAAAATATTTAACCACAAAATCTTAAAAAACGGATAATTTTTGGTGATCTAGGCGTAGGCAAACATTTCATATGAAGTCCAAACTTAACGTTAAGGTCATGGTTTAGAAAAGGAAAATTTGATAAATAGGACCTCATCAAAATAAAAAATATTGCTCTGCAAAAGACCCTTTTGAGAGAATAAAAAGATAAGCTCCAGAGTGGGAGAAAATACTTGCAAATCACATATGTGACAAAGAACTACTATCTATGCTATATAAAGAAGTCTCATAAACCCTACAGTTCAAAGCTTTCACACTAAAATCAGGAGCAAGGCAAGAATGTTTCCTCTCACTGCTGCTTTTCAACATCCAATTGGAAATCCTATCTAATGCAATAAGACAAGAATTGGAAACAGTATACTGATTGATAGAGAAGGAGGAAATAAACTGTCTTTGTTTGCAGATGACATGATCATCTTTGTAAAAGTTCCCAGAGAATCAATTTGAAAATATCTTTTGAAAGGAGATTATTGTAATAACTTGTTAATAAATGATTATAGCAAGTTTGCAGGTTAATGTACAAAAGTCAGTTACCTATACACCAACTACCAAAAATGAACAATTGAAGTTTGAAATTAAAAACATATTACCCTTTACATTAGCACCCCCTGAAAATGAAATAAATAGGTATAAATCTAGCAAAATATGTACACGGGCTGGGTGTGGTGTCTCACATCTGTAATCCCCGCACTTTGGCAGGCTGAAGCAGGTGCATCACTTGAGGTCAGGAGTTTGAGACCAACCTGACCAACATGGTGAAACCCCCTCTCTACTAAAAATACAAAAATTAGCCATGTGTGGTGGTGTGTGCCTGTAGCCCCAGCTACTCAGGAGGATGAGGCAGAAGAATTGCCTAAACCCGGGAGGTAGAGGTTGCAGTGAGTCGAGATAGTACTACTGCACACCAGCCTGGGCGACAGAGCAAGACTCCATCTCAAAAAAAAAAAAAAAAAAAAGTACACGATCTATAAGACAAAAATCATAAAACTGGTGAAAGAAATAAAAAAAAACTAAACAAATAGAGGTATACTCCATGTTCATGGCTAGAAAGACTCAATTTGGTCTATAGATTCAAGGTTAGCCTAATCAAAATGCCAGCAAATTATTTAATGTGTGTTGACAAACTCATTCTAAAATTTATATGGAGAGGCAAGAGACCTAGAATTTCTAAATTAACATTGATGTAGAAGAAAGTAAGAGGACTGACACTTAAGTGACTTCAAAACTTGATATAAAGCTACAGTAACCAAGACAGTGTGATGATGATAAAATAATAGACACATAGATCAGTGGAACAGAACAGAGAGCCGAGAAAAACTACCCACATAAATACAGTGCAGAAGTGAAATAGATCTTTGACAAGGGAGCAAAGGTATTAAAATGGCACGAAGATAGTTTTCAACAAATATTGCTGAAGCGATTGGATAACTACATGCAAAAAAAGGAAAAAAAAGCTATAGACATTAACCCATAACAGTTAACCCAAAATGGTTCATAAATCTACATATAAAACCAGAAACACCTAGAAGATAACATAGGAGAAAATCAAGATGACCTTGGGTATGGCAATAATATTTTAGATTCAAAACCAAAGGCATGATCCATTAAAGAAAGAATCAATACACTGGAATTTATTAAAAGTAAAAGCTTTGACTTTTGACAACATCAGCTAAATGAGAAGACATGATATTGCATGCAGTACAAAAACCCAAGGAGGTGGCAGTCCTACACTACCAAAGCCATCAGAAAGTTGAACGAGAAAAGGCAGAAGGAAACTGTTGGGCAGATGCTGAGGCCAAAATTGCTGCCAGGCAGAACCTCCCATTAGAAATACCTATGGAAGGACCCTTGGTATGGAACAACCCCCTCCAAGAGATTAAGCCTCAGTATTCCCCGACTGAAACAGAATGGGGACTTTCATGCATGCATAGTTTTCTCCCCTCGGGGTGGTTAACAACAGAAGAAGGAAAGGTACTTACACCCTCCACCAAACTTTTCATATGGGTATTGAAAACATTCATCAAATGGCCAAATCCCTATTTACAGGGCCAAATCTCCTCCGGACCATCCGACAGGTAGTCAAAGCCTGTGAGATGTGCCAAAGGAATAATCCCTTGGTCCATCGTAAGGCCCCTTTGGGGGAACAAAGAATAGGTCACTATCCCAGAGAAGACTGGCAGTTAGACTTCACCCATATGCCTAAGTCAAAGGGATTTCAATACTGTTGGTCTGTGTTGATACCTTTACAAATTGAATAGAAGCTTTCCCCTGCGAGACAGAGAAGGCTTAGGAAGTGATTAAAGTCCTGATTCATGAAATAATTCCTATATTTGGGCTTCCCCAAAGCCTACAGAGTGACAGTGGTCCAGCTTTTAAATCCACGGTAACTCAGGGAATTTCCAGGGCGCTAGGGATACAATATCATCTTCACTGCACTTGGAGGCCACAGTCCTCAGGGAAGATCCAGAAGGCAAATGAAACACTCAAGAAACACTTAAGAAAATGAACACAAGAGACTCATCTCCCATGGCCTACTCTTTTGCCCATGGCCTTGTTGAGAATCTGAAATTCTCCTCACAAAATGCGGCTCAGTCCCTATGAAATGCTGTATTGATGAGCTTTTCTCACAAATGACCTCCTACTTGATCAGGAAACGGCCAATTTGGTCAAATATATAACTTCTTTGGCTAAATATCAATGAAACCTTAAAAACCCACCTGAAGGATGTCACAGAGAAAAGGGAACAGAGTTGTTTCAACCAGGAGATCTAGTGTTGGTCAAATCTCTCCCCTCTACCTCCCCATCTATGGATTCTTTGTGGGAAGGACCATACTCAGTAATCCTCTCTGCCTCCCACTGCAGTTAAGGTGGCAGGAGTGGAATCTTCGATTCACCACACCCGAGTTAAATTTTGGACACCCCCTAAGAAATCTGTGGGACTGTCAGCTCAGGAGTCCCAAGATCAGCCAGACTAGCCTCGATACACCTGTGAACTATTGGTAGACTTGCATCTCCTATTTCGGAAGGAAACATCCCAGATTAAAAAGGCTCCTACCACTGATCCTGAGGAAAAACCCCTTCCTTCTTAAAAAAGATATGTGAAGACCTACATAATCTTTAACACCTCTCCTTTCCCCTTTAATGGAATCCTTTTACTATTTCATCATATTATTAAGCAGCATACTAACCATACTCTTTGCGATAGGACTATATACTGTAGCTCCTGCTGGGATGAAAATCCTAATCACATCTATCTTCTATCTTCCTTCCTTCTGACAGCAATTTACTCCTACCTTTAACTCAGACTGGATAAAATGATCTCGCTTTCCAGAGCACCCTCTTTACCTTCCTATTTACTCTTTGCGTATCTATCCCTCCTGCTTCCTTGGATACCTCATACAATCGCACCCCCCTCCCCTTCCACTAGCTCCTAATTACCTCTACAAGACTCTCTACTTATCCCACTCTCTGTTAAACCAGTCCAATCCTTCCCTGGCAAATGTCTGTTGGCTTTGTATCTCTCTATCAACCTCTGCTTACTTTGCCACTCCCATTCCCACAAAAAACTGGGTCTTTATCAACTTAACCTACCACCCTCGTTATGAAGGAAAAGACCATTTCAAATGACTTCTAAATATGCAATCATTAGCCGACTTCCCCATCTCTGATAGGACCAAGATTACCCTAACAGGATGTGCAATCCAACTTTTATGTTCTTACATTTCCAACTTCACCTATTATACAAGCAATGAAAAGCCCATACACGGCCCTGTAACGATGAATACCATCTTAACTTTCCAAGCCCCTTTATGCATCCAACACAACCTGTTATCAGGCCTGCCCCTGGGGCACCTACTACCCCATCAGTGTAATTACACCCTACAACTTCAAGCCCCAACTGATCATAGTAACTTCCTAGTCACCCAAACAGCTCCATTCAGACGGCTTGTCCATTTCTCAGGGCCTCCAAAAATCATCACCTCCTCCCTGCTTAACAAACAGTCCATGTTTTGTAATGGCAAACGTACTCCCTGCATGACCATTAACCCCTGGACCCCCTGCAGCAGCGCCCCCACCACTAGTGAATGCCTTCTCATCCCCTTTCAATCACTCTCTCTCATGGTTCCTGGTAGATAAAAAATGATTTTTTCTCCAATGGGAAAAGAGAACACAGGGAGCCACTCAGTTCACTCCCAACACCCCTTTCCAGCCACTTGCTGGAGCTACCTTGGCCAGTACTCTAGGAGTATGGGAAAATGAAAACAACAAACTCACACACCTTTTTAACATACACAGCCAGTTCTGTCTACCCAGCCAAGGTATATTCTTCTTATGTGGAATGTCAACCTGTATCTGCCTCCCCACTAACTGGACAGGCACCTGCACCTTAGTCTAAGTCCCAACATTAACTTTGCCCTAGGAAATCAGACCCTATCAGTACCCCTCAAAGCTCAAGTCCCTCAGCACAGAGCCACACAACTAATACCCCTACTTATAGGGTTAGGAATGGCTACTGCCACAGGAACTGGAATAACCAGTTTATCTACTTCATTATCCTACTACCACACACTCTCAAAGGATTTCTCAGACAGTTTGCAAGAAATAATAAAATGTATCCTTACTCTACAATCCCAAATAGAATATGGCAGCAGTGACTCTCCAAAACCACCGAGGCCTAGACCTCCTCACTGTTGAGAAAGGAGGACTCCGCACCTTCTTAGGGTAAGAGTGTTGTTTTTACACTAACCAGTCAGGGATAGTAAGAGATGCCACCTGGCATTACAGGAAAAGCCTTCTGAAATCAGACAACACCTTTCAAACTCTTATACCAACCTCTGGAGTTGGGCAACATGGCTTCTCCCCTTTCTAGGTCCCGTGTCAGCCATCTTGCTATTACTCACATTCAGGCCCTGCATTTTTAACCTCCTTGTCAAATGTGCTTCCTCTAGGATTGAGGCCATCAAGCTATAGATAGTCTTACAAATGGAACCCCAAATGAGCTCAACTAACAACTTCTCCCGAGGACCCCTGGACTGACCCACTGGCCATTTCACTGACCTAAAGGGTTCCCCTCTGGAGGACACTACAACTGCAGGGCCCCTTCTTCACCCCTATCCAGCAGGAAGTAGCTAGAGTAGTCATCTCCCAATTCCCAACAGCAGTTGGCGTGTTGTGTTTAGAGGGGGGATTGAGAGGTGAAGCCAGCTGGACTTCCTGGCTTGAGTAGGGACTTGGAGAACTTTTCTGTCTAGCTAGAGGATTGTAAATATACCAATCAGTGCTCTGTGTCTAGCTAAAGATTGTAAATGGACCAATCAGCACTCTGTAAAAATACACCAATCAGCACTCTGTGTCTAGCTAAAGATTTGTAAAAGCACCAATCAGCAGTCTGTAAAAACGCACCAATCAGCACTCTGTGTCTAGCTAAAGGTTTGTAAAAGCACCAATCAGCACTCTGTAAAAATGCACCAATCAGCTCTCTGTGTCTAGCTAAAGGTTTGTAAACACACCAATCAGCGCTCTGTAGAAATGCACCAATCAGTGCTCTGTGTCTAGGTAAAGGTTTGTAAACACACCAATCAGCACTCTGTAAAATGGACCATTCAGCAGGACTTGGGCAGGGACAAATAATGGAATAAATCTGGCCACCCAACATATACACCATGGAATACTATGCAGCCATAAAAAATGATGAGTTCATGTCCTTTGTAGGGACATGGATGAAACTGGAAACCATCATTCTCAGCAAACTATCACAAGGACAAAAAACCAAACACCGCATGTTCTCACTCATAGGTGGGAATTGAACAATGAGAACACACGGACACAGGAAGGGGAACATTACATACCAGGTACTGTTGTGTGGTGGGGGGAGGGATAGCATTAGGAGATATACCTAATGCTAAATGACGAGTTAATGGGTGCAGCACACCAACATGGCACATGTATACATACATAACAAACCTGCACGTTGTGCACATGTACCCTAGAACTTAAAATATAATAATAATAAAATTTTAAAAAATTAAAAATAAATAAATAAATAAATAAATAAATAAATAAAATAAAATAAAAGCTGGCCATCCGAGCCAGCAGCAGCAACCCACTCCAGTCCCCTTCCACACTGTGGAAGGTTTGTTCTTTCGCTTTTCACAATAAATCTCGCTGCTGCTCACTTTTTGGGTCTGTACTACCTTTATGAGCTGTAACACTCACCGCGAGGGTCTGCAGCTTCATTCCTGATGTCAGCCAGACCACAAACCCACCAGGAGGAACAAACAACTCTGTACACACCACCTTTAAGAGCTGTAGCACTCACTGCAAAGGTCTGCGGCTTCATTCCTGAAGTCAGTGAGACCATGAACCCAGAGGAAGGAAGAAACTCCGGACACATCTGAACATCTGAAGGAACAAACTCTGGACGCACCATCTTTAAGAACTGTAACACTCGCCATGAGGGCCCTTGGCTTCATTGTTGAAGCCAGCGAGACCAAGAACCCACCGGAACGAACCAATTCCGGACACAATGAAACATACTGGGAGAAAGTATTTGCAAAAGATAAAGGACTTTTATATAAAATATACAAAGCACTCTTAAAACTCAACAATAAGAAAACAATCAGATGGGCAAAAATGGGCAAAAAGGTCTATACAGATACCTCACCCAGATACACAGATGGCAAATAAGCATAGAAAGAAATGTTCAACATCATATGATGTTAGGGAATTGCAAATTAAAACAATATGTTACCACTACATACATATCAGAAAGGCCAAAATCTAAAACACCAACAGCACCAAATTCTGGCAAGGATGTGGGAACAACAGGAACTTCCACTTATTGCTGGTGTGAACAAAATGGTACAAACACTTTGGAAGATGGTTTAGTGGTTTCTTACAAAATGAATCATAGTCTTCCCATATAACCCAGCAATTGTAGTCATTTGTATTTACCCAAATTTATTGGAAACATATCTACACAAAAACTTGCATAAAGATGTTTATAGCGGCCAGCTTTGTTTATGATTATTTAAACCTAACAGCAACCAAGATGTCCTTCAGTAACTGAATGGATAAATAAACTGTGGTACATCCAGTCAATGGAATATTATTTTGAGTTAAAAATACATGAGATATTAAGCTATAAAAAATGGAGGAATCTTAAATGCATATTCTTAAGACAAAATGATTCAATAATGCTACACACTACACAATTTCATCAATATATTAGCGTATTACGGAAATTAAAACTATAGATACAGTAAAAAGATCAGTGAAGACCCAGGGTTGGGGAGAAGGATGGTTAAATAGAAAGAACACAGAGGAATTTTAGGGAGGTGAAACAATTCTGCCTGATACTACAAATCATGGATGCATGTCATTATACGTTTGTCCAAACCCATAGAGTGTTCCACATCATAAGTGAAACCTAAAGTAAATTATGGACTTTGGGTGATTATAATGTGTCAGTGTAGGTTCACTTATTGTTCCAAATATTCTACTGTGGTGCAAGATTTCAATTGTAGGGGAGGCTGTGTGTGGGACAGGGTTATATGGGAACTTTCTGTACAGTCCACTTAATTTTGCTGTGAACCTAAAACTATTCTAAAAATGAAGTTAATTAAATTAAAATAAAACTGGACAGTTAAAAAATCAAACATTCCAATTAGAAGGTGGAAAAAAGACTTGGAGAATTATTACCCAGAAGAGCAATATGATAAGCACAGGAAAAGAGTTTCAATATAATTAGTTATTAGCAAACTTGCTAATTAATATCACCCAGTACACACCTGTTAGAATGACTAAAATAAAAAATAATGAAGCACCAAAAATTGTCGAGAATGTTACTGATTTGATCATTAAACCTTGTATACATATATTAAAATATCACTGTGTATCTCATAAACATAAAGAATGATTACATATTAACTAAAATTAAAATAAAGAAATCAGATCTGTGATACATTACTGGTGGGAATATAAGTTGATATGACATATTGAAAAACAGATTATATTCTTATAAAATTAAACATTCCCTTACCATATGACCTAGCAATTGCACTTTCGGGTATTTATTCCAGAAAATTACCTGTCATTTTACAGATAATTTACAACAAATGTAAGATTGTGCACTGATGTTCACAGTAGCTTTATTTATAATAGTAAAAAATTGAAAACTATGCAGATGTCTTTCAATAGGAGAATGGTTTTGTCAAATTTTGGTACATCCATACCCTGGAATACTAATCAATACTATAAAGGAACAAGCTATTGATACTAACTAGAACAGGGATGAATCTCCAGATGGGGTGTTGAATGGAAAAAGCCAATTTCAAAAGTTATATACTGGATAGTAGCACTTATGCAGCATTGATGAAATTAGAAAATTTTACATGTAGAGATCATATTAGTGGTTGCCATTGGTTAGGAATGGGAGGGCAAGCATGGGTGAGAGGTAGACACGGTCGTGAGGAGTAATATGGGGAATCTTTGTGGTGATGGAACTGTTCCAAATCTTGACTGTGATGGGGGAAACCAACAGGTGGTAAAATTGCATAGAACCAAACACACACACACACACACACACACACACACACACACACCCGAGTACAAGTAAAAATAGGGAAATCCTGAGTAACATTGATTAACTGTATCAATGACAATATCCTAGTTGTGATATTGTAGCATAGTTTTGCAAATGTCACCTTTTGAAGGAAATGGGTAAAGATTACATTGGATCACTTTGCGCATTTCTTACAAATGCATGTGAATTTGTAAATTTCAATAAAAAGTACACTGGTAACTAAGTTTGCAAACTAAAAAAAGAGAGAGAAAACAGGAAGAAAATAGATAACATCAGTTTCTAAAGCTGCTTCTTATTACCCCAGCGCAGCTTTATAAATCATTTTCCAAAGCTTCTAGATGCACTAAGTTGCAGCATTCCATAAATGCCAACATCATTATCTTGTAATGTAAGCAAGACACTGTAATATGTTTCTCAACATCTCATTCTTCATTATCTTTGCATTCAAAGATGTGAAGAAGATATTTATAATACATGCATAAAACAAAGGATTTGTATACATGAATACAGCAAGAACTCACTCACTTCTCACCCAGGGAGAACATTAAACTATTCATGAGGGATATACACCTATGACTCAAATACTTCCCATTAAGTCCTACTTCTAACACTGGGAATCAAATTTCAGCCTGAGATTTGGAGGGGATAAACATCCAAACTATAGCAAGCACAGGGTACCATCCTCCAGGATGCAGTGTATGGGTGAAACAAAAGTATTTGTGTAGCTGTGTCCCCAGTGGGAAGAATGCATGGATCCAAACAGCAAACTATAGCAGGACCCCAAACCAGAAATAGCTGTGCAACAGTCTAAACTGTAATTAAATATTCTTGCTGCTTAATCCATAAAATCCAGCAGACTCTGTGGTACTGATTACATCCTAGAGGCAACTAAATGTATCAATTTTGTGGCAAAACCCAGTAGGAGAAGAACATCTCAGGCCAAAGGAGACTAGAGTAAGGCTATGCTGTATGTGGTAAAGAACTATATGCACATTGAGAAAAAAACAACCCTTGGCCTGCTACTGAGCACTGATAAAGTTGGAATTTCAGACCATGAGCCCATGTGCCTAGAACTGGCAAACCCTACAACTGAAAAGGTCTGGCCAAGCAACAATCCACTCGAAGATGGAAGTGAGAAATTCAAGATTGAGCATAACAGGATTAGAAGGCCCAAGCAAATGTTATGATCAGGTAACCCACACCCACAACTTCTGCGTCACTGCTGCTTCCCTCAGTGTATGTCTATGACTACATGGGGACCTCTTGCTACTGATTTCATATTCATCTTTAACTGTCTTTCATTGGTCTTTAATTGTCCTAATATGTGGTTGAAATTTAAATGAATGATGGCAGCACTGAGGCCCACTTAAGGGTGCCCTTCAAGGGGTGCTGAGGGGAAATCTTCTCAATGGGTGAAGTATTGGCCAGTGCACCTGTTTATTCAGCTAGCCTGGAAAGAACAGTGGCCTGAGGTAAGGATGGATGGATGGATAGATGGATGGATGGATAGATAGATAGATAGATAGATAGATAGATAGATAGATAGATAGATAGACAGACAGATAGATAGATAGAGTCCCAAGGGAAATGACAAATGGCCTGGCCAGATGGTCAGGGATCTAGAAGGAAAAAGATCAGGATATTGGGAACAAGAAATTCTAGAGTAGAGCCATGTGGATTGAACATATGGGAGTGGATAGAATATGTGATGACCATTTTACAATGTATCTACACCTTTCAGATGTAAAATGAAACAGGTACTAAACAACCAAGTAGAAAAATTACCCTAGTCTGTTGGCATCAACCAATTTTTATTGTAGGTTTCTCCACCAATACTAACCCAATGGGTATGTGAATGAAAGTGCCCAAATTATAAGAGATGAGAGTTTTTCAAAGTCAGAACAACATGAACTTGTGATTACCAAGACTGGTTTAGTTATAGCTGTTGGTAAATGTCCAAACTGCCAAAACAGAGACTAATGCTGAATCTTCAGACTCAAGGAGACTCATGTACATCTTGGAGCAAATTGACTTCATTGGGGTACGTACATAATGGAGGTGTCAGTGATATGCAGATGTAGACATGTTCCAAATATAGATTTTCTGTTCCTGCATGAAAGACCTCAACCAGCACTACTATGTGAGGGCTTAAAGATATTTGTTCCAGGCCAGGCGCGGTGGCTCATGCCTGTAATCCTAGCACTTTGAGAGGACAAGGTGGGCGGATCACCTGAGGTAAGGAGATCAAGATCAGCCTGGCCAACATTGTGAAACCCTGTCTCTACTAAAATACAAAAAAAAAAAAAAAAAAAAAAAAAAAAAAATAGCCTGGCATGGGTGAGTGTCTGTAATCCCAGCTACTCTGGAGGCTGAGACAGGAGAACTGCTTGAACCCAGGAGACGGTGATTGCAGTGAGGTGAGATTGCACCACTGCACTATAGCCTGGGTGGCTGAGTGAGACTCCATTTCAAAAAAAAAAAAGATATTTGCTCCAGTTATATTTGTTATAATATAACACTGCATTGGACCAGGGTATTCATTGTTCACTGCCAAGGAGGTGTGGGGTGAGCTCATGACCATGGATTCCCTGACTGCATCACCCAAAAGCTGATAATAAGGTGTAACAAGCTGCTGAAGAAATACCTGAAGCACTAGATTAGTAGTAAAACTCTGCAAGCATAAATGCTATTCTCCAGGTGCTATCCTTCAGGATGCAGTATATGCATGAAATGAAGATATTTGTACAGAGCTGTGAGCTCAGTTGGAAAAAATGAATGCATGGATCCAAAAAGCAAGGGTGGAAGACAATGTGGCTCTAATTTCCACTACTTCCATATATTGACTCTGCTTCTCCAAACTGATGGATCAATGGGATTGAAGATCTTGGTCCCCAAAGGGTGCGCACTGTTACCTGCAAACACAGTAAGAGTTCCATTGAATAAAAGCTATGGTGGCCCCCTGAGCACTACAAGCTCTTTGTGTCCAGGGACCGACAGGCAAATAGTCACTGTCGTGAAGGGGTGGTAGACGGGATCATTAGGAGGGTGTAGACATATTGTTACCCAATTGGAAAGAATAGAGTAATAAAGCAAGGTGATCCACATGTGTGCCTCCTGCAACTGTCCTACACATTTGTGAGTATAAATGGAGACATGCAACAACCCTAAGAAGGACTTGGTGACCGGGGGTTTGGAAACCTCAAAAATAAGATCTGAGCCACCTCTACCAGGTAAGGCAGTGAGGTCAACAGAGGTGGTAGCTGAGGGCAAGGTGAATTTAGAATGGATGGTGAAGAGAGGAAACAATGAATATCCACTGCAGTCCAGAAACCAGATTCACTGAAGCTGTGGAAGCTGTAGTTTGTCCCAACATACCTCTCTCTCCTAAGTTTCTCCCCAGAAAGAAAGCCCAGTTGAGTCTTGGAGAAGAAATTGCTTCTCAACAATACATGGAGAAGTGAATTTCACTGCACAATGACAAGAACATAGAGACAGACTCCCCAGACCCCACAGCAAAGAGGGACTTGCTGCCTGTCTCTAGGAAATGCAGTCAGTGGAGACCATTCAGTGGCGTGTCTACTTCAGATACAAACAGCCCCTCTCTTCTCAGGGCAGCCTGCATTTGGTGACTCGAGAAGGTGGTGCTTAAAGGCTTGGTCATTTGAGTCTGATGTAGGATACTCTGAAGGAAATGCTTGCTGCCAGCTTCTTCTAGGCTTTGTTGGTCCTGCATTGCAATTTGAGTTTTTTCTTTGCACAATCCTTTTTCCTCTCTCTCTCTGTACAGGTGTTGATCTCCAATAAATATCCAGTTCCCAAACTCCACAAGAACAATTTAAAACTCACATGGACCTAATATTATTGCCTTGGATTATAAGATGGAAAAGGTTAATAGACCTATAAAGAAAAAGTAGAACATTCACCCACATAGTAACATATTTTCACATGTCTCTATAAATGGTACATTAAATAGAAAGTCTAGTAAGATTAGTGAACTTCTTAAGAGTATAATAAAAAGTTTGATCTATGGGATGGAATAGAGTATTACACTTAAAAATGGAAAATACATATTCTTCTCAAGCACTTAAGAAAATTGACTATGTCTTCTACCCTTGTGCTAACTTCATAAAATTTGAAAGGATCGTTACAGTAAAGACCATATTCAAAAATAATAATGCTATGAAGTTAGAACTTAACAACAAAAAGAATTTTTAAAAACCCCACGTTTGAAAATTTAAGAAAAATTTAAGAAACTCATAAGCCAAAGAAGAATTCATAGTACAAATTTGAAAATACTTGAAATTTAGGAATTCCATGTCCAACCATAATAAAAGAGTGAGTATTAAACTATAACAAAAACTATAAAACTAAACCAAATGACTATTTTCTGCCATTGGACAACAGGTATAGGAGAAGCAGAAATATAATCCCTGTGGTCCTTGACAAAGAAAAAGGGAAACATATAGGTAAGTCTCACTTTTCCTTCTGTGATGCAGGAAGAGGCACACAAACTAACAAATCAGATATTGGGTTCAGGACTAACAGGTGAGCTGGAAATTAAGGATGGTTACAGGAAAAGGGGAGATATATAAAAGGAACCCCACAATTCTGCAAGGGGGCCTATCATGGGTTCTTGATTGGGTTTGCATGTGTAGTGCAAAGTGCCACAAAACTTAGCAGAGAATAGCTGATTTTTGCTGGGAGAGGAACAGAGATAGCAACAGGTATTTCACAGAAGAGGAAACACAGATGACTAAGATAATGTTAAAAGATGGTCAACCACATTAGTTGTTAGGAAATGAAAATAAAATTACTCTGGGGTATTATTTCATGCTCAACTCATTGCTCCACCTTCCACTCCCCTACACCATCAAAAATATAAATAAATCAAGTCCAGCAATATCAGGTATTGGTGAGGCTAGGGCAAATAAGATTCTTATACACTGAGAATATGAAAAGTCATTTGTTACAACTACTGTGACATAGTTTGGGCATTAACTAGTATATCTGACATAGTGATTCTACCACCAAGTAGACCTTAGAGAAGCTTTTGCCCATGTGTCCCGGAGACATGTGCTTGCATATTCACAGCAGCATTGTTTATAATTGCTTATAATAGCTAAAAACAAAAAAAGTAATGCCTATCAACTGTAGAATAGACAAAATACAATTTTGTCAATACACAGAAATATTATATACCAGTGAAAATTAATGAAATATGGCTTCATTCATAGATCTACAAGAATAAAACTCAAAAATAAAAGTACATCAAAATGTTAGTAAACTACATACACTATTATATAAAGTTCAAAGTAGAAACAATGAATAATATAGTGATTAGGTATACTAATATATAATCAACATATTAAAGGGGATAATATAGATAGAAATGTAGGTAGGAGATAGATAGATAGATAGATAGAGGGATAGATAGACTATAATACATAATTGATATATTAGAGGCAAAACCATAAAGGAAAGAAAAGAAATATATAACATTAGGTTATTCATTGCCTCTGAGGAGGGAGGTGAGCTATATAATTAGAGAGGGGCACAGAGAGAATATATACTGGTATGCTTTCATATGTAATCTGATTGATGGATCACAGTTGCTAAAGTTATTCTTTGTTTATTAATACTTTTTTACCTGTATGTTTGTGTGTGTACAATAAGCAGTTTATATATTTTTGTATGTATATTTTATAATAAAATAATATTTGGTAGAAGAATTGAGATTTAAATTCAGAGAGAATTACTCTAGAACCCATTGTCTTAATAAATATACATACAATGAATTAGTAAATGGATGGAATTATCTGTTCACATTTGCTTTCCTTTCACAGGTGGTCTTTCCTTTGACATCTTTCTATAATTTTGAGCCTAATAATTCATAGTCACCAAGATATGCTTCTAAATCTTCATTCAGTGTTTGATGCAAACAGTTTCTGTGAATTGTCTCTTTTAATCTTCTCAACAAACCGACATGGGAAATGCCATTTTTATTTCCAATTTACAGATGGCAAAATACCGGAGAGGTCACACAGATGTGAAAAGTAAGAGTGGAGATTCAAGCCCTGCTTTATCTGTCTCCAAAATGAGTGTTCCTAAGCACCACCAGATATTGTCTAAGAAAAACAAAGGTTAGCTTTTCTGTGTTGCTGCCTCTTTAGGAACAGAACTACTCGTCCATATATATAATTCAGCACTGGTGACTATTTCAGTTCTCACTTTTCCCGATTTGCTCCATTTTGTACAGCTTACTCATATACAAAATGGACATATTACAAACTCCATTAGACCATGATCTTTGTTCTAACTTTATTTTATTGACAAGCTTTGTAATTTTTATTTAAGCAAAAATTTGTAAAATTGAGAAAGGAATATATTTCATAAATTAAATTAATCTAGGTAATTTTGTTTTCCATATGCAGATGTATTCAAATTGACTGCAAAGCCCTATGTATGGCAAAGTGCTGGCTGTGGCAGCCAATTTTTCGGTATCTCATTCACACTTTCTTTTGCTAGGCTCTTTCCGTTCATTTCAAATTAGACTAATTTGTGTATTTGTACACACAGTTCTATTTTGTCCTCTATGAGTATCTTTCTAAAGGATAACGAAGAAAGAGAATAAGACCTTTAAAAATCTTATTCCTTATTTTTATCACTTTACTTGATGGAAATTTGGGGGGACAATTTAATGTAGTTGACTCTTCAAATATTCTGAAGTTTTATTTCTGAGATACTAATGAATATTAATAAGACTTCAAGTGATTTGTTGGAAAAAAATTAGGAAGAAAGCAACAGATTGCAGCATTGTGAGGATACAGCTTAAAATAAAGAAATAGTTATTTTAGTTTCACATTAAAGTATAAACTAAAGTTATCTCTCATATTTATTTTTTTCTGTTGCAAAACATGAGTTGAAAATAAAACCCACAAACTCCCAATAAGGAGAGCTTGGGGCTTGAAGTTCCTAGACACATGCAATATACACATACATACGTGAAACTGGTTTAAGTAGCTGATGATTTTAGGAGTGAAAATAGCCTCAATGCAGCTGTAAAAAGGACACAACAGGACTTTCTTTCTCACTATCTCCCCATCCTCATCCTCACCATTTCTCAGCAATACTTTCTCAGAACCATCTTCTTTCTCAGCAAACCTCTTCCACATGATCTCAAGATGACTATCAGCATATTAACTGTTCCATATTTTTTTGTCAAAGTCCATATAGGGAAGAAACAATCTTTTTTTCCATAGCTAAACACCTTTAACTGAGTTTCGCTGACTTTGAATTAACCTATTTTTGTGTCTTGTGCCCATGTCTGAGTTTATTGCTGTTGCCAGGAAGATAAAAGGCTAATTACCTTAAGAAAATTTCAATTAAATTATAAAACTAGCAGTGAAATCAATTCCACTCATTTATATAGCTGGGAAATTTGGAGTACTGCTAGGAAGAAAAAAGAGAAAATGATTATAAAAGAGGAAAACATCAAATGACCACTGAAATATTTATGTGGAAATTCAAGCTAAATGTGAGGAAATAAAAGTATCATCTTAGGTCAATCCATGGTGGATAAAACTAGAATTCCATCTCTGAAGGTGGCACATGCCAAAAAAAAAAAAAAAAAAATTAGGACAAATGTGCGCTAGTCACAATGTCTTCTTTAGAGATTGGGGTAGTCCCTCGACTCACTTTAATCAACTTTTTCATCTTTTGATTGAGTTCAACTACTTTTAATTAATTTCTCACCAATAAATTTCTGTGAAGTAAAATATAATTTTCTTGTTCCTAGAACTTTTTTTGTTTGTTTGTTTTTTGTTTTAAGACGGAGTTTTGCTCTTGTTGCCCAGGCTGTAGTGCAGTGGCATGATCTCAGCTCACTGCAACCTCTGCCTCCCGGGTTCAAGCGATTCTCCTGCCTCAGCCTCCCAAGTAGCTGGGATTACAGGCATGCACCACCATGCCTGGCTAGTTTTGTATTTTTAGTAGAGACAAGGTTTTCCCATGTTGAGCAGGATGGTCTCAAACTCCCGACCTCAGGTGATCCGCCCACCTCGGCCTCCCGAAGTGCTGGGATTACAGGCATGAGCCACTGCACCCCCTAGAATCTTTACTGGAAATGGTTAGAAGCCTAGTGATCAAGTAAACATGACTTTATTTTGCACCCTGCTGAATTACCTGCCTCAGATTACTATGTGGGAAAAAAAAAATCCCACTTTAAAGTTGGCACTAATTCTGGGTGTATGCCTAATTGTCAAATGAAGAGAAAAATCAGACACTTTGTGCTTAAAAATACCCTTTATATGAAATTCCCTTTATCCTTAACTAAATCCCTTATAATCTAATGGAGGAGGTAGATGTATTTCCCTGCAATATTTGAGGCAAAAAAAGAGGATGTTTAGACAATAGTTTTAAAGCTAATATTAAATATATTACCCATATAGGAAACTATCTTGGAAAGTGGGCAGATAGAATACGTAACTAATTTGTTTGACTGAAAGAATATTCAGTCAACTGTGTCCATCTGCACAAAAATGATTTTCAAAAATTTCTAGTCTTTAATTGCTTCACTGACATGATTAATTCCAATACTATTTTTGAGTACTTTCTTGTGCTGATTACTGGGAACTTGAAGATGGAACAGAAAAGACAAAGACCCATACTACATTGAAGCTGGGATGACTAACTTTTAAAATAATTCCAACTAGGCGGCTAGTATTTCTTAAGATAGTTACAGTTGTACTTATAGCTCACTTTTTTTTTCTGAAGCATGTTTATTGGTAGAATTGGCCACGTCAATATTATAGACCTTGGACTCAAAGGGTCTCCCCATTTACTACTTGAGCTTTAGTGAAAATGCTTTAATCTTAACACTAGTAATTTTCTCTTTTGAAAAAGGTCACTTTTTTTAGTGATTTACTTTATAATAAACTAATTTTTATAATAGATAAATAAAATGTAATGTAGGTAAAGAGCTGAGCAGAGTTTGTGGTATAGAGTAAGTGCTCAACAGATGTCAGATATTATAATTTTTATTATGATGGGTAATTATATGATGGGTAATTTTAAGTGTCAACTTGATAGGCTAAGGCATGCTGAGATAACTGGTAAAACATTATTTCCAGTTGTGCTTGTGAGGGTGTTTCTGGAAGAGATTAGCACTGAATTGATAAACTAAGTAAAGAAGATGGCCCTCTTCAGTGTGGGTGGACATCATCCACTGAAGTCCTGTATAGACCAAAGAAGTAGGGGGAAGGGTAGGAGTTGAGACATTCATCTTCTCCTACCCTCAGACTTTGGTGCTGCTGGTTCTTGGGCTTTTGGACTCAGACATAGACTTCTTTCATCATTACCTCTCCAGATTATCAGACTTTTGGACTGAGATTGAATTACATGAACCACTGGCTTTCTTGGATCTCCAGCTTGCAGATGGCAGACCATGGGACTTCCCAGCCTCCAGAACCACATAAGCCAATTCCTATAATAAATATCTTCTTATCTATATTTCTATTTATCTATGTATATATGCATGTATGTACATTATCTATCTATCTATCTATCTATCTAATCTATCTCCTATATCTCTTATTGATTCTGAAAAACCCAATATGATTTATTATTATTACTATTATTATTTTGAGATGGACTTTTGGACTTTTGCTCTTGTTGCCCAAGCTAGAGTGCAATGGCGCCATCTCGGCTCACTGCAACCTCCACCTCCTGGGTTCAAGTGATTCTCTTGCCTCAACCTCCCAAGTAGCTGGGATTACAGGCGCGTGCCACCACGCCCAGCTAATTTTTTGTATTTTTACTAGAAACGGGGTTTCACCATGTTAGCCTGACCTCAGGTGATCCTGACCTCAGGTGATCCTCCTGCCTCTGCCTCCCAAAGTGCTGGGGTTACAGGCATGAGCCGCTGCACCCAGCCTGCTATTTTCTATAATTATCTGGCCAAATAGAATAGCTGAACTTTAGGGACTAGTCTTCTTGACATATAATATTAAGCTTGTTGTATCAAAATATTAAATTATGTATCAGAAATTATCTGGAAGTAGGAGTTTTCATGGAAGACTGTTTGAAGTATATTCATTTTTTTTCTATTCCTCCATATATTTTTTGAATCTACCTAGATAGGTGGAGAAGAGAATGCATATACTATATCATACTGGTCATACCAAGGGTTATTTTTAATGAATTGTACTAGATAGAGTTTCCCTGATTGTTATCTAGGGTTAGTGAGAAAAAAATAACACTATAAATTTTGTCACTGTATCCCCTTTTTAGAATGTTGTCGTGTATGATGTTCATTATACCAAAATGTCCACTTCATGATGATTGTCAAGAAAGATTCCATCTCAGTGAGACTACAAAAAAAACCTGTGCTTCCCTCTAAACATTATGTGTGTTTTTTTATTGGGGGAACTATAATTTGTACAACTGACCTTTTTTTTCTCTTTTACCAAGAGTTTAGACCCAAATTTTTCATGCATCCTTAAGCAAATATATAGACCATGAATGGCAAATTATGAGTCATAAATCCCTCTTCAGTCTCCAATGCAGATGCCACAAATCAAACACAGTACTATTACCCATGAAATGTGGCCTCAGAATCCTTTGCAACATAGCCCTTCTGGAAATTGCTACCAAACAGTGAAAGTTGGAACAATGGCTGAAACCCATTTGGCATTCTCAGAACACTGCACTGTGTCTTGCATTTTAAGTCTCATTTCTAGTAATATTTTACATTTTTGTTTTTTTTCTCCTTCTGTATACTAAATTAGGCTTGTGTTATCTTTCACAGATTCACATTTACAAGTTACTTTAAATTCTATCCAGACCAAATTGTGGAAATCAATCAAAGCACACCTAATCTAACCCCTCGAGGAGCTCCCAATACTATGGGGACTGAAATATGTGAATAGGCAAACTTCTCAAAGTATGAAAATTACTGTGATAAAATAAAGCATAGAGTTATTAAATGGATGTTAGGAAAAGCATATCCCCACCAGAACTCAAGAAACTTTTACTCATGGTGGATGGTGAAGTAGGAGCAGGCATATCACACAGGCAGATCAGGAGCAAGAAAGAGGGGGAGGAGACACACACATTTCTAAACAACCAGATCGCATTTGAATTCACTCACTATCAGGTGAACAGCACTGAGCTATGAGGCATCCCCAGAAGCCAAGCAGATGCTGGCACCATACTTGTATAGTCTGCAAAACTGTGAGCCAATTAAACCTCTTTTCTTTATAAATTACTCAGCCTTGGGCATTCCTTTATGGCAACACAAGGACAACTGAATACAGATGGATTCGTGATTCCTGTTTCCAGCATTCCTGTGAATGCTGATATATTTGAAGGAAGTTGAGGCCAGGGTGGTGCTAGTAAATCAGGTCAAGCAAAGTAAGAATCGATAGAGCTTGGCACAGTAGACCTGGAAAATGCAAGGGAGTCTTGGTCCTCCACTCAAGTCTACTTCCTGACTCACTCTCTCCTTACTCTCTGCTAAACTCACACTACTGAATTTCTATGCTCTTAAAAACTAAAAACAATAACCTTCAATTCGACTTTCATTTGGCCTTTAGAGTTGTAAAACATAATTCAGAACGGATCAAAAATATACCCCAGATAGAGCTTATAATATTGCATAGACTGCCACTGAAACTTCATTGCTTCTCTGTGACACTCAAAGCAGAATTTGAAGAGATAGCCAGGTACCCAGTGACCAATCCCCACATAGACCAGAGTCCAAAGCCAGGAAATAAACAGCAGGCATCTGCCTTTCCAGGCAGTTTCTGAATGAGATATAATGAGTTCTCTTTTGTTTATTTCTAGGGATTTTATATATGATAGAAAGGAAAATGTGCTCTACTGAAGCATATCTGAGTTGTACACTGCATGTGGGCAGAGCTTCCATTTTACTTTTACTACTCAGATGTTCTCAGAAGTAAATCTCATTGGAATGTAAGATCCCAAGGGCAGGGATTTGGCCTGAATCATAAACAATAGTATGCTCTCTCTCTCTAGAACTGGGACTGGCTGGTGATATTTACTCAAAAAGCATTTCATAATAAATATGTATCAGTTAGGTAACTTTGGCTGCAAGTTGCAGAAAACTCAACTGAGATTGCTGTAAACACTTGGAAATTAATCAGCTCAAAAGACTGGAAATCCAGACATAAGACAGATTAAAAGGAAGATATAGGGAACAAGGGCTTACCAGTCTCTGAATTGACAGTGGTATTTAGTACTTCAGAGGATAATGCTCAGAGGAAGACTGCGATGGTCATTAATTTTGACCAACAAATATTTCTGGTTTCTTCCCCAGCACATACAGATTTGCATACCCCTGCTCCCTTGACGTTAGAGATGATCACCTTTGCTAGTACAGTGTGAATAGAACTAATGTGAGGTCCCTCCTTGGTGTGGGCTCTAAAGGCACATGTAGATTTGCATTTTCCTGCTCCCTTGAAGTTTGAGGTGGTTACATGGCTCACTTTTGCTTGTGCAATGTGAATGGAATTGATATGAGTTTTTTCTGGGTATGGGCTCTAAAGGACATTTTTCTCCACTACATTGATAAACATTGTTCTAGATAGGGGCTGTTCTGCTGGCCTATGTCCTGGGGAGAGGACAGCATGGAACTCCCATCACACTTGTGATAGAAATTAATGTGAAAAGTATATAAATCTTTGCTCTTGTAACCCACTAATAACCTAGCCTATCCAGATGAGTAACAAAGAGGAAGCCATCCCTGAATGGTCTCTCAGAAAAGAAAGGGAGATTTTAATGAGAATTCCCCCAAGTCTGCTCCTTTCAACTCATTGGTGTGAATTCTTGTTACTCAGTAAGTCTTTGTCAAAGGAGATCATTGCCCTAAGATCAGTCAGCCAAACCCTAGATTTTGAATGGTGGATTCTAATTTTTTGAGTTTTGTAAGGTATATGTACAGATACATCAAACCCCAAATAAAAAAAGATTTCGATAAGTAAGAGGAAGACAATTTACAACCACAAATCAATGTGATTATTTTTCCATCAGTTGGCTTGAGAGGGTGCTTAACAGCCTGTCCCTTAAATACAACAAGTAGAAATCTCTTTCTTCACTTTTCCCATAATCTCAGCTGGACCTTTCACAACAGAAAAACACTATCTCAAACAACGTGTTTAGGTGATTTCACCTCCTTCTTTTGAGACAGGAGTTAGAGGAGACACAGAACTTAATATAAATTTTCTTGTTACCTAATAAGGCACAGGTAAGATACCCACATAATAAATTTCAAGTATCCAAGAAAATCCAATTGCCCTTATTGGATTCACTAGTAGTACCATTAGTGCAGACTATCAGCAAGTGGTGAGGACAATTTCTGCAATTACTGTTTATAAACTTTCAATTGTAATTTGTCTCATATGGTCATCTTCCTAGATATATTCTAATAACAAACACAGAACATACCAACTACAAATGAACCAGACTTCAAAATCAAGAATTTATTTATAATAGAAATTATAATAGAAGTATTAAGTCCTCTGAGACTTGTATGTAAGTTAACTCATTCCAAATTTCAACATTAGAATGAGTTACATGAGGAACACATAACTGTGTATATTTGATTCTAAAATTCCTATCCTAAGATTTTACCAAGGTGGCTAGTAACCTCTATATTTTTTGTTCTCAAGTCTAAAAAGAAATAAAAGCAAAATATGTGAAATACTCCTTGAGAATGTAAAGACCTTTTAAATAAAATTAGGTGCATGATAAGTTACTCTAACTCACTTTACCTTGAGTCTGATTTATGGGAAGTAACACCACCTCCAATTATGCACAGTGAATTTGAAACTCCTGAAAAGGCACAGTATTAAAACAAGACTGAAGTCCTAAATACTGCTGACAATTCAGAGATTGCTAAGCCTTTGTTCCATATATCTTCCTTTTAGCTCATGGAAAATCTTCCAAAATTGTCTGTTACATCAACTGTGAATCTCTAATACATTTGTTCATTTATTCATATAGAGGAATTCACTTGGAGAAGTGAGAGAAGAGGAGAGAGTGTCTTGGTTGTGAATATACTTAATTGGATAAGCACTACTGTGCCAAAATGTGTATAATAAGGTTTTTGGAAATGTTATGTTTTGGGTTATGTATTTGAGTAATGTTGCTCATTTTATTTCTCCAAGATGTTTTCAAAATGGAGCAGACATTTCAAAAAATGTACCTGCAGCCCTGAAAATAATCCTTGTGCCAGGCAGCAGGGTCTAAAAAATTCAGGGCAGCAGACAAACAATTCATTTCCTAACTTATTTCATTCCATGTCTTGTAGTAAGAAACACAGAGTCTTAATATCTGAAAAAAAATCCTGTATGTCTAGAAAAAAAAAAGAATAGGAATGATTTAAAAATTTGAGACAATGCAGCAATCTAAATATAATGCTAGAACCTTGGTTAACCATAATTCAACCAAGTGGAACCTTCAAAGAATTTGAGAACCAGAAGAAACTCTAGAGGCAATTTAGTCCAACCTCCTGGCAACATAGTCATCTCTTCCACAACATCCCTTTATTAGTGATCATCTTTTCCCTGCAGAAATGTTTCCAGGAGTGGCGACTTACTTCCCGAGATTGCCTATTTGATTCTCACACAGCTCTAATTATCAGATCATTATTTATCAAGTTCTAATTAAAATCTTCTTTCCTCTAGCTTGGCTATAGTTTTTCATTCTAAAATGACAAACATAAGTCTTCTCTTTCTCAAATTAATATGACACTCTAATTTTAGATGTAGGTGAAGAAAGGAGAAAGAAGCAAGTCATTAAAAAGCAAGTATTAAGTGAAACAAGGCAGGTACAGAAAGACAAATATCACATGTTCTCACTCATAAGTGGATGCTAAAAAATGTGTTCACATGGACATAGAGAATGGAATGATAGATAATGGACACTCAAAGGGGTGAGAAAGTGGAAAGAGGGAAAATGATAAGAAATTATTTAATGGTTATAATGTATGTTATTCAGGTGATGGATACCCTGAAAGCTCTTACTTGGCAAATATGCAGCCTATGTATGCAATAAAATTGCACATGTATCCCATAAATGTATACAAATAAACATAAAAATTATTTTTTAATTACATAATTCATTTTTGGACATATTCTGTAATATCTCCATATTTACTTTCAAATTCTCACCCTTATACACCCATAGCAGGAATGATACACACAAATTTAATTATGCTACTCCTCTGTTTAGAATCTTTCAAAGGGTTTTATCTTATCTTAGGATAATATCTAAACTTCTTTCCATGTTTTATAAGGACCTACACATTCAGGCCTCCTGCTACCCCTCTCACCTTCTCAATGCACCCGCCCACTTGGAGATCAACAGTCCCTTTACAGTAAAAGTATTTCAGTACTTGAAAACCAGTCTCTCTTACTCCCCCTCTCTCTCCGTTTCTCTCTCTTGGAATCACCTGTCGAGATTCTTTCATAACTCTTGCTCTACATAACTAATTCTGGTCTCATCTCAAGCAACTTCTCTTGTGAAGCTTCTCTGACCATACAAACTTGGATTTGGTGGATGTTCCACAAGCCCTTGTAGCATCCTATAATCTCATTAACATAGATATTGGTATATTGTATTATAGGTTACTCACTAGAATTGCAAGTTACATAAGAGTAGCAAGTGATATCTAACACATTCACTGCTTCAGTTATTTGTTGTTGCTGTTTGAGGTGGAGTCTCACTCTGTTGCCCAGGCTGGAGTGCAGTGGTACGATCTTGGCTCACTGCAACCTCTGCCTCCTGGGTTCAAGCTATTCTCCTGCCTCTGTCTCCTGAGTAGCCACCACAAGCGGCTAATTTTTGTATTTTTAGTAGAGATGTGGTTTTGCCATGTTGGCCAGGCTACTCTCCAACACCTGACCTCAGGTGATCCGCCCACCTCAGCCTCCCAACCTCAGGTGATCCACCTGCCTCAGCCTCCCAAGGTGCTGGGATTACAGGCCTGAGCCACCATGCCTGGCCTTCAGTTCTTAATCCTATAATGCCTGGCACATGGTTGTGTTGATGAATATTTGTTAAATGTATCCATAAATGATCAAATATGAAAAATAAATGTAAGCCAGTGCAAAGTCTGTCACCTAAGAACAATGAAATTATTTCTAGTATATTCCTCCTAATAAAGCTGGGAATAAACTATTTTAGAAAGTTTCCAATAATCAAAGATAATAGCAGAAAAAGAGATTTCTAGCTAATTAAGCTGTAAGATTCTTGTGGTTAAGGTCTATACCAAGCTTGTCCAACCCACGGCCCATGGGCTGCATGCAGCCCAGAACAGCTTTGAATTCAGCCCAACACAAATTTGTAAACTTTCTTAAAACTTGAAAAAAATTAGACGAATGGATAACTAGAATAACCAATGCAGAGAAGTCCTTAAAAGACCTGATGGAGCTGAAAGCCAAGGCTTGAGAACTACATGAAGAATGCAGAAGCCGCAGGAGCCGATGCCATCAACTGGAAGAAAGGGTATCAGTGACGGAAGACGAAATGAATGAAATGAAGCGAGAAGGGAAGTTTAGAGAAAAAAGAAGAAAAAGAAACGAACAAAGCCTCCAAGAAATATGGGACTATGTGAAAAGACCAAATCTACGTCTGATTGGTGTACCTGAAAGTGATGGGGAGAATGGAACCAAGTTGGAAAACACTCTGCAGGATATTATCCAGAAGAATTTCCCCAATCTAGCAAGGCAGGCCAACATTTACATTCAGGAAATACACAGAACGCCACAAAGATACTCCTCGAGAAGAGCAACTCCAAGACACATAATTGCCAGATTCACCAAAGTTGAAATGGAGGAAAAAATGTTAAGGGCAGCCAGAGAGAAAGGTCAGGTTACCCACAAAGGGAAGCCCATCAGACTAACAGCGGATCTCTCGGCAGAAACTCTACAAGCCAGAAGAGAGTGGGGGCCAATATTCAACATTCTTAAACAAAAGAATTTTCAACCCAGAATTTCATATCCAGCCAAACTAAGCTTCATAAGTGAAGGAGAAATAAAATACTTTACAGACAAGCAAATTCTGAGAGATTTTGTCACCACCAGGCCTGCCCTAAAAGAGGTCCTGAAGGAAGTGCTAAACATGGAAAGGAACAACCGGTACCAGCCACTGCAACAACATGCCAAAATGTAAAGACCATCAAGGCTAGGAAGAAACTGCATCAACTAACGAGCAAAATAACCAGCTAACATCATAATGACAGGACCAAATACACACATAACAATATTAACTTTAAATGTAAATGGGCTAAATGCTCCAATTAAAAGACACAGACTGGCAAGCTGGATAAAGAGTCAAGACTCATCAGTGTGCTGTATTTTGGAAACCCATCTCACATGCAGAGACACACATAGGCTCAAAATAAAGGGATGGAGGAAGATCTACCAAACAAATGGAAAACAAAAAAGGCAGGGGTTGCAATCCTAGTCTCTGATAAAACAGACTTTAAACCAACAAAGTTCAAAAGAGAAAAAGAAGGCCATTACATAATGGTAAAGGGATCAATTCAACAAGAAGAGCTAACTATCCTAAATATGTATGCACCCAATACAGAAGCACCCAGATTCATAAAGCAAGTTCTGAGTGACCTACAAAGAGACTTAGACTCCCACACAATAATAATGGGAGACTTTAACACCCCACTGTCAACATTAGACAGATCAACGAGACAGAAAGTTAACAAGAATACCCAGGAATTGAACTCAGCTCTGCACCAAGCGGACCTAACAGACATCTACAGAACTCTCCACCCCAAATCAACAGAATATACATTTTTTTCAGCACCACACCACACCTATTCCAAAATTGACCACATAGTTGGAAGTAAAGCACTCCTCAGCAAATGTAATAGAACAGAAATTATAACAAACTGTCTCTCAGACTACAGTGCAATCAAACTAGAACTCAGGATTAAGAAACTCACTCAAAACTGCTCAACTACATGGAAACTGAACAACCTGCTCCTGAATGACTACTGGGTACATAAAGAAATGAAGGCAGAAATAAAGATGTTCTTTGAAACCAACGAGAACAAAGACACAACATACCAGAATCTCTGGGACACATTTAAAGCAGTGTGTAGAGGGAAATTTATAGCACTAAATGCCCACAAGAGAAAGCAGGAAAGATCCAAAATTGACACCCTAACATCACAATTAAAAGAACTAGAAAAGCAAGAGCAAACACATTCAAAAGCTAGCAAAAGGCAAGAAATAACTAAAATCAGAGCAGAACTGAAGGAAATAGAGAAACAAAAAACGCTTCAAAAAATTAATGAATCCAGGAGCTGGTTTTTTGAAAGGATCAACAAAATCGATAGACCGCTAGCAAGATTAATAAAGAAAAAAAGAGAGAAGAATCAAATAGACGCAATAAAAAATGATAAAGGGGATATCACCACTGATCCCACAGAAATACAAACTACCATCAGAGAATACTACAAATACCTCTACGCAAATAAACTAGAAAATCTAGAAGAAATGGATAAATTCCTCAACACATACACCCTCCCAAGACTAAACCAGGAAGAAGTTGAATTTCTGAATAGACCAATAACAGGCTCTGAAATTGTGGCAATAATCAATAGCTTACCAACCAAATAAAGTCCAGGACCAGATGGATTCACAGCTGAATTCTACCAGAGGTACAAGGAGGAGCTGGTACCATTCCTTCTGAAACTATTCCAATCAATAGAAAAGAGGGAATCCTCCCTAACTCATTTTATGAGGCCAGCATCATCCTGATACCAAAGCCTGGCAGAGACACAACCAAAAAAGAGAATTTTAGACCAACATCCTTGATGAACATTGATGCAAAAATCCTCAATAAAATACTGGCAAACCGAATCCAGCAGTACATCAAAAAGCTTATCCACCGTGATCAAGTGGGCATCATCCCTGGGATGCAAGGCTGGTCCAACATACACAAATCAATAAATATAATCCACATATAAACAGAACCAGGGACAAAAACCACATTATTATCTCAATAGATGCAGAAAAGGCCTTTGACAAAATTCAACAACCCTTCATGCTAAAAACTCTCAATAAATTACATATTGATAGGACGTATCTCAAAATAGTAAGAGCTATCTATGACAAGCCCACAGCCAATATCATACTGAATGGGCAAAAACTGGAAGCATTCCCTTTGAAAACTGGCACAAGACAGGGATGCCCTCTCTCACCACTCCTATTCAACATAATGTTGGAAGTTCTGGCCAGGGCAATTAGGCAGGAGAAGGAAATAAAGGGTATTCAATTAGGAAAAGAGGAAGTCAAATTGTCCCTGTTTGCAGATGACATTACTGTATATCTAGAAAACCCCACTGTCTCAGCCCAGAATCTCCTTAAGCTGATAAGCAATTTCAGCAAAGTCTCAGGATACAAAATCAATGTACAAAAATCACAAGCATTCTTAAACACCAATAACAGACAAACAGAGAGCCAAATCATGAGTGAATTGCCATTCACAATTGCTTCAAAGAGAATAAAATACCTAGGAATCCAACTTACAAGGGACATGAATGACCTCTTCAAGGAGAACTACAAACCACTGCTCAATGAAATAAAAGAGGATACAAACAAATGGAAGAACATTCCATGCTCATGGGTAGGAAGAAATAATATCATGAAAATGGCCATACTGCCCAAGGTAATTTACAGATTCAATGCCATCCCCATCAAGCTACCAATGACTTTCTTCACAGAATTGGAAAAAAACTACTTTAAAGTTCATATGGAACCAAAAAAGAGCCCTCATTGCCAAGCCAAGTCAATCCTAAGCCAAAAGAACAAAGCCGGAGGCATCACGCTACCTGACTTCAAACTATACTACAAGGCTACAGTAACCAAAACAGCATGGTACTGGTACCAAAACAGAGATATAGATCAATGGAACAGAACAGAGCCCTCAGAAATAATGCCACATATCTACACCCATCTGATCTTTGACAAACCTGACAAAAACAAGCAATGGGAAAGGATTCCCTATTTAATAAATGGTGCTGGGAAAACTGGCTAGCCATATGTAGAAAGCTGAAACTGGATCCCTTCCTTACACCTTATACAAAAATTAATTCGAGATGGATTAAAGACTTACATGTTAGACCTAAAACCATAAAAACCCTAGAAGAAAACCTAGGCAATACCATTCAGGACATAGGCATGGGCAAGGACTTCATGTCTAAAACACCAAAAGCAATGGCAACAAAAGCCGAAATTGACAAATGGGAACTAATTAAACTAAAGAGTTTCTGCACAGCAAAAGAAACTACCATTGGAGTGAGCAGGCAACCTACAAAATGGGAGAAAATTTTCACAACCTACTCATCTGACAAAGGGCTAATATCCAGAATCTACAAAGGACTCAAACAAATTTACAAGAAAAAAACAACCCCATCAAAAAGTGGGTGAAGTATGTGAACAGACACTTCTCAAAGAAGACATTTATGCAGCCAAAAAACACATGAAAAAATGCTCATCATCACTGGCCATCAGAGAAATGCAAATCAAAACCACAATGCGATTCCATCTCACACCAGTTAGAATGGCAATCATTAAAAAGTCAGGAAACAACAGGTGCTGGAGAGGATGTGGAGAAATAGGAACACTTTTACACTGTTGGTGGGACTGTAAACTAGTTCAACTATTGTGGAAGTTGGTGTGGCAATTCCTCAGGGATCTAGAACTAGAAATACCATTTGAACCAGCCATCCCATTACTGGGTATATACCCAAAGGATTATAAATCATGCTGCTATAAAGACACATGCACACGTATGTTTATTGCGGCACTATTTACAATAGCAAAGACTTGGAACCAAGCCAAATGTCCAACAAGGATAGACTGGATTAAGAAAATGTGGCATATATACACCATGGAATACTATGCAGCCATAAAAAATGAAGAGTTCATGTCCTTTGTAGGGACATGGATGAAGCTGGAAACCATCATTCTCAGCAAACTATTGCAAGGACAAAAAACCAAACACCGCATGTTCTCACTCATAGGTGGCAAGTGAACAATGAGAACACATGGACACAGGAAGGGGAACATCACACTCCGGGAACCGTTGTGGGGTAGGGGGAGGGGGGAGGGATAGCATTAGGAGATATACCTAATGCTAAATGACGAGTTAATGGGTGCAGCACACCAACATGGCACATGTATACATATGTAACAAACCTGCACATTGTGCACATGTACCCTAAAACTTAAAGTATAATAATAATAAAATAAAATTTAAAAAAAGTGTTATGAGACATTTTTGTGTTTTTTTTAGCTTATCAGCTATCGTTAGTGTTAGTGTATTTCATGTGCAGCTCAAGACAATTCTTTGTCCAATGTGGCACATGGAAGACAAGAAATTGAGCATCCACAGTCTGTATCTTATATTTAATTTTCTTATATTTAATTTGGCACAAGGTGGTTTTTCGGTTATATCTTTGTCGGTGGATGTAAGTCTTATCGTGTTGTGATTAAATTATGGGCATGTTTGTAAAGAGTTACAGTTCCATGACCAGTTTTTAACAATAATTTTAAAAGGCTCTATACACACTCAACTATTATTCTCAACACTAGAAGAACATAACTTACCCCAAATCCGTGTTTTCCTTCTTTTGGCAATGAATAAATTGGGTTGATAAAGAAGGTTGTTTCCAAATCTCACACTTAGGGTGGACTATTAAGTCACTACATGCTATCTCTTACAGGATAAGATCATAAAAACAAATTAACAAAATGAGTAAATAAATGACCAAGAGATGTATGGTTTGCCTTGTAAACCTTAGCACATTTCCAGCTTTCCTTATTACTTACCCAGCACGGACCTACAAAACAGTAAGCCATCAAAGAAGCCTCCAGCTACATTTTATGTAATCAATGCCATGAGTTATTGCCTGGCCCCATTGCACAAAGGCTGTTTCAACCTTGAACGTGGCCTTTTGTTTGAATGTATCACCATATGTTCACAAATTGCTATGCAAAGATGGATTGTTCCACAGTCTCCTATTAATATTTTGCCTGGGCATAATGTTCACTTTTATTTGTCTAAAATGTTTTAAATTGCCAAGTGATTTTTAAAGTAATTGTTAAATTTTGCAAGTAGAGTCTTCCATTCTGTGATTGAATTGCACAGTTGAAATACATGAAGGCATCATGATCTGAGTTAGAATGGCATAGTAAAATAAAGATGACAACTGTCACGTTTCAGTTAAAGGGATTGGGGCTGAAATCCAGGAAATAGACTTTGAATGTATTTTTTTTTCTTTCCATTGCCCTACTGTTCATATTCAGCTCATTAGTCTTGAACTAACATAGTAGAATGATCTTTTAGGGAATTTAAATCACTTGAACAATACTCATTCCAGAGTTTCTGTAAAGGGTAGCATATGTCCCTAGTAAAATCTTTAATATTAATGGTCTCAATTATTCCTTTGTTTTCTTCAAGGACACAACCAGTGTGACTCTGTTTCTCAAAGGGTAGGGAGGAGTCTATTTGGAGACCAGGACTTCATTTTCCTCCTACCCATGTCAGCCTACTTGTCCTCTGTCATGCTATCTTCATTATAAAGCAGCACCCAGTAGTCTACAGAAAATGTGGCCTAGGAAAAATCACAGAACAGCATACCATAAGAAGCAACAACATAAGAAAGGTCACACATACAGACATACACACACACACAAATTTTAATATCCTCTTAGCAAAATGTGAGATCAGGACACAAATGAGACATTGAAATGGTGTAACTTTTAATCCTTTTGCATTACCATATCATAGTGTTAAAAATACTATTTCTGGCTGGGTGCAGTGGCTCATGCCTGTAATCCCAGCACTCTGGGAGGCTGATGCAGATGGATCACCTGAGGTCAGGAGTTCAAGACCAGCCTGACCAACATGGCGAGACCCCATCTCTACTAAAAACAAAAATTAGTGGGGCATGGTGGTGGGCACCTGTAATCCCAGCTACCTGGGAGGCTAAGGCAGGAGAATTGCTTGAACCTGCGAGGTGGAGGTTTCAGTGAGTCGAGATCGCGCCATTGCACTCCAGCCTGGGTGACAAGAGTGAAACTCTATCTCAAAAAAAAAAAAAAAAAAAGAAAAAGAAAAAGAAAATACTATTTCCTTATTGGTCTCCCCCTACAGACCCTCCCCAGGGAATAAAAACATTTTATGGTTGTTATTTATGTTTCCAGTGCCTCCTGGGGAGAGAAAGGCCTAGTGACTAAAAACATAAATTTTAGAATCAGTCATACTTCAGTATGAACCCTGGCTCTTCTACTTAAAAGCTATGTGGTCACAATTTTCCCCATTTGCAAGAGGTAAAAATAATAATGCTGTGTTGATGTGATGTGATATGATGAGGGGGTGATGTGAGGAATGAATACATTTTACATATAAAGTGTATAAGTCTGTACCTAACTCACAATGAGTACTCAGTAAAAGCTGAGCCATGATGACAGTAAGGAGGATGAGCTACTTTAGCTCGGAAACACATTGGAGAATACTACAGGATACTTTTATTTCTCTGTCTTAAATAAAAAGGTACATACTCAGCAGTATGTGTAAACTGAGGCTTAGAGATATTTACTATACTACCCAAGATCAGACATCTAATAAGTGGCAGGGCTTAGATTGAGGCCAAGATGTGTCTGAGTTCATAGCCCATATTGTTTATTGGTCTACCATATTGACAGCATAGCCATACATACTCTGGGGAAGTGAGTGAATCTCTCATGATAATATGAAAAGCTCTCATTCTAGGTCTTTGTCCAATATTCTGGCACCTTTGCTTGCAGTGGTCCTATTTTACTGTCATACTGTACCTCTCTTTCCTCAGACGTAAATGGGTATCTTAGTAATACTAATAGCTATAGGATTGTTAAGGGGATTCAATGAGTTGATAAGCCTAAATCTCTTAGACCTTTGCTGTCACATAGTAGGAAACACTATATTCCTTAGTCTAGGTTTCTAAGTACTTTTATTATTATGATTATTGTTACTTACAGCATGAAGGGAATGCTTTCAGTTTTGAGTAACAGAGATCCAGCTGGAAGTGACTTAAGCAAATAGTAACATAGCTTTTCCTCATGTAATTAGAGGTAGAAAAAGGCAGCTCCTGGCCTTGGTTTCATGGTTTTATGATACCCTCAAGGACCAAAGGTCTTTCAGTCTTTTTACTCCACTACATTTAGCTTGTTGTTCTTTAATTCTGGAAGTCTCAGGATATCTTCCAGAGATCCAAGATTCACACTTGTATTCAAATTAGGAAGATGGGAATAGAAGGAACAAAAAAAAAGTAGTACAAGTGGTGACTGCTCCTTTCATGACAAAAATGAAATTTTCCTCAGAAGACCATCTCTGCACCCCACTAGAAGACATCCACAGATTTTTCCTTGACATAGCTAAGTCAAATGGCCTCCAAGGTAGACCAGGAGAGTGACTTTAGGTTTTTTTGGTTTTATGTGGGAGATGGCCAGGAGAATGGAATTAGGAATTGATGTTGGGTGGAGCACCCAAATCTGCCTGCTATATTCACACAGATACATTTAAAAGTCCTGAAATATAAAGTAAGTTGATGGAAAAGGTATCATCTATACTGATTTAACTTTAAGCTTTTATTTCAAAAGCACTGAATGAAATACAGAGAAATTCTATTAAACTGAAATACAATGTTCTCATTTTTGGCAGTGTGTTCAAGTTAACAGTGAATATTTAGACATTCCTGTGTCCTGGGGATTTATCTACAGAGACAATCTCAAAACCAGCTTTGAAAGCCATGAACACCGTATGTGGAATCCTACAAACTGGTTACCCTTGACACAAACCTTGCCTGTAGGAAACTGACCATGAAACCCTGAAAGTTTATAAAGACCAAACACTCCAGAAAGGTTTTCACCTGACTTGTTTACAAAACAATGTAACTTGCTATCCCAGTATGTTAATAAATAAAAACACACATAGAAATTGGTTTTGGTTGATAAATTAGAATTAGGTGTTTCTGCGAGCACTTTCACTGGAAGTACTCTTTGATTAGTGAATTTAATTGTTCTATTATCTTTGTCAAAAAATTCTATAATTTAGGCCGGGCACAGTGGATCATGCCTGTAATCTCAGCCAAGGTGGGTGAATCACCTGAGGTTCAAGACCAGCCTGGCCAACATGGCTAAACCCTGTCTCTACTAAAAATACAAAAAATTAGCTGGTGGTGGTGGCGTGTGCCTGTAGTCCCAACTACTCGGGAGGCTGAGGGAGCTGGAGGTTGCAGTGAGCCAAGATCTCACCACTGCACTCAAGCCCGGGCAACAGAATGAGACTCCATCTCAAAAAAAAAACAACAAAAAAATTAATTCTGTAATTTAAAATAGCATATAAAGTTGTGTTTTAGATAGGCAATCAGGTACTTGTAAAGGCTTAAATTTAATACCTAGCTATTTCAAGATAGTTGCTTGCTAAGTATGTATTTGAAACCAATTTTAATGAGAAAAAACAGACTCATCATATTTGCAAACAGACATATTATGAGTGACTGACCAAAATTATAGAGAAGATAGAGAATATTTTGGAAAATGCAAATGAGAAAAATTAACGGCACCATCATTAAATAGCATTATCTGCATTGTGCCTATTTGTAATAAAATTATTATATCACTATTTGCTTAAGTCATTTCTGGTTGGATCACTCATAACAGAAATATTCCTTTCAGTAATAAGCACAATGTGACAAGGATATTTAACAGAATTTCATATACTAGAATGTGTGTAAATGAGATATGGGTCAAGTAAAAAATAAAAAGAAATAAACAAAAAAGATGTTATTCAAAGAAATGTCACAAAGGGTCCCCTCTAAGGCCACTTTCCAACGGCAGAACTTTTCACAAGTCACTTTTTGACATTTCTTTTCCCATAAGTAATTTAAAAATAATGATTGCTGTCCTGCTAGGCGGTCAAGAGAATTAAAATGTGAACATAGTTAAAACCCTTCACAATACTTGGTATAGATAATGTATTTAATACATCTCAGTCCTGCTTCCATTTCCTCAGAAATATCAGCAGGGATTTTATGTCATAAGTCTATGTTTAACTATTATAGATAACTAACTGCTATTTAATTTCTCTGTACTTTGGTTTCTTATTTGTAAAGAAGAAATACAGTACTTTCCTTCTTAAGACTTTTTTTAGGAGTAGTGGACATGCCTGTGGTGGTCAATTTTAATGTGTCAACATGAAGGGTATTTTTAGATGAAACTGACTTTTAAAATGATAAACTTGGGGTAAAGTAGATTGTAGTCCATAATGTGGGTAGACTTCAACCAATCAGGTGAAGGCCTGACTAGAACAAAAAGACTGGCCTCCCCAAGGAAGTGGGGGATTCTCTAGCAGACTGCCTTTAGATTTCATCTGCACTATCAGCTCTTCTGGGTCTCTAGCCTGCCTGCTGTTAGACTAGAACCACAACTTGCTCTCCTGGGTCCCCAACACGTTGGCCCATAAGACAGATTTTTAACTTGTCATCATCCATAATTACATAAACCAATTCCTTAAAATTAATAAATATACATACATACATACATACATACATACAACATCTTGATTCTGTTTCTCTGGAGAATCCTAACTAATACAATACTTTACAATGCTTCCCATGATTTTCTCCCCCTAATAATATCCCATGGAATATCAACAGTTTCTTTCTCTCTCATTACAGGATTTGAAAAGGACATTACTATGACATTTTCAGCCTTAAGGAAAATAATTCTGAATTATCAAGCTTGTAGTTATTTTTTACACAGCAATAGAAAACTAATATATGCCTGTCATTATTAAACAGAATGAGCTTCTAAATTTTTTTCTCATTAACTCTGCAAATTTGGTTTCTATTATTTCAGTGGTTTTAATTCCCAGAGATTTGATTTATATCAAACCAGCATACTGAGTTCCTTTCTCAGGGCAAAGGAAAAATGGAGTGGAAAGTGGAAGAAAGAAGTTATAAGTATGAATCATAAGACCAGTTCAGAAACAAAGACTGTAATCATGTTGTGAATTTTTTGTTTTCTTTGCTATTAATATGTTTGCATATATTTGTTATTTTTTCTCTCTCTCTCAGCCCCATACTATCTAATGTAAATGTGACAATCACATTTCAACCCACATCTCAGTATCTAAGTATTAGAATATCAAAGCCGGAGTAAAACTCAATTGGAAGAGCAATAAGTTTCTCCAAAGATGGACAGAATCCATTAGATTAGTGCTTCCTCTTTCAGGGAGAGATTAATTTGTCTTCAGCTGTATGTGGAAAAGATACAGTTGTGTATGAGATAGTGGCATCATATGAAGCAGAAGCAGGATATTGTTCATTTTATTTAGAACCTAAATATGAATAAAAGGAAATAAAAATGCTAAAGTGACAGAGGGCAGTGTACCAGAATGGGTGAATGAATGCTGTCCACATGGCAACATCACCACCAACCCTTTTTGTATTAGTTAAGGTTCTCCAGAGATACAGAACCAATGGGAAATAGATTTATTATGAAAAATTGTCTTATGCAAGTAAGGAGACTGAGAACTCCTATGATTTGCTGTCTGCATGCTGGACGCCCAGGAAAACCTGTGGTCTGAGAACTCAGGAAGTCAACAATATAGGTCCCAGTCCAAGTTCAAAGACCCAAGAGCTAGAAACACTGATGTCTGAGGGAAAGAGAAGATGAATGACCCAGCTCAAGCAGAGAGCAGAGAGGGGAAGAAAGAGAGAGAGAGAATGAGAATGAGACATTTGTTTCCATGGGATATTATTATTAGGGGTAAAAAAATCATCATTTTGCCTTTGTGTTCTGTTAAGGCCAAAAATATATCAGATGATGCCCACCCAAATTGGTAGGGGGATCTCTACTAAGTCTACTGATTTAAATGGTAATTTTTTCCAGAAACACTCTCAGAGACACACCCAGAAATAATATTTTATTAGCTATCTGGGCATCCCTTAGCTCAGTCAAGTTGACACATGAAATTAACCATCACAACCATCACTCCTATTAAGACTAGAAACTATACTTTCCAGAATCCCCTTTGCCATACAGGCCAGTTTTGAATTTTCGAATGAGAGGAAGTCATGTGACATCAACAGACAAAGTGAGGCAGAAGCTACTATTTTTGAAGGCTGTGGTAGTCAGAAGTGGTAGGCTTCCACATCTCTTTACAAGTTCGCCTCCTTGGTCTTGGTACTATGCAGATGTACTCATGACTGGTGGCTTTCTTCTCCAAATGCAGTGCTTTGGACTGTATAGTGACCATTTATGCAACCCTCCAAGTGTGATTTCTCATATTTTCATTTGCCCAGACCTCTCCCCATTTACATAAGCTCTAATTTTAGTTCCATAATACGTATAGTGGTTCTTTTCTGCTGATTAAATACAGATTAATGTGATATGTAAAGTGTAGTAGATGCTGTGCTAGTGTTAACTTATTATTTCCAAGTATTATATCTTTGAGTAAGTGCATCTTGGCTTAAATCTTCCCAAAAAACATTCTTGCTTTACTCAGTAAGACATCAAATTATGTACTAACAAGGGGCCTTTCTTTTCTATTAGAGGCCAAGTAATTAAAGCAAGTCATGATTTGACTTCAGTTAACCTCTTGACAAGATGACTTGTTGTGCATGGGTATAATGGAATGTCATCTACAGAGAAAGCAGACACTTTGACAGTTAAAAATTTGTCAAACTGAAGTTTCTGATCTGTGATAAATCACTTTGGAGCACAAGAAAAGTTTGGACTCATATATTTTATTCTAGACAAGTTGGCTCAATAGAAAGAGAGCTCAGGGCCAGAAAGCACATCTCCAATTGGTCAAATGTGCCAGACTCAAATGTTAATCTCTTTTGGCAACACCCACACAGACACACCCAGGATTAATACTTTGTATCCATCAACCCAATCAGGTTGACCCTCAGAATTAACCACCACAACGTGGAATCATATAGTTAATATGTGTTCTTATGTGGCTGGTTGCTTTGCTCAATATTATGTTTACAGAATTTGCTTATGTTGTTCCATTTAGTAGTAGCTCATTTTTAATTGCTGCAAGCATTACATTGTATAAATCTACTACATATTATTTATCTATTTTAATACTTATTAGAAGTCGGGTTATTTCTAATTTGAGGCTATTATATAGTGCTCCTTTCTTAAACAGTCATAAAATTTCATCCCTGAATGCTGAGCACAACTGAAAATATTTTGAGTCATCTAAAGTGGTTTTTTTAGGGCTCAGCTTTATGGAAGAATACAAGAGTTTCCCGTTACTCAGAGAGCATCTCAGTATCTCTCAGAAAATGCCCCATATTTACCCATAAAGTAACTTATATGTAGTAGTTTTTGTCTTGTTTTTGCCTTTGTTAGGAAAAAAAGAAAAGACAACTCCTGTGGTCCAGTTTATAAGCAATTTTTAAAAATGCCTTCACAAGAAGAGAATTGGAGAAGTTATACTGTTTTGTTCATAATGCAATTTTATCAATCATAGATGCAAGGTCCATTTTTATTGATTTATCTTTTTTTGTTTGTCTACTTTAATAATACAGTAAGCATCTATGAAACTGCCATCCAACTCACAAGGTAATATCTTGGCAATAACTCAAATCTACCTATGTTTTCTGACCAGGCAGGTTGAAATCCTGCCTTGTCCACCTGTGCTAACCAGTATTCTGAATCCTCTGTATATTAACTTGATTACCTTTTAGGGTAATCTTCTCTATACATGGCCTCCAGAAATATGATATTCTCAAGATTTTCTAAATTGTTACTAAAATATGCAAGGAATATTTATGTTTTGGAGCTTACAATGTTATTATATATTGCTGGGTTTCTGGCCACTATAGAATAATTGGTACTGGACCAGCTTTTCTGTTGTCAATATCTAAAACTCATTAACAATATTTGGGTCCGGGCACGGTGGCTCACGCCTATAATCCCAGCACTTTGGGAGGCTGAGGCAGGTGAATCACCTGAGGTCAGGAGTTCGAGACCAGCCTGACCAACATGGTGAAACCTTGTCTCTACTAAAAAATAAACAAATTAGCTAGGCATGGTGACAGGCACCTGTAGTCCCAACTACTTGGGAGGCTGAGGAAGGAGAATAGCTTGAACCCAGGAGGCAGAGGTTGCAGTGAGCCGAGATCACGTCATTGCACTCCAGCCTGGGCAGCAGAGAAAGACTCCGTCTCAAAAAATGAATAAAATTAAATTAAAATTTAAAAAATAATAAAATAAAAATATGTGAAGTAACTGTTTTCAGACACCAGACAACAAGCAGTACATGACAACAATCCCTGAGAAAACTCATAGAAAACTCGTAAAGTTCCTATTTTGTCCCATCTTTCTGCATAGGAACAGTTTCTAGAATGTTTCAGATATGGAATACAAGCAGAAAATGGTGGTCCTACTGAGCTTAGATGGCAGAGGGTAGAGTTCTAGGCTGCTGAAATGTCTCAAAACTGCAGGGCAAGGTACTAAAGAGAAGGGAGTTTCACAGAGAAAACAAATCTAGAAGTCTGTGGAAGGAAGTTAAAAGCAATTATTTGGCAGTGGCTAGACTTTAGATGCTTACTAGGGAGTTACTGCTATTGGGTTAGGGACAGAATAGAGATAAAAGAACAAATAAAGTAATGCTGAAAGATAATGCAGTTCTGGACCATGCCGAATAAACAGATCTTGTTAACACCATAGCCATCCAGGTGAGACACCAGATCACACATTAGGACTAAGGACCATGGTCTAGGGTAAAGTCTACTCTGGATTTCTACTAACAGAGACAAAACCAAGCCTCAATAAAAATGGCATGGTCCTCAGAGTTTGGCGCTGAGTCTTGCCAAGTTTGAGGAATTTGGCAAAACAGCATATTGGGCCATCAGCAATACATAAGAAATATTTGCAGGATAATTTGAGTATATTAGGTAGCCTTAGTACCCCTTATAGATACATTGATTAATCAAAGGAAACTTTGGATAGATAGTTGTTATAATGGATTTTTGTTGGCTTATTTTCCATTATCTACTCCCATTGTTCTAGTAGAAGTCCCCTGATATCCTTTTGAAAAGATCAAAAATATTTGACTTCAGTTTTGATGAGATTACCAAAAAAGATATCTTGCCCGACCCTGGATAAATGGTTTTCATTTCACCTAAGTGAGCCTAGCTGGGCTCTTCTTCTTTTCTAAGACTTTGAATCCTCAGTGAAATAAGTACAGAAACAAGCACAGTGAATTCATGCCAACATCGATGGCCCCAAAACGTAGTATATTAATCAAACTACTCCCTGTAGCATATGTCTTCAAAAATGATATAATCCTCCTATTATTTCACTCTTTTTGAGCCTACCTCTTTATGTTTCATTTCTTATGCTACCCAAGTCATTATAGTAAGTTTGAGTTCATAAGAAAAAACAATAAAACTGTTTTGCTTACGTGTCATTGTCTCTCTTTCTGTTGCTTATAGCCAAAGATCCTTGGCTAACTAGAACTAGTACTTAGAGATGTCTTCAGAGTTCGCTGCCAAGCATTGCATCATTGTGAGTTGTCAGCACAACTTCTCAGGAATTAAAGGCATCTTCTCATCTGCTTGGGTTTCATGTTTATGTGTGAGTTTATTGCAATAGGATTTGGACTTCTTCCAGCTGAACACAAGGGAGAAGCTGCTGAAGATGACTCAAAAGTCTTTTAGCAATTCTATTCCCTTCTTCCAGTTTGTCTTTGGATGAGCTTGGTTTATGCTCCTCTGTCTGGTCAAGCCTCAGCAAGTACATAATGTGACTATGACACTGGTTGTGAACAATGGTTTTGCGTATCTTCAGAAGTAAATTAACATGTTTAATCTGTTACATTGGCATCTCCCAATATAAAAGTAAAACCTAGTTACAATTCCCCAGTGTTCCAAGGGATCCACATTAAAAAATATTTTTTCACCAGCGCTTACTAAATTCAGACCAAGCAAGTTAACAGAATCACTCCTAGTTGTCCGTCTAAAGGTGGGAATTTTCAATTATATAAACAGTTCTAGGCCCGCATATGGCAAGGGGGGATGGTCAATAAAAGGGTATTTAGCACAGATACTAACTCCTTATATGGACTAAGGAGAGACTTTTCCAGAAAAGTGAGAGGAATGTTCTTACCCTTTGTTTTACTGTCCTTAGGGCAGAATTTGTTGGTCTTTCACTTTATATATTCAATGCTTTCGTTCAGCAATTTCCAGTATACAAGGTATTTTACATATATAATTTATATGAATGCTTACAAAGCAGAAAGAGTAAGAAGGCATAATTTCTCATCAAAGAGACTTTCAGCATTTCCACACAATATATGTTCCCTTCCACTGGGCACAATGAGGAGAGAGACAGCCTGTCTTATGGATTCAGCTTAAGAACATACTCATAGCTTAAGAACAATGGATAGAATCTTTTTAGTGCCATCTTTTCCTGTGAGGGGGAGAAAATAGCATGAAAGCCTCAGATTCTACTTATGGGATCATTCTTTATGTCTCCTAAACCTCATACCTGGCTATAGTAACTGTGGGATTCTTAAATATTTTCTCATTCTTTCTCTTTTAAATCATACATGGGGAAGGAGATGACAATGTATTGTGTCTGGCTCTTATTATTTTTATTTTAGGTTAGATTACTAGAGCACAACCCAGTGGAAATATGTGGTGGAGGTCAGTATAATTGTTGATACTGGTCAATGTCCAGTTAATATGGTTGATAGGATCTGGCTGAGTCTATCCCAGTCTATTTAATGTAACTCATGTAAACTGAACTAACAAGGCAAAGTGATCCAAACATTGAAAAAAACAGTTTTAGTAATCTGTAGACAAATCTTTTAGTTGAGAAAACCTATTACTTGTCTAAATTTATAAAACTTACAGACATTTGCCTAGTCCTCCACTTTATATGCCCTCACTGTATAACTGGGTTACAGACAAAACATGTACTCTTATTGACTCACCAGGAGTGTTCAGCTCAAAAACTCTGTTGAGGCATCCTTCCTAAAACTCTACTATATCTGGCCTGTTAGGAGAAAACTTGTAATCTTTTTCTCAAGTATAAAGATGGAAACCTAATAAATTCTGAAATACACACGATTACTAAATATACAGCTTTTTATGTAAATTAACATTGTATAATAATTTACTAAAGTGGTGTGCCTATAGAACAAATGTTCATAGATTAATGTTTCAGGTAGATGAAGTTTGTCCACATCCCCATTACCTTATGTCTAACCAATGGTTTTTAAGATAATATTTTTGGCAAGTTCTCTGTCTTCAATGAGAGAAAATTTTGATTTTTTGTAACTGGAGTTTATATTATTCTACAAGATTAAGGTAAAGTGACTCACTGAAAATATTACATTGACTACTGTTATGGTAATATTTTATTGTCATGGCACTATTAATTTACTAATATTTTGGACAAAAGGAACATTTTTCAGATAGACTGTCTAGAGGGCTCTCTTGATTAAGATTACTTTATTTCTGTTTGTGTGTTTGAAAAGAAACCAAGGAGAATATATATAATAAAATAGATAAAAGAGCTAAAAAAGGAAACACAATTATTTTTGCAATTTGAGTACTTTGTTTCTGATTAATTCTGATATACCACAAGGCGAATATAACTAATAAATCAAACGGAGTTAATCTAATTACAAGGAAATTCATAAAATAGGGATATTAAATGGCAAAGTCAATGATTGTATATTTACTCGTTAAAATGCTATGTAATAGTGGACATGAATGTTTGTGAAAATAATGTTTCATGTTTTGAGAAAACATACTGTTTGTTATTTACTACTCTAAGTGCTTCTAAACTCATTTAACCCTTAAAACAATCCTATGAAATAGATGCTCTTATTATCCCAATTTTATGATGAAGAGAAAGAGTGCAAGATTAAAGAACTTTCCCAAGATCCCACAGCAGGTAAGCCGATGGGGCCAGGTTCTGAATTCTGAATCCAGAGTTTGCACTTACACTGTCTTCACTGTCCGTGTTTCATCAGAGAAAATGTCTGTGATTTTCTGATTCTGCAAAACCAGAGCATTGCATTTGCTCATAAAATGCATGAACTGATTGCCATAGTGGTGGCAAAAAGACTATTTCTGGGGGTCTTTAGGAGAAAATGAGCAGCATTAAATCCTCTGCTTTACTGTAAACATAATTTTCTATAGAATAGGGAATGCCTTTAACTTAAAAAAAAAAATTTAAACAGCCTAGGAGGCTGAATACAAATGTAGTGGATATAGTCTATCTCTTTCCTACAGGTGACAGCTGAGGGCATGATTAGCTTCTGGAATGCTATCTACACACAAGAAATGAGTAGATTAACTATCTCCACTGCTCATTCCTAGGGCACAGACCTGCTCTGAGATAACCATAACTCTAAAATGCCCAATAATTTATCCCAGCTATATTAGAAACTTCTTTGGTAATTTTCTCAGTCTGGTAGGAAAGTTAGTGAAAAAGGGTACCTCTGTCCCACAAGAAGACATTTTTTTTTATTTTTAAAAATTCTAGCGCCTTCATTTTTTCAGGTACCTTTCTTTTGTTGCATGTACAAAATTCTGAAGAAAGGGCGAACTGTTTGTTTTCTCTGTTGAAACCGACCTTGCCCTTTCAGAAAATTACTACCACCAGTAAATTCACAGTATACTACTAGTGTAATGGAAAATATTTGAAACTATTTTTTGGGGGGGTAAGGTTTTGGATTTTTTTCTAAACTTTTTTTTTTTTAAATTCAAAGGTCCATGTGCAGGTTTGTTATATAGGTAAACTCGTGTCATAGGGCTTTGTTGTACAGGTTATTTTGTCACCCATCTACTAAGCCTAGTACCCAATATTTATTTTTTTCTGATCCTCTCCCCCCTCCCACACTCCACTGTCAATTTCCTGTGTTCGTTTGCTAAGGATAATGGCCTCCAGCTCCGTCCATGTCCCTGCAACGAATATGATCTCCTTTTTTTATTTAATGGCTGTATTGTATTCCATGGTTTATATATACCACATTTTATTTATCCAGTCTGTCATTGATGGACATTTCGGTCGATTCTATGTCTTTGCTATTGTGAATAATGTTGGAATAAAAATACACATGCATGTATCCTTATAATGTAATGATTAATATTCCTTTGGGTATATACCCAGTAATAATATTGCTAGATCAAATGGTATTTCTGTCATTATGTTTTTGAGGTATTGTCACACTGTCTTCTACAACGGTTGAGTTAATTTACACTTCCACCAACAATGTGTAAGCATTTCTTTTCCTCCACAACCTCACCAGCTTCTGTTATTTTATTTATTTATTTATTTATTTTGAGATGGAGTCTCGCTCTGTCACCCAGGCTGGAGTGCAGTGGTGCAATTTCAGCTTGCTGCTTCCTCTGCCTCCGGGGTTCAGGCAATTCTCCTGCCTCAGCCTCCCAAGTAGCTGGGAATACAGGTGCGCACTGCCGCGCCCAGCTAATTTTTTGTATTTTTAGTAGAGACAGGGTTTCACCATGTTGTCCAGGATGGTCTTGATCTCCCAACCTCGTGATCCACCCACCTCGGCCTCCCAAAGTGCTGGGATTACAGGCATGAGCCACCATTCCTGGCCCAGCATCTGTAATTTTTTGACTTTTTAATAATAGCCATTCTGACTGGTGTGACGTGATATCTCATTGTGGTTTTGATCTGCATTTCTCTAATGATCAGTGACGTTGAGCTTTTTTTCATTTGCTTGTTGGCTGTGTGTATGTCCTTTTTGGAAAAGTGCCTGTTCATGTCCTTTGCCCACTTTTTTGTGTGGTTGTTTATATTTTTCTTGTAAATTTGTTTAAGTTCCTTATAGATGTTAGGTATTAGACCTTTGTCAGATGCATAGTTTGCAAAAGTTTTCTCCCATTCTGTAGGCTGTTTATTCTGTTGATTGTTTTGTTATGCAGAAGCTCTTTAGTTTAATTAGATCCCATCTGCCCATTTTTGTTTTTGCTAAAATTGTTTTTGGCACCTTCATCTTGAAATCTTTGCCCATGCCTGTGTCCTGAATGGTATTGCTTAGGTTGTCTTCCAGGGTTTTGATGGTTTGGGTTTTACATTTAAGTCTTTAATCCATCTTGAGTTAATTTTTGTATATGGTGTAAAGAAGGGATACAGTTTTAATCTCCTCTATATACCTAGCCAGTTATCCCAGCACCATTTATTAAACAGGGAATCCTTCCCCCATTGCTTGTTTTTGTCAGGTTTGTCAAAGATCAGATAGTTGTAGGTGTGCAGTATTGTTTCTGGTTCTCTATTCTTTTCCATTGGCCTGTGTGTCTGTTTTGTACAAGTACCCTGCTGTTTTGGTTGCTGTAGCCCCCTAGTATTGTTCAAAGTTGAGTAGTGTGAGGCCTCCACCATTTTTTTTTTATTTGTTTGATTTTTTTTTTCTTAGGATTGCCTTGACTATTTGGGCTCTTTTTTTGGTTCCATATGAGTTTTAAAATAGTTTTTTTCTAGTTCTGCAAAGAAATGTCAGTGGTAATTTAATGTAAATAGCATTGAACCTAGAAATTATTTTGGGCAGTATGGCCATTTTAATGTTATTGATTATCCCCATCCATGATTATGGAATGTTTTTTCTATTGTTTGTTTCATCTCTGATTTCTTTGAGCAGTGCTTTGTCATTTTCCTTGGAGATATCTTTCATCTCCCTAGTTAGCTGTATTCCTAGGTATTTTATTTTTTTGTGGCATTTGTAAATGGCAGTTTGTTCCTAATCTGGCTCTCGGCTTGACTGTTGTTGTCATATAGAAATGCTAGTGATTTTTGTACATTGATTTTGTATCCTGAGACTTTGCTGATGTTGTTTATCAGCTCAAGAAGCCTTTAGGCTGAGACTATGGGGTTTTCTAGATACAGGATCACGTCATCTGCAAATGGATATTTTAACTTCCTCCTTTCCTTTTTGGATGCCCTTTATTTCCTTTGATTACCTGATTGCCCTGGCCAGCACTTCCAATACTATGTTGAATAGGAGTGGTGAGAGAGAGCATCCTTGTCTTGCACCACTTTTCAAGGAGAATGCTTCCAGCCTTTGCCCACTCATGATAATATTGACTTTGAGTTTGTCATGTATGGCTGCTATTATTTTGAGATATTTTTCTTCAAAACCTAGTTTATTGAGAGTTTTTAACATGAATAGATGTTGAATTTTATTGAGAGCCTTTTCTGCATCTATGAGGTAAGCATGTGGTTTGTCTTTAGTTCTGTTTTTGTGATGAATCACATTTATTGATTTGCATATGTTGGACCAACCTTGCATCACAGGGATAAAGCCTGTTTGATCATGGTGGATAAACTTTATGATGTGGTGCTGGATTCAGTTTGCCAGTAGTTTGTTGAGAATTTTTGCATTGATGTTCATCAAGGTTACTGGCCTGAAATTTTTTTGTTATTGTTGTTGTATCTCTGCTAGGTTTTGGAATCAAGGTGATGCTGTACTCATAGTATGAGTTAGGGAGGAGTCCCTCCTCCTCAATTTTAATAGCCATTTTGACAGGTGTAAGATGGTATCTCATTGTGGTTTTGACTTACATTTCTTTAATGATCAGTGATATTGAGCTTTTTCACTTTTAATTAGAACAGTGTTTTTGTATGGTAGTTCTATTTTTAATTTCTTGAGAAACCTCTATATGGTTTTCCATAATGTCTGTACTCACTTACATTCCTACCAAACTGTGTAAGGATTCTCTTTTCTCCACATCCTTGCCAGCATTTATTAACTTTTGTCTTTTTGATAATAGCCATTCTAAATGGAATGAGATGATATCTCATTTTGGTTTTGATTTGCATTTCCCTGATGATTATTAATGTTGAACTTTTTTCATTTACCTATTGGCCATTTTTATGTCTTCTCTGAAAAATGTCTATTCAGGTCTATTGCTCATTTTATTATCAGGTTATCCATCTATTTGCTATTGAGGTTTTTGAGTTATGTATATACTTGGGATATCAGCCTCTTATCAGATATATAGTTTGCAAATACTGTAGGTTGTTTCTTCACTATATTGATTGTTTTCTTTGTTGTGCAGAAGCCTTTCAGCTTGATATAATTCCCTTTGTCCATTTTTTACTTTTTTTGCCTATGCTTTTAAAGTCTTATAAAAAAAAAAATCCTTACCCAGAGCAATGTCATGAAGCTTTTCCCTTATGATTTTTTCTAGTAGTTAAGAAATTGTACTCTAAAAGTAAACTTTTGTCTCTTTGTCTCCTTGTCTCCATGCATTCAGTAAAAGTACCTAGATTCCAAATCCCAGTAGTTCAAAATAGGAGTGAAGATTTCCAAAATTATTTATTGTTATTTTTAAATTTTTCCTCCCTAAAATCTCCAGAGTGAAGTGGGTGTATATCCAAAGAAAATGAAATCAATATTTTGAAGAGATGTCTACACCCCATTTTTATTGGAGCACTATTTACAATACCCAAGATATAGAATCGACCTAAATGTACATCAACAAATGAATGGATAAATAAAATGTGGTGTATATGTACAGGATGGAATACTATTCTGCCTTAAAAAGTAAAAAGTAAGAAAATACTGTAATTTGTGACCACATGAATGAACCTGGAGGACATTTTGTTAAATGACATAAGCCAGGCACAGAAAAACAAATACAGCATGATCTCACTCATGGGGAAATTTTAAATGTTGATCTTATAGAAGTAGAGAATACAATAGTAGTTACCAGAAACTGGGGTGGGGAGTGGAGATGAGGAAATGGCCAAAGGACACACAATGGCAGTTAGGCAGAAGAAATAAATTTAAGAGATTTATTATATCACAGAGTGACTATAGTTAATATATTGTACTCTCGAGAAATGCAAAGAGAGTAGATGTTGAGTGCTCTCAGCACAAAAAGATAACTGTATGAGATAATGCATTTGTTAATTAGCTAGAGTTAACCATCTAATGATGTATATGTACCTGAAAACATCATGTTATACATGATAAATACATGCAATATTATTTATCAATTTAAAAACAAAAGTTGCATGAACAGTTATGGGGTTAATCAGCAGCATGTGCCTCCTGATATGAGGCACTGAGGACAACTCAGTATTGCCTTCTGGGCTGCAACTGCCAAAAGTACTTAACTTGAATCTATTCATGAGGAAACATGACAGAATCCATTGAAAGATATTTTACTAAATCATTGACCTACACTTTTCAAAAATGTCAACGTCATGAACTACAAAGTAAAATCCCAGAACTGTAGAGAAAGACACAGTTTAAAAGAAGACTCAAGATACAGGAGTCTGAATTAAATGCAATGCAGATTTTCAATTTTCTTTTGCTGTAAAGGAAATTATTGGGCCAACTGACAAACTATCAATAAGGTCTATAAATTATATAATAATATTTTTGGGTATCAGTTTTCTTAATTATTTTTTTTTCCTGAGACAGTCTCACTCTGTCACCCAGGCTGGAGTGCAGTGGCATGATATTGGCTCACTGCAAGCTCCACCTCCCGGGTTCACGCCATTCTCCTGCCTCAGCCTCCCGAGTAGCTAGGACTACAGGCGTCCACCACCACGCCCGGCTAATTTTTTGTATTTTTAGTAGAGACGGGGTTTCACCGTGTTAGCAAGGATGGTCTCGATTTTCTGACTTCAGGACCCGCCCGACTCGGCCTCTCAAAGTGCTGGGATTACAGGCGTGAGCCACGGCGCCCGACCAGTTGTCTTAATTTTTATAATTATACTGTGGTTACATAAATGAATTCCTTATTTTTATGAAATACAAACTGAAATATTTAGAGATAAATGGGCCAAAAAATGTAGTGTTTACTTTGAAGTGGCAGTGGGAAAAAATTAAAGTATGAATAGAATTTATTAAATTGCAACCTAAATTTAAACTTTTGTCTCTTTTTCTCCCTGTCTCCATGCAATCAATAAAAATTACTATAGCCCAAATGTCAATGTTCAAAATAGGTCTAAGGGTTTCCAGAATTTTTTTTTTTTAATTTTTATTGTGCCTACCTAAAATCTCCAGTCAAGGCAGTCCATATACCAACTGATTAGTTCTGTCCACTCTTGAAATACTTTTCTATTATTTCTTAATTGTCCTTATACCAATAATTTCAATTACATCAGTAAAATCTCCTTATTTCTCTGGAAGAGTCTGACATATTAGTGTCATTTTAAAGAAAAACATCCAATAGGAATCTTTCTTTTCTTGAGCTATTTACTCTGCTGGTTTTTTGTATACTTTTTATTTTGTTCAATTACATTTAATTGCAATATAAATTCCAGTGAACTTTAAATTGAAATTAGGCACATACATGAAATATATGTGATTCTGCAAAATGTGTCTCTTGGAACAATTCTTTTCAACCAAAAGGGGATATCTGAAATTTTCTTAAGTGTATCTAAGGCACGTTTATGAAGGTATTTAATTAAGACTTAGTAATTTTTTCTTATCCATCAAAAATATTAAGAAATTTCTATCTACACATTTATTCTTCAATAAGTATCTACCAGTATTTATATAAAGATCTATATAAAATAATGTTAAGTGTTCTACCTTAGTTTATTAGGCTAGTCATATGCTACAGAAAATGTTTTCATTTTATTTTTGTTTTTTCTCTGCACTAAAATTGACTTCTTAAAAATAAATACATTCAAATTACTTTTCTACAGGGTAACAATCTTACTACATTATGAACTCTTTGAATCCATGTTCAGCCACTTATTAAAACGTTTTTATTCCTACTTTCCAATTTTCTGTATTCAAGAACTTAGCAGGTTGTTTTTTTTTTTAATGTAACAGACACTGATAATTTGTGGAATGATCTCCGTATCTAGCAGAATAGAGAAACCATCATGGAGTTGCTAATGAGATAATGATGATGTTGGTAATAGCATAATAAGAGGCAGTGTATATGGTAATTAAGTAAAAGTTATTTGCATTCAGACAGATCTAGGCTTTGTCTTATGTCCCATCATTTGCTAGCTATGTCCCTGGGCAACTTGGTAAACCTCTGTGATCTTCAGTATCCTCATCTATAAAATGTAAATAATAATAGTACCTGCTTCATAGGGATTTAATGAGGATCAACTGACATGATGTTTCTACAAAACTTATCACAGCGTTTGGCATACTTAATGTGAATTAATGTTGTTTTTAATTGCCACTGTTATTATTAGTCTATTTGCACTAATCAACCATCAAGTAATTTGTGGTGCTGAATACCTTAATCTAAAATATCCTTATGTATTTATTTATATTTAAAATAATCATTTTCATTAACACACAATCAGAATTTGCCCATGGTAGAAATGTTGAAAATAAAGACAAGTGACATTGTTAAAAACAATAATAATAATGATAAAAACCTTGCGTATCTACCAACGCAGATCTCAACTGATAATATGTTCAGCTCATATGTTTCTGGATTTTCTCTATTCTAGCATGCTCAGGTACACACACATTTACACATGTGCACAGTTGTTTTTTACTAAAGTGAGGCCATATTGTACACACTGTTATATATATATTTAGATTTACTTCCTATTTTCCCCTTATCGATACCAAATATCCTTTGTAACTTCTTTATCTAAGCCAGTATCTAATCTAAGACCATATCTTACATATGGTTGTTAATCTTCCCAACTACTCTTCCAATCAAGTAAAATACTTTTTTATAAAATGACTGACTTACTGTAGAGATCAGATAACAATTTGATTTTTCCATCACTTTCTCTTTTTGAAACGAGTCTGGCTTAATATCCATGGCTTCAAAAGTTTATATAATAGAAAGAGAGAAAAGATAGCCCTGTTTCAATCTACCATCTTCAAACAAGATACTTACCTGTTTTTCTACCTCTTTTAAAAATCTTGACCTGGTGTGGTAGCTCCACCTGTAATACCAGCTCTTTGGGAGGCCAAGATGGGGGTCTCACTTGAGGCTCAGAAATTTGAAACTAGGCTTGGCAACATGGTGAGACCCAGTCTCTTAAAAAAATTATCACAGATAATATAATAAAAATATGGATAATTATTAGATAATTATATAGGATATTCATAATATTGGAGTGAAATAAGGCCTTTGCCCATACCTGGCTCAGATAGAAAAAATTTTCACCAAGTTTTATAAATGTCAACCACCATTTCAATGTTTTATACATATCTCTTCTAGTCCTTGACATTTCAGTCTCCCTAATATTAAAGACTGGGGCAAATGTGTAACTTACCGTTGTACAAGTGACTTCCATTTCAGATTGGCAGAGTAGCCAGGACCAGACATTTGATAAACCCTGGCTACTTTAAAAATTCTAAATTATCTAGATGTTTACATATAAAATACTAACAGAAATTATCTATTTCCCAGTCTATATACATTTTTATGTAGTCCTAAGGCTAGTCTTCAGCTAAGATTGTACCAGCCCTTGACAGAACTATTCTAATATGTAACAGAATTGAGAAGTCAGATATATAAAGTCATTATGAAAATATCTATTTGTACAAAAGAGAAGATTATGTCCATTACAGGGAAAGGGGAAAGAAATGTTTCATATTTCTCTGCAATTTCTTCCCTTTATGTTTTACTAGTATAAAGGCAAAAATTTTGCAATTAATATCAAGATCCTGGATGGCCGAGTATATGAGTCCTTAAGATATTCTGTAACTCTCTAGAGCAACAGCCTTTCAACACTCCCGGTACAAAAACTGTAGCTAATCTTTGGGTGGGAGACGAAAGTAAAATCATTTAGGTGGTCTCTGGGAGGCAGTTATATTGCTGTTCCGAGTGTCCAATAAGCTAGAAGTAGTAAATGGGGTATCCTGATCACTTCTCAGAGCTTCTACCATTTGATCATCTTCTGTTTCGTCCAAATATGTTTTTCGTCATTCCTAATTCTATTGTACTTAAGCCCAAACCAGTAAATAAGAATACAGAAAATTATAAATATAAAAAATAAATAACTGTACAAATCTCTGTAGCAAAGCCCAGCAATCCCATGGCTAATTATACATGCAACAGAAATGCCCATGTATGCTTACCAGAAGACACTGTACAAGAATCTTCAGAGTAGCACTATTTGAAGGCTAAATTGTTTGAAATTTCAACCTCAAAACTGCCCCAGTGTCATTCAATGGTATAATAGACTTGTAAAACAAAATGATGATATAGTCAATAATGAAATATGCTAAAGCCATGAAAATAAATTATAATGACACAAAATATTGGTGAATTTCTTAAATATTATTGAGTAAAAATACTAAGACACAAAAGAATACACATTGTCTGCTTGAATTTATACAAGGTGCAAACCAGGGTAAAGCCAATCCATTCTATTAGAAGTCAGGGTACTGTATCCTCCAGGGAGAGGTTAGTGGTTTGAATGAAGCATAAGAGATCCTGTGGCACTAATAATATCATTATTATTGGTGCTGGTGACATGGGTATGTGAAAATTATGGTTTGTGCATTGTTAACACACATATACTTACACACATATATTCACATATATTTCATATATTTATATGTATTTATATATTTCATATATTTATATTTTTATATACTCACATATGTGTGTAAGTATTATGTATATGTATACTTATAGTGTACTCTCATACTTATAGTATACAAACACATAATACTTTGATAGAAGTGAAAAACTATTCCTTTTTTTCTTTAGCATCCATTCCAGCTCCAAGTTTTTGTCATACAAGAGTAGCAGTTCTGATAAAATGTAAACTACAAAAACTTGAATTCAGAAGACCTCAATTTTTTATCATGCAACCTTGGGCAGGTAACCTCACTAAATATCAGGTTCTTCATGTGTAAAATTGCACAAATTCCTTATAAAGTTATCATGAAGATTAAATTAGATTATGCACAGTAAAGTTATTGGTTACTTATAAAAAGTAATATAAATATATTGCATTAATAGCAAAAAAAAGACTGAAGAAATATATTTTAGATGAACTGAATGGTATTTGACACAATTACAGGCATAGGGAAAATATCTGGTTCTGTTTCAAGTAATTGACAAACACTGCTAAAATTTTATACTACTGAGCAGGTGCTACATCATAGTGGTTATGGACATAAAATTTCAAATAATCCATTAACATTTTCATTCTTTATAAAGCAAATATTTATTCAGAGTCCACTGCATGCTGTTCATTCCTTGAAGAACAGAAGAAAATAAAGCATTGTGCATTCATGAATCATGCATTCTATAGAGGGGAGAGACAAGAGTTACATCTGAATCTTAGCTCTGCTATTTACTGCCCATGTAACTTTGGGCATATTACTCCAATATGTGTCCTTACCTGTAAAACATAAATGATAACAGTGTGTATCTCAAAAGTTGTTGCATTATAAGAGCTAATGCTTGTAAAGTTACTCACTAACAATTTATCATTCAATAAATAAATACTAATAGTTGTTACTACTCCTACCATGGGCCTAGCATTCATGAAATCATATGGAAGTGCTCCCATTGTCACTGTAAAAAAGCCTGTCCTATTTATTTAATCCAGTCTTCATAAGACATGGTAACTATCTTGATTTGGATTTGCATAAATTAAAAATATTTAATTCAAAATTCAGAAAGAAAAATTGTATTGACTTTCTAGCCAGCCTGAATTTTCCAAAGTTCCCAGTCCTGGCAATACTTGACTAATTTGCATGTGACAATTAGAAAAATACACATGATATGCACCACTGATACCACTTCCCAGCTGTTCTCCTTGCCTGTATTTCATTATCTGTCATTTATTTCGGCATATTCACTTTCATTGTGATCCAAATCAAAACAAAAACTTAGAATTTCACTTTTATCTTCTACTCTTTAAAATTTCTAATTTCCTAGAAGACAAAGTCCCGGCTCGTCAAGATAACACCTAGGATCTAGCAGATTCTGGCTGTCACCAAGCTGCCCAATGTCATCTTCCAAATTTATGCTCCCAACCCCATACTCAAGACTCCATAAATGAGAACCACCTATGTAGTGCCACAGACATTCTGTATCATTTCTGCTAATGTGTCTTAATTGGGGCAATCTTACCTATCTGATATGTCCTTGTCCCTTCTTCCTGACTCCTCCCTACCATCTCAGAGGGGCTTGATTTTCCTATACCAAAAAAACAAAACCACTAGCCTAATTTACTCAGCTTTTCTACTACTTTCATTTTTCATCCCATATAATCATAAATAAAATTCTAATATATGATATGTGTAAGGGCAGGAATCAGGGTTTGCGTCTTGTCTTTTCCTTTATTTCGCAGGGTCTTCAGAACCACTAATTAGGGTAAGCATACTTTTTCTGTAAAGGTCTCTGCAGCAAGTATTCAACTCTACAATTGTAGGAAAAAACCATCCATCCACAACACATAAACAACCAAGTGTGACTGTGTCCCAATACAATTGAATTTATAAAAACAGGTTGTGGTGCAGACTCAGCTGTCTGCTATAGTTTGCTGATCCCTGGTCTAGATGATAGTGACAAGGATGATGATGATAGCACTGAAGCAGTCAGCTAAAACTTTTTGATTGTTTGCCATATGTCAGGTATTGTGAGAAATATTATGTAACGTAATGCAATAATATTATAGCATAAGAACATTTATTGCCATTTTATGAATAGGAAAACTAAAGGTCAGAAAATTAAGTACTTTCCCCATTTCCTGCACCTGGAATGTGTCTGACTACAGCACTTTGCTCTTCACCCCTCCTTACTGGCTAGAGAGTTTCCTAAGGCACTTCCCATTGTAATACTATGCCATTCTCTGACAGCTACTGCAGGAATGAATTTACAGCAAATAATCTTTTCATTCACACTTTGACAAGTAGACTATTATCAGGACTACAAATGCCTTTACAAATGTGTAGAGCTCCACATGAGAAATTCCACATAAATTGCAAAGACTTTCCAGGATGCTGATGCTGATTTTAGGAGATGCTAAATTGAATGTTTTTAATGATCTCTGAAACAAGATGGACCAGTTAATGCATTTAGTTTCATGGGAAAAGCCACCAAATCTCTAAGGAAATGAGGCCTGGCACATCTTTGTCCAGGTCTGGAGACCTTATGACTTGAAAACCACTTCTTGAGACAAACATGTCAGATGTGAGTAAGATACAAAAGTCTCTCTGAGTTTTTCACAGTAAGACTAGTAATAAAAAGTGATTACAATACTACTTGATAACTGACTGATTAAGAGGCAGTGTCTGACTCGGATTTTTCTTCAGTTCATGTTAAGAGAGAAAAAAGACCATAATTCCTAGTACTCAGGGCTCAATCAGAATGATGAATTCAGCCAACTGAAGCCACACCTGAGGCTGGCTGCATCCCCACAATGCAGCACCTCAAGTTACTTTATTCTTTACCTCTGTTTCCCTCATGAAGCAGTGGATTTTGCTGAAAGCCAGCCTTCAGATTTACTCAGATCTATATAAATTATGTAGGAAAAGCAATGACAAAGGAAAAAAGAAGAGAGGAAATTAAGTATATAGAATGTCAGCCAATAACCCATAGGACAAAGGGGATATTAAGGGCACTTTTAAACTGAAAATTCAGATTCTTCAGAAAAATGTAAAGTCCTCTAGATTCATGAAAAGGATGATGAAAATAGGAGTGATTTATTTTCCTTCACTAAGTTAAGCTTCCCTAAGCAGGTGCCGTCTTTCCCTCCTATATTGGTGGCATGTAACATATGTTACCTTGAATTATTGTTATTTGGGTATTTGCCTACTCCTCAGTAATATGATAGAGGCAGCCAGGCTTTGTAGTGGAATACATGGGCTTTGTGGTCAAATAATTTGCTCAAGTACTGGATTAGTCTCTACTAACTCTATGACTTTGAGCAAAGTCATTTGTCTTCGTTGATCCCCAGTTTCTTTTCTGTAAAGTGGATATGACAACAGCATATATACTATAGAATTTTTAAAAGGATTAAATGAGATCATGCACATAAAATGTTCAGGGCAGTGGCCAGAATATTATAAAGACAGTAAGCAAACAATAAATGCCAGTTATTATTATTACTATTATTTGAGACAGAATCTCACTCTGTCACCTAGGCTGAGTGCAGTGGCATGATCATGGCTTAAAGCAGCCTCAACCTTCCAGGCTTAAATAATCCTCCTGCCTTAGCCTCCAGAGTAGCTAGGACTACAGTCATGTACCACCATGCCTGGCTATTTTTTTTTCAGAGATGGGGTCTTGCTATGTTGCCCAGGCTGGTCTTTAATATCTGGACTCAGGCAATCCTCCTGCCTCAGCCTACCAAAATGCTGGTATTACAGGCATGTGCCACCTCACCCAGCCTTAATGTTAGTTATCATTGACATTATTATGAAATTAGGAATGTACATAAAAGCAGTCATTCCAGCATGTACTTCATAAATTATTAATTTGTGTATCTTCTATGTTTCATGGGGTACATGCATCACATAATTATATAAAGCAGGAACTGTAGGAATAGGAGTAGCTGTAGGAACATGATGGGTTTACTAACTATCCTTTGAGTGAACAGTCTCTTTCTATGACTATTTACCCTTTCTTCTAACTTCTCTGTAGCCCTCCTGAAAACAAAGACTATCTCTATCTGCTCATCTACATAACAGAATATTTACTGATGTGGGAACCACATTGGCCTGTATGGTTTCTCGCTCCATTCCACTGGATGTCATTGTAGAACTAGGACAAATCACCCTAGACCCAAATATCTACAGGGGCCAGAGACAGAAAATGGGGGTATGACTGTAAGCTGAAGTAGTCCAACTCATTCAAAATTGTGGGTTTTTTCCCAAATATTATAATGATTTTGTACTAAGTTACACTAAGAGGCTTCAATACTGGTCTGATTGGCTTATTTATTCATGTGTTAATTCATCAGTTATTTATTAAGAATTTACCACATGCTAAGCAGTGAAAATAAAAGCAGTCTCTGCTGTCACAGAACTTAAAATATGATAATGAATAAGCCAGAATATTACTTAAAATAAAATATGAACATTGTAATAGCACATGTACAGGCTGCTTTGACTGCTAATAATAGAGAGATACTACCCAGTGACAGGAAAATATCGTGGATATGACAAAGTTCCCTTTTCCCACATTGTCCTTCCTCACATGCAGGCATCTGGGCAGGTCTGTTTTTGCTGCCTTAAGGACAGGATGTTGCTGCAGAAAGCAGAGGACAAAACAGATTTTCCTGACTTTTGATTGTCAAATATACAGGCTCTAGGGAAACAAAAAGGACTACTGGCCCATAAAAATGATTCAGAATAAAGCATCATGAGAAAAAGCAAGGCTGCCTCCTGCCAAATATAACTTATTTATTAGATGTAGAAAAAGAAAAGAACCTTCAGGAGTTCACAGACAAACAGAGATTGCTGGGTCCCTGAGAAAGATATTCTGTAATCTATTTCATAGGCAAAACCCCAAATGGATATGCTGGATCCATGAGCAGTTCTTTGCTTCCTAAGTAGATCCCAAATAGAACCAAGAGAGAAGACATGACTTTCTGTTGGTTCCAGACAGGCCTAAAATGTTAGATTCACAGTAATTTCCTCACTCCATTGTGATGCTGAAGCCAACTTGTTCCTGTGATAAGGTAGATTCTGGCAATTTGAGTTATTCTATCAGGAATATATGAGGTGATATATTCACACACATGAAAAGGAAAATGTTACTGAGTGAAAAATACTTCTATTTTTAACTAATTTAAAACATTTTAGTGTTCATTGTTTGAATAATGAAAGGCCTGTGTATATCTACATTTTTAATAAAATTATCTGAACCAAGAGATTAATTCAGATTATAGAATAAATCAAACTTTTTTAAAAAAATGTATTATTCTGCTAATTTGCAAATATCACAAATTCATGAATGGCTGTTAGAGACAGAAAAAGTAACAGGTCAGCTCCCCTATCAGAGGAGACTCATGCAAAGCTTATGTTATATTTTTATTACTAAGTTGTTGCATTTGGCATAATAGATTATTTTATAATCATGAGTAAGGTAAAATTTATTATAAAGAAAACAAAAGAATGAAGGAAACTTGAAGTGATTTCAAAAAAAGAATAGCAATTTTTAACAGTAGAAACCTAATAAAAGTAATTATATGTGAAGATACCACAGTAAAATATAAAATGCCAGAAATATATATTCAAATGTATTTTCCAATAAAAGATCTGTTGGGGATAATTGAGTTAAGAGTTTCTATTTAAATTAAAGCTAAAATTTGTAGTGTTATATTCTGGTACCAAATCTCTTGCAATTTTCTGATGAGGTTAAAATGTGGTTTGGTAGGAAGACGGTGAATAGAAGACAGACCTAACATGCACCCCCAACTTGAACAGACAGAACAGTGTGTGGAGGCTCATACTGTGAACTTTTGCTCCAAAAACCACCACAGGAACATACCAGGAAAACTGAAAGAATTCACTGAAGCTTTGAAAGAACTGGCATGCCATTGCAAATTCCAAAAGACAGATGTAAAACTGTGAGATTCCAAAGTGTGAGAGGGAGAAAACCTTCCTCTGAACACACAACCCCACTGGGGAACCTAAAAATTCAGATCATGCACCCTGTCAGACCACACTGGAATGAAACTGGAAATTAACTCCAAAGAAACCCTTAAAACTATACAAATACATGGAAATTAAATAATCTGCTCCTGAATGATCTTTGGTTGAACAATGAAATCAAGATGGAAATTAAAAATTTTTTGAACTGATAATAGTGACACAACTTATCAAAACCTCTGCGATACAGTGAAAGCTGTGCTAAGAAAGCTTATAGCATTAAATGTCTACATCGAAAAGTCTAAAAGAGCACAAATAGACAAATTAACATCACACCTCAAAAAACCTAGAGAAGCAAGAACAAACCAAACCCAAACCCAGCGGAAGAAAATAAATAACAAAGATGAGAGGAGAACTAAACAAAATTCCATCAAAAAAAGTACAAAAGGTAAATGAAACAAAAAGCTGGCTCTTTGAAAAAATAAACAAAATCAATAGACCATTAGCAAGATTAACCAAGAGGAGAGAAGATCCAAATAAGATCAATTAGAAATGAAACAGGAGAAATTACAACCAATACCACAGAAATACAAAAGATCATTCAAGGCTACGATGAACACCTTTATGCAAAGAAACTAGAAAGTCTAGAGGAGCTGGATAAATTTCTAGAAATATACAACCTCCCTAGATTAAATCAGGAAGAAATAGAAACTTTGAACAGACCAATAGCAGATAGTGAGATTGAAAGAGCCATTCAAAATTACCAATTCAAAAAAAAAAAAAGAAAGAAAGAAAAAAAAAAAAAAACCAGGACATGATGAATTCACAGCTGAATTCTATCAGGCATTCAAAGAAGAATTGACACCAATCTTACTGAAACCATGCCAAAAGATACAGAAAGAGGGACTCCTTCCTAAATCATTCTATAAAGCCAGTATCACCCTAATAGGAAAACAAGGAAAGGACATAACAAAGAAAATTATACACCAATATCCCTGATGAACATAGATGCAAAAAATTCTCAAAAATATACTAGCTAACCAGCAGGGCACAGTGGCTCACGCCTGTAATCCCAGCACTTTGGGAGCCCCAGGCAGGCAAATCACGAGGTCAGGAGTTCAAGACCAGCTTGGCCAACATGGTGAAACCCTGTCTCTACTAAAAATACAAAAAATTAGCTGGACAAAGTGGCAGGCACCTGTAATCCCAGCTACTCGGGAGGCTGAGGCAGGAGAATCGCTTGAACCTGGGAGGTGGAGGTTGCAGTGAGCCGAGATGGCACCACTGCACTGCAGCCCAGGCAACAGAGTGAGACTCCATCTCAAAAAAAAAAATAATAATAATACCAGCTAACCGAATGCAACAGCATATCAAAAAGATAACACATCATGGTCAAGTGGGTTTCATACCAGGGATGGTTTAACCTATGCAAGTCAATAAACGTGATACACCACATAAACAGAATTAAAAACAAGAATCACATGATCATCTTAATAGATGCAGACAAAGCATTTGAGAAAATTCAGCATCTCTTTATGAATAAAAACCTCAGCAAACTTAGCATAGGAGGGACTTACCTCAAGGTAATAAAAGCCATCTATGACAAACCCACAGCCAACATTATACTGAAAGGGGAATGCATTTCCCTTGAGAGCTGGAAAAAGACAAGGATCACCACTTTTACCACTTCTATTCAACATTGTACTGGAAGTCCTAGCCATAACAATTAGACAAGAGAAAGAAAGAAAGGACATCCAAATTAGGAAAGGGAAAGCCAAACTGTCACTGTTTGCTAGTGATATGATCACATAGCTAGCAAACCCTGAAGATTCATACAAACAGCTCCTAAATCTGATAAATGTATTCAGTAAAGTTTCAGGATATGAAATCAGTGTACACAAATCAGTACCACTGCTATATACCAACAACAACCAAACTGAGAATCAATCAAGAGTTCAACCCCTTTTACAACAGCTGCCAAAATAAATAAATAAATAAAATACTTAGGAATATACCTAGTCAAGGAGACTAAAGATCACTACAAGGAAAACTACAAGACACTGCTGAAAGAAATCATAGACAACACAAACAAATGGAAATGCATCCCATGCTCACAGATGGGTAGAATCAATATTGTGAAAATGACCATGATGCCAAACGCAATCTACAAATACAATGATATTCCCATCAAAATACCATGATCATTCTTCACTGAACTGGAAAAAAAAATCCTAAAATTTGTATGAAACCAAGAAAAGACCCCACATAGCCAAAGTAAAAAGAACAAGCAAAAAGGAACAAATCTGGGGTTATCACATTCTCAATTTCAAACTATACAACAAAGCTATAGTTACCAAAACAGCATGATACTGGTATAAAAATAGGAAGATAGACCAATGGAACATAATAGTGAACCCATAAATAAAGCCAAATACTTACAGCCAACTGATCTTTGACAAAGCAAAAAAACAAACAAGCAAACATAAAATGGTGAAAGGACACCCTATTCTAAAAATGTGCTAAGATAATTGGCAAGCAGCTGTAGAAGAATGAGACTGGATCCTCATCTCTTACCTTATACAAAAATCAACTCAAGATGGATCAAAGACTTAAATCTAAGACCTGAAACCATAAAAATTCAATAAGATAACATTGGAAAAACCATTCCAGACGTTGGCTTAGACAAAGGGTTCATGATCAAGAACTCAAAAGCAAATGCAGCAAAAACAAAGATTAATAGATGGAACGTAATTAAACTCAAAAGCTTCTGCACAGCAGAAGAAATCATCATCAGAGTAAATAGACAACCCACAGAGTGGGAAAAAAAATCTTTGCAAACTATGCATCCGACAAAGGGCTAATATCCAGAATCTATAAGGAACTCAAAGAAATCAGTAATAAAAAAAAGTCATAATTCCATCAAAAGTGGGCAAAGGTCATGAATAGACAATTGTTAAAAGAAGATACACGAGTTGCCAAAAAACAGTTGTAAAAATGCTCAACATCACTATCAGGGAAATGCAAATCAAAACCACGATAATATACCACCTTACTTCTACAAGAATGGCCATAATTTAAAAATCAAAAAATAACGGATGTTGGCATGGATGTCATGAAAAGGGAACACTTTTACACTGCTGGTGTGAATGTAAACTGGTACAACCACTAGGGAAAACAGTATGGGGATTCCTTAACGAACTAAAAATATAACTACTATTTGATCCAGCAATCCCACTACTGCGTACCTACCCAAAGGAAAGGAAGTCATTTTACAAAAAAAAAAAAGACATTTGCATATGCATGTTTATAGCAACACAATTGCTAAAAATATAGAACCATCCTAAATGCCCAGTAACTGATGAGTGGATAAAGAAAATGTGGTATATATATAGCATGGAATATTACTCCACCATAAAAAGGAAGAAAATAAAAGCATTTGTAGCAACCTGGATGAAGTTGAGACCATTATTCCAAGTGGTGTAACTCAGGAATGGAAAACCAGACATTGTATGTTCCCATTTATCAGTGGGAACATACAAGTGTTCCGGGGGAAGGGAAGGAAGAGGGTGAGGGGTAAAAGACTATACATTGGGTATAGTACACACTGCTCGGGTGACAGGTGCACCAAAATCTCAGAAATCACCACTAAAGAACATATCCATGCAACCAAATACCACCTATTCCCCAAAACTATTAAAATAAAAAAAAATGTGGGAGAAGTTTCTTTCGATTATCAACTGAATGTTTTTATATACTATAAAATTTACTTCTTTGAAATTTACATTTTATATAACATATTAATTATTTTCCTGGATTATTTTGAATAAAGCCATGTCTTATTTATTTATGTAAATACTTTCTAATAACAAGGGTTTCTTAAATGAATAAATAAGTGAATGGGTTAATGAATGCAATCAGATCTTTAAGTACATTAACAACTATCACAGAAAATATGTATTTCCTAGTACTAAGAGAAATTCATATGACAATAATAATTACAATTACCTTTTACATTTGTGTGTTGGCTCCAATTCTAATATTTTTCAAACATTTGATGGATCTGTGGGAGAAGAGGAGAACAAAGTATCTCTAACAAGTGTTTCAGAAAAAAAGATATAAGTTGTTGCTCAAAGAAGCAGCTCACTGAATTTCCCAAGTGTTTTAAGGAAATATCCAAGCAAAAGAAGTTACAATGTGCTAATAGTTAAAACCAAGTTATAATTTGACCTTTATTTAACTAGATAATGCAAGAGATAATAAACTTTACATTGCATTTTATCATGTACTTGTGTTTTCCAATTCGATTTTCACTAGCCATCCTAAGAAAGGTAATTGGTGTTCTGTATCTGTGGGTCCAAACAACCATAGATTGAAAATATTTGGGAAAAAATGGATGGTTATGTCTGTACTGAATATTTCAGTTTTTTCTTTACATTATTCCCTAAATGATACAGTATAACTCTTAACATAGCATTTACATTGTCTTAGGTGTTATAAGTAACCTAGAGATTATTTAAAGTATACAGAGCATGTACATAGGTTTTATGCAAATACTATGCTATTTTATATATGGTACTTGAGCATTCATGGATTTTAATATCCATGGAGGTCCTGGGACCAATCCTTCATGGATTTTAATATTTGAATGTACAGCATAAGAATTATAACTCCTAAGAGAAGACAACCTCAGAGGTTAACTGCCTTTCCAGTGTCATGTAATTCATATCTACTAATTCTTCATTTACCAATCTTTCCACTCTTCAACTCCCCATTATGATCTCTCAGTCACAAAGATGCTTATTCTCATCATCTCTTCACTCTGACTGTAGGTGTGCCCTAGGATCCCGTAGGTCCAGCATGGAATCATACCAAGTTCTGCTTATTTGGTGGCCACTAGTCACCGGTGATTTGTCAGATGCTGTATCACTGATACACTGAAACAATCTTTCCCTGTGGATCTTTGTAGTTTTCCCTGGTCCACTCATACTTTGATTAAAAGTGTCAGACTTTTTGGCTATCCAGATTTGCTGTTTGGCTTTTCTTAGCATCTATTAGAGATTGGAACATTATTCTATGGCCTTTATATTTATTTGTTTCCAATGAGATATCTCATAGATTCTCTAATTTCTATTGTCCCTGGATCCTGTCTTTGGCCCATAGGGCTCAATCAATAAAAGGTACTGCACGTTTTCTAATGAACATCAAGTGGCTTACCTAGTCCTTAACTATTAACTCTCAATTTTGAGAGGGGCTTTCAGAGCAGAACCACCACCTGGTAGAAATAGAGTGTAACAATCCTGCATACCTGTGTCCCTCCTAGCTTACTTCTGCTTCTCCTGGCTTACTTCTCAGTTTTCTATTCCTATATGTGTAATTGAAATTATCTTTAGTTACAAAAAATCCATACTGGGTAGTCTAACTGCATCATCCACAACTGGGCTTAAAACTAGACCACCTGGCCTGGACTAGGAGAGACCATCTATCACAGTGCACTGAATATAGCTGCACTAGGCATTTCTTGCTTGAAATACTTCCTCCTTTATTATGTTTTTTTTTTAATCCTTTGGAAAATGTGATCAGGGTATTTCTCAGTAATTCAATTTTATTGCTAACCTGAAACAACAATGTAAACATCAGAGAAAGAGATGAGGGAAAAGGGCAATCTAGGTTTAAGGTGATAAACCACTTTTTACAGCCTGGAGAGAATTATCAAATTCCATTTAACATGTAATTCAGTAAAACAAAACCTAATTAGGTTTACAAACATACACATGTAATTATACAACGTTTCTGAGTACAAGTCAATCGGCATGTGAGAGCACATGTGGATAAATGGAACAGCTACCTCCCTGGAGCTGAAAAACACAGCATTAAAATCTAGTCAAGGGTGAAATATCTTTTTATATTGGTATAATATTTCTCTGGCTTTCCCCAAGCAAAAACAAACAAAAAAAAAAACAACTGTTGTTTTAAAATCATACATACTCTTAAGTCTAAGTAAGTTACCCAAATGGTTAATATGTGGATTGGGAAGTAAACACAAACCTAAAGTGTAAGAAAACTTCAGGTATCCTAAGCTCTGATGCTCTTGTTGGTCAGGTAAGGGAGCAGATAAATAATATGCCAGGAAGGCCCTTTGCTTTTGTTTTGGAGTATCTGGTCGGATTTGTCCTCAGTCATGGGTCTAGCTTGAATTTCTTTCTTACTCTCAGGAGAAGCTGCCAACTCAAAATGAGAATTTACTCTTTCTCCTTGCATTCAGTTGGCAATTCTCAGTCATCGCTCTGACTATTTTGAAAGACCGTCTGTGACAGGGACATCTGCCTCAGCCATCTTTCCACAAATTGCCATGCTCAGTGATGTTCAACTAGCCATTTAACAATTCTAACTTCTCCAACTTGTAAATATTTACTACTTAATGAGCACCCTCAGCCATATATTTATTAAGACATAGAGAAAAAGGAACTGTGGCTCTCTCAAAGGAGATGTGAGCTTGTAGAATTTGTCTGGTTGTCATTAACAATTAAACAGAAGACATCAATTCAGGTATACACCAATTATTTAGCATTGACAACTGTCTAGGATTGTTCTGGGTGCCAGGGCAATTTAAAATGCATACACTTGAGAGGTAGAAGACAGGCATTAAAAAATAATAGACTATCTTAGGAAAAGAGAACCTTTCTCATGAGGGCAACTACATTCATCTCTGTTTTCATGTCAGACATCACTTATCAATTATTGTATGCTTTACTTCTGAGCCCAGCTAGAGTCTTATGCAATCTGTCTACATAGCATTCCAGGCAACCTCTGCCAATTAAATTGTGTTAGCACATGAGTTGAAACTTACTTGTTACCCTTGCGTTGAAAGTGTAATTTTCCCAAACACCATATAGTTTACACATTCTAAATCCCCTTCAACAGTCAATCTGAGTAAACACTAAACATATGTTTGTTTATTTAATAAATTAAAAAAATCTCCCCACACCTCCAAATGTTTATACATTATAGCTCCTCCTAACATAACATTAGTTGTTAAAATTTCAGTGAAAAATTCTCAGTCATCCTTTTCCATCTTCTTTCTTCATGAACACATCAATATTGCTATGGTAATTATCCTCCTTCAATCTTCAGTTTTTCTTTATTTTTTGTTTCCAAACTCTTTTGTAGCAGATGAATTTAAGGATCTGAAGGGACTATATGGCTTCAAACAAAGTCTTACAAATAATAGTCCATAACTGCTTACATTAGAATTCCTTCGGGGAGTATTCTAAAAACAGAGATCCCACTACAGACCTAGCAGACCAAAATTTCAGGAGAGGAATGTGAAAATGTTTGTATGTGGGGTGTATGTGTGTGTGTGTGTGTGTGTGTGTGTGTGTGTGTAGGAAGGTAAGCAGCATGTAAGTTTAAAAACCTCCCATGTAGTCACTGAAGATTTCAGTGTTTTCTTCCCATTCATCTCCAAAAGCAATTGAATCTGAGAGAACAAATCACCAAGATGTGAACCTTTCCTATGAAAGTTTCAGTTTCTCAACTTCAATTCTATTTTTGAACTTCAAACATATACTAGTGTCTTAATACTAATAAATTTTTCTTCCCATTATACTTTTTATCTTTTAAAAAATGCGTGCTTTCTGATATGAAACTCTGATCCTAGGGTTTGGTGTACAATCAAAGGAAAAAAATGGAGTTCTCTAGTCAAAAGATTTTTATTGAACTTGTTTCCATTATTAAAATGAGGACTTTAACTTTAAAAGGACACAATTAGGCATATAAGAATGCATCCTTCTTTTGCTCCATCTCTAAGGAAAAACTCTGTTTCTTATGCAGTCTTACTTAAATCACTTCTGTCTTACCCATTTTTCATAATACAATAACATTAACAGTTAAAAACCTGGATATACCTATGCATCTATTTAGTGCATGGTAAAATATATATTTTTCAAAAGAATTAATTTGCATTGTTTTACATAAGGCATGTGTCAGTTCACCGCATTTCTAACCCAAATTATTTTCTTGTACTCAAGGTTTTTATATTAATCTGTTTATTCTCTGTAGACATTTGATTCATGACCAATAAACTTGATTATCCTTTCGAAAATCATCTGAGAGTCTTACCTGACATCATAACTTTCTCTGTCAAAATTGAAGTAACTAGATTCCTTATTTTACTTTGAATATTTTAAACTTATTCTATATTTCAATTTGGAACAAACCTAATTTTCCACAATAAAAAATTTAAGTCTCATGCAAGAGTAACTGAATAGCCACAAACACTTTAAAAATCATGATTTTGGCTCTTTCTTGGACAAATTTTATCCTTTTACATTTACCTTCTTCAGAGGTCAGTGGAAAAATGGGGGAAACTATTCCTAATCTATTTCAACAGGGAGAAAGTTATATTTGTTGTACAGAATCTAGGCTATTTATTTCAATTTGGGACATGCACTGAAGGTGGGTTTTGAAAAAAAAAGCTGATCCAAGGGGCAGTAATTTTCTGTAATTATTCATAAACAGCCTTTAATGGCAGGAATAATTTTACCAGATAACTATTAACTAACATTAATTCAACCAACAAGCATTCTTTGGGTACTTACTATGTACCAGATACTATTCTGGGTATTAGAAAGAGAATTCTAGGAAACTGAAAATAACCATTTGAATAGTGTAAATTCGCTACTCCCACAAAGTTGACTTTCTAGGCTCAAAGATAGAGAAAATGAGTTTTTCTTTTTTTTTTTTGTATTTTTATTTTTGTATTTTTATTTTTTTAATTTTATTGTTATTACACTTTAAGTTTTAGGGTACATGTGCACAATGTGCAGGTTTGTTACATATGTATACCCAAAGGCCTTGAGCTATAGTTTCAGTACTGACTGATCTAGTTTAATCAGCACCAGCTATGTGATAGTAAATATCTATAGTGGATAAACCTTTTAGCCTTTCTGGCATTGCTTATGTTTGTACTAGATCCTTATATTATGATCCAATTTAAAAATATGCATAAAGAGGAAAAGGAGTAAGGAAAGATATGAGGAAGAGATTTGCTTGGCTAAAATCCCAGGCACCAGAGAAGTTATGCATAATCACTTTTAATAAGGGTCTATATTAATTTTGGAGCAGCTGATTTCTCGCATAATAAGACCTGTCAAATGCAAGTCATCTCATTGTCCCCACAATATGAGTAGACATTTGTATTATCTGGAATATAACAGATAGATATTGCTATTATGGGGAAAAGAGAAGAGGTGACAGGAATGTCCCATTTCTTGGTACGGTTGAGTCACATTTCATTTTAATGTGATTAGGGGCCATTTGACACTTTAATCAGGGTGATATCTCACACACCTGGAACACTTAGGCTGGAACAGGAGACTGAACATTGACATTTGTTTTCTCCCTATGTTCAGTGGATCACTGTCATTCCAAGCTGGGGGGTATCAACAGGTGTATGGCAAATATTATGGTTAAAACATTTTGGTGAGTTCTCCTTGGTCAAAGACCAGATGACAAACATAGCAATTCTTTTATAAACGTACTTCTTAAGGATTAAGCTAATCTCATCTTCATTTTATGCTTCTGTTAACTCTAGGCTGTCTCTCTGTACTGAAGAGTTCCCCGGACCAAAATCCAGGTGGCATATGATATTTAATATGCTAATCCTTTCATACTCTGATGGAGGTCAACTTTGGCCACCATTAATCAGTGACACAGGTACTAGGCTAGTATTTTTTGATAAAATGTCACATTTAATTAGTACTACTGAACATAAACACAAATATTTTATTCCCATTTCACAGATGAAGAATCTGAGACTCTAAGACATTAAATTGCTTACTTGAAAGTATACACCTTCTAAGTGATATGGAAACTGATTCTGTCTTCATGTGTCCTACATCACTAAGAATATTAATGCAACAGTAGGAGACCTTATACAGATAAGCATCTCCAGAGCTGCCTACCCACCTTCAACATCTGAACCCGTATACTCTACTTTCCTTCCTATAATTGTAGAGAAAATATCCATGCTCCCTTCCAAAGCTAATATTTCCATTTGCATACTAAATTTCACTTCTTTTTATCTACCTAAGAACAACTCTACAGAAATTGACCCTCCTACATTATCAATATATGTTTTACTCACTGTCGTATCATTCTCATTATTATGCAAATGTTACTATTACTCCCATCTTATTACTCAATTTCTCTTGTCAGCTTCCAGCCCATTTCTTGCTATCTTCTGTTGCAAAACTCTTCTGAAAACATGTCTGTCCTACTGTCTCTGGTTAGTCTCCTCATATTCTCTCTTAAAATTACTTTAATTTGGCTTTGCTGAAACTGGGCATATTATCGTCACAAGTGACCTCCTTCTTGCTAAAATTTATAGTCTATTCTCAGTCCTCATCTTACTTGACTTACTAGCAGCATTTTACACAATTGATTATTCTATTCCCTTGATACATTATCTTCCTTTGAATTTTGCAACAACACACTTTCTTGGTGTGCTCTTGGTTTCCCCTTATGCCACTGGCTCCCCCTTCGTAGATTCATAGTTCCTTCTCTTTTCCTAACCTCCTAATATTGCAGTGCTCTGGTGCTCAGTCATGAACCCTCTTCACTTCTCTGTGCTCACTCCCTTGGTGAAGCCATCCAATCTGATACTTTCTTTACTATCTCTGTGCTGATAAGTCCCAAATTTGGGTTTCCTAGCCATACATCTCTCACAAATCCTAGCCAGCAAACAACCACCTACTCAATGTCTGCATTTGGAGGATCAGTAAACATTGCAATTTAACATAATCAGAACTGTATCCTTGGCCATGATTAGTCATATTTGTTTACTTCACTGATGGTTACAAATACCTCGAATAGAGTACTTACTAGGCATTCAATAACTATTCCTTGTTTAAATAAATTAATGAATAAATGTCTACTCCCTGGCATAGTTGCTGGTACAAAATTTGGAGTTCAACAAATGCTTTACGGACAAATGAATGAGTAAATAAAAGAACAAAATAATGACAGGGCATGATTTGAATTCAAGATCATTCCTTCCTCCTCAGACCTAAATTTAATTTATTTAAAGGAATAAAAATTACTTACAAAATAAGAATTAGTCAGATGTCTCCTGTTTACAGAGCGATTCCTAACCACTGCATCTAAATTCACCAACAATGCCCAATTCCCAATGCCCAGTCATTCTCTATTGCAACTGTGGAATTTCTATATAGGCCTTATTATTTTGTATAATCACCTTGTTTACTTAGTTCTTTATTTTGTTTTTAGAATTTTCACTCCATTTGCAGAAGGACCTTTATAGTTCACCACTGCATAGAAGAGTGCCTAGCACACAGTACATGTTAATATCATTTGTGAAATTAATGAATTAATATAATAAAGAGTAATATCCCTAAGAGCTAAATCGGATAATTTGGATTACAAATTCTATGAGAGAGGAAAAGAGAAACAAGAGCTGGAGCTGATAAATTAAAGTCTTCATAGAATAGGTATCACCTGACCCCAGATGAAACTGGTCATATTTTTATAAAGAACAGTTTGTAGCACGAAGTATAGTGTTCAATTTTTCTACATCCCAAGACATTCTCAGTGTGTTCTTTCTCCCACCTACAAATGGGTAATGTTATAGCACAGTTTCTCAACACTTTTTTCATTATTCCTCTCCAAGGAAACTTTTTAGACATGTTTTTTCTAGTATTCCTATGACATTTTAATTCCACAGACACAGTCCATGTGTTAATGTACTGTATGCACATTTGTGCTTTACACATATAAAGACTAAGGGTTTTTTTATCCTTCCTGTCCAAGACCCAATTTTCACCCCTTTGTGAAAGATATTGTGAAAAATACTGAGAAGGTACTCTCTATAGCACCAGAGAGATTGCTAACTTCTTGACCAGAACTATGTTCTCTTATTTCAGACATCACAGTTTTTTAGTAGATGCACTATTTTTGCCATAATTTTTATTTGTTGTTCTCAATGTGTTGATTTTCCAAATAACAAACCCGAAATGCTGGGTGATTATTGTGCTTATCGTATCAACCCCTCTTCCCCCCACCCCCCCGCCCACATTCCCACCTCCTGCTGCAAACCCTTCATCATTTGGCTTCCACAATAGATTTACCAAGGGAGTTTGTATTTCACCCTTGAGACCAAACTTAATCAGGCTTTAGGAACTGATGTATGTAACATTATTGAAGACTCTGCCAAAACAAAAAGTTCAGCTCTGTCTGCTCAAGAAGCTACTTGCACTCATTGACATCATTTCAGAACATGGAGTCTTTCATCTTCTTCTTTCCTTTCCCTGCTTCCAGTGTTTGGATTTGACACATTTAATATACAGTGAGGAGAAACAATGCCCAGATTGGCAAAGCAACTTTTCCAAACTCCCTCAAGTAACGAGCAGTTCCCTGTGAGGTTTCTTGACTCCTGCTGCAGTGTTCTTTCTAGAATATCCCGCTGAGCCTACTTAGAAAAAAAAAAGTACGGCACAAAGTGTTTTGCTATGGTCCGTGGAAGAATTTCAGTTCAGAAAAACACAAAGTACAGTACCATCATGAATGCAAAGGTACCAAGGACCAAGCATAACCACGTAAAAAATAGTGGAGACTGAGCAACATTCGATAGAGATTGTATGTGCTAAGAGCATTCAAGTCGTGAGTTCACAACAAGGGATGTCCGACTGAAGAAAACAAAAAATCAAGTCAAATTCTGAGCTACCCTAGCACATCTCATGCCTTTGTGTGAAAAGGAATATGGATATGAACATTTGTATAAATCACAAATACGCAACCATTTTGGATGGATGAATTAGTAAAAGCAACCCTCTCTGGGTGTTCAAACCTTTGGAATTAGATAAGGCTCAATAATTTGAGATTGTTATTTCGGAAACATCAGAATAAGATCAATGGTTACGTGATGTGACCTTGTAACTCAAGACCTTAGAAGGTGTGTAGTGTCCCAGTTCTCCTTCTCTTAACTGGAGAAGAAAGCCACCATGAGAACCACATCATGGAACTATGCTGCCCTCCATGCTTTGTTTTTCCTGTGACAACGTCGTTGGCTTGCTCCTGAGCCCACATACCTTAGCAACCTGAAAATACTCATAGCAGGCCTCCATAACAAAGGATGGGGCAAAAGAATGCACTATATATTAATAGCTTAAGTGTAAAATGGCTCTGGGATATTTTTCAACTTTTAAAAATATCTTAACTTTCTTATGATTTAATTTCCTTTCTACAACTTCCTTTATTTCAATTAATGCCTTTTCTCATTTATCCATACATTCATTTCTCCAGCAAACTCTACTAGCTCTATCTTTAAAACATATCCAGAGCCTGCCTCCTCATCTTCCTCAGTGCACTGGTATCTTATACCACATGACTGATTGCAACATTCTTCTCACTGTGACATCCTGTGTAGTAGCCACTAGCCACATGTGGTTATTGAGTGCTCAAATTGTGGCTGGTCTGGATTGAGATATGCTGGAAGTGTAAAATGCATACTGTATTTCAAAGACTTAATGTAAGTCTTCGAAAAATATCTCACTGGATTAAATAAAAGCCATCATTAATATTAAGTTCACCTAGGTTTTTTTGACTTTCTGTGTGGATACTAGAAAATTGAAAATTGCACATGTGGCTCTGTTTTGTGGTTTGCAATACATTTCTATTGGATGGTACTTTTCTAATTTGTCTCCCTGCTTCTACCTTTGCTTCCTTTTAGTCTATTTTCAAATCTGCCACCTGTTGAAATATTATTCAGATTGTGGCACTACTGTTCCTAAAGACGGATTTCTCTTCTACTTAGGAAAATAAAAAAGTCTTTACCATAATCTGCAGGGCTCTCTTCTATCTGACACTCACTTCATACTATTACTATTCATAAACTGCTACTTTTCTGGTTCCCACCATTCTAGCAACACTGGCCTTTTCACTTCTCCTGGTATTTCATTGCCTATTGCCTCTGTCTGGCATGTTCTTTCCCCAAGAAGAATTACACAGCTTTTTTCTTCACTTCTTTTAGTTTCTCTCTGTTTTTCCAAACCCTCCTTCACTCTGTCCCAATACTTGATATCATTCGTTTCTACTTCAATTTTTTTCTCCCTACCACTTATCACTCATTAATAATATGTGTGTGTGTGTGTGTGTGTGTGTGTGTGTGTGTGTGTATAGTATATAATTTAATGTTTGTCTTTACCCTAATAATATAATCTGATGGCTGGAAAAAATGCTTATTATTTGTTTATACTTATACTTCCACCACCTAGAATAATGCCTGTTGCATAGTCACTATTCAGCAAACAGTTGTTGAGCAAGAATTTGTTCCAACTCTTTACTATAGCCTCATGGCCCTCTATGAAAGTTCTGCTTACCCCATCACTGTGAATTCTCACCTAACATTTTCTTTTTGTTTATGTCATTGCATAACCTGTTTTTATTCCTCAAAAAGGTCAAATTCAACCCTATTTCCAGACTTTATTTATTTTTTCTACTATCTAGAATATTCTTAACCCCAGATCTGACTCATCAAAAACATCAAAGTAAACAAGACAGATGAGGTTCAGTTTTGTTTGGAAGATTGAAAAGTCAATTATTATGTGATAAGTTTAAAGACAGAGATAAGCACAAGGAAATTCTGTGCTTTTTGAAATCGTGAATGGAAAATAGTGTTGCAAAATAAGGAGAAAATGTGACCTAACATTTTTTACATAATTATGACCTCTTTCCCTATTGTATTCCCACAAAGATCCCTGTCTCACCCTACAATGCACACTTATAGTCTTTAACATGTTTCAGGGGGAGAAGCTGATGCTCTCATTGTGCCTCCTAGCAATTCCTAACACTTTCTTCCAGCTAACAAATTAGCAAATTAAAAGCTGTGATCAAGATATTGGCAACTTAGCACTCCAGAGCTCCTCTTGATGAGGCACTGGCTTCAGGGTTGTTGAAAAGGAAATGCTTCATGGTGTCACAATCAGAGAAGACCCACCATGCAAAGACAAAACAGCCAATGCATTAGGGGTACAGAGAAACTTTTTATCCCCAGTGCAGACCCCCTCTCACCAAATACTCACTCTCTCTTTGATCAATCCCAGTAAGAAGCAAGCTCTGAATACTTAGGTATTGAATGAATGAAATGATAAAATGACCAGACAGAATAGCATGATTATTGAGATGGATAGAATCTGTCTGTATCCATGTCAACTCCTTAAAAGCCCAATGACAATTGCCATGTTGCTTATTCTTTGTAAGACTCATTCCTATTATCTATAAAATACAGGCAATGATAACATTTTCCTGAGGCTGTCATAAATGTAATAAATATAAAACACTGGTTGTAGTTATGGGCACATTATAAGCACTAAGTGAGGAGTAAGTACTATTAATTCCGGGCTCGATTGTATGCGTCACATGCCAAACTCTCCTGAGGCCTCTGGAGATGAGGGTGCTCTCTTTTCCCTCCCAGAGCCTTGTATCATATTCTGCCTGTTCCTGTGAGTGTGAGTAAGTCTAGTAGAATCAGACCAGTCATTCTTTCTTATTAGTCTTCAGAGAGGAAAGTCATTTCCTCTAAAACACATGGACACAGATGTAAATGAGACATTAAAGGTCCCTTAGTCTAACTCCATCATTTTACAGATGAAGAATGAGGCCCTTGGGTGGAAAAGGGCTTTTCTACGGAAGCACATATTTTTCCAAGGGTCTTAGTCGAGCCCTTTCCAATCTAGAGAAAAGAAGAAGATGGCCCAAGAGGTAACGACATTATGCCTGAAACTGCTCTTAGTTCAAAGTCAGAATTTTAGGCATCCCTAATTATGTCTATAGTTAAGCAATAAAACGTTACAAATTACAAAGGATCAGTCAGGGAGTCAGCCTAATTTGCCTAATGAAATATTCTAGGAGACATTTATAAAGCAGAAAATATAGTTGGAAATTGTAAAATACTACCCGAAGTCACCGAACACTGAGCCCATAGTGTAATCCACTGAGTAATAAGCACACACAGAACTGACTTCTTATTTAGGGCAAGGGATTACAATGGGGAAAAACACATATTGAGGGAAATATCACAGGTTATAAGCATTCATGGAAACATGTACATTTATTATTTGAAACAGTATGAAGGGGCTTTTTTGCATCCAATTCCTGTTCAACAGAAATTCTTGATTGGGTTAGTGTGGCTAACTAGTTTCTGAAATGCACGGCCAATGGTAGTAGTTTCAGTATCTTTGGCATTATATGCATATTACTCTGCACTGAACTCTTAATGAACTATGGAAATAATTTTCTGGTGAGCTCATTTGGAACAATAAGATGTACTCATTTTTTCTTCCACTTGGCTTTTAGGATTGAAGGTTAAAAGGAAAATTCAACGGTTTTTCTTATGCCAGAGGTACTTCCAGAAGACTAGCAAGCTGCTGGTGGCTATCAGTCTTTTCCTCCAAATCTCAAAATTAGGCACACAGGATGTTGCAGCTATACAGGTATTTTAGAACAGGAACAGAGTCACACGTTTTCATATATTTCATCATGTCTTCCAAGTCTCCAACTTTAAGGAAAAACAATTAGCTTTTGCATTGTACTTCTAGGGTAGAACCCACTTGACACACCCAATAATGTATACTCAGATCCCACTTCAAGAAAGGCCTTGCTGCTCAGCTCCAGGACTCTGGCCAGCGGAAAGCCTCCAGCTACTAGCTCCTTGGAGGTGGCCTCAGTTTTTTGACCATGTTTGGCTCAAGTCGGTGACTGGAAAGGCTTTGATACAAGGGCTGAGCCATTTCTGCCAACACAGGAATCTTCTAATGGGTAATCTTTGCTCTGAGGCACCTCATTGCACTGCTAGAGAATTTGTAAGATCAATATTGTAGTCTGACATGTCTCCCTTCCCAATTCTGTATTTTCCCCTTTTCTTTCACAGACCTTTCTTCCCAATACATTTTTTTTCACTCTTAACTTTGTCTCCGGATTTGTTTCCCAGGAGTCTCAATGGACATATATAGAAACAGCTCCTATATGGAAGAAAAACAACCTGGAAGAAAAATATCAGATATCTAAACCAAAATCCTGAAAAGATTAATTTAAAGGGAAAATTTACCACCCACACAAACAAGACAAAATAATTTTTAAAATACTGGTGAATACTGCCAGAAGTTTAAAGGGTTTATAGAGTAGTGAAAATAAATAGAAAATGCACAAAATGAAATGAATTATAGAAAATGAAGAGTTTCCCAATGTCCTGTTAGGCACAATAGAGCTTCTGTCCAGCCAGATCTAAAGCCCACACTAAGGACTCTAACTGCTGGACTGTCACATTCAACTTGCACACTAGATTTCTTCTGTTAAGGGGCATCACCCTTCGACAAAAGAAACACATAAAAGAGGTGGATGGAAAACTTTATGCCTCATGGAAAATGGTTTTCTTAACCTTATGTAAATGTGTGTGTATTTGAAATATTCTAATCTAGGCAATGTCACATTGATGTAATAATCAATGATATTTTCATTTTGGGAAGAGATGCAATGTGATGCTATTCTATCCTTGATAGAATCCTCTGGGTCAAAGGACTTGATATGAAAATAAAAATGTAGGTAATGTTAAATATAGTGAGCCATAGAGAATATAGGATTATTCCAGCTGAGGCTGTTGCTGCTGCATACTTTGCCCTGAGATGAAGTTCATGGGCACTTTAGCCCCAGCAGGAATTCCTAAGGATTTCTAAGTCTGTGATGGATCTCCGTTGAATATCTTAACCTTCTTTGTGGAAATGTCATGAAAACCAAAAATTTGGAAAGATACCAGTGTCCTCAAACTAAAATTCATTATCTTTTCCTTTATTGAACAACGTTGGTTCTATTTATCATCACTTTCTATGAGACCAAAGCAGGCTGAGGTTTTTCATTCAAATGTGGAAACTTGAGACTTCAATACGGGAATCAGCCATAAAGACTGTTATAAAATGTATCATTTGGTGAGTGTTTGCTGTGTTCCAGGCACTCTGATAAGTTGCATTAATTAATATAAGGGATCTTAAATAATTCAAATGCCACTGGTATCAAATGATATTTATTATTCCCAATTTGAGGCTGAGAAAACACAGAAGTTGTACCATTAGCAAGTTAAAGAAATGAGGATTTCAATCTAAGAGTTAAATTTCAAAGCCTTGACTTTTAGAAAGCCTAATAAGGCAACTAAAAATGTTGATGCATTCAATGAGTACCTACAAAAAAGCAGCATGTGTTACGAACTGACTAAAAAGAAATAATATGCTCCTGTGGGCAGAAACTCTGCCTAACCTCATTTTTAAAAATCATCACATCAAATGCAATGCTTGGGACTCATTGGCTTCTCAAATATTGGCTCAATATCCATTCTGAAATAGGGTTTGGAACACTAGTATATACTTAAAAGTAGAGATAGAAAAGAAAAAGGCAGTGTATATGATCCTCACACTCTTCTGGAATTTCTAAAAAACTCAAAGTGGCTAACTGACTATAAAAGACGCATTTAAAAAATGTGTGACATGAGCATATGAATTTGTCCTAAAGTCACATTTTTGGCTCTGCTCCTTAATAAATGAGCAAGGTACCTAATTTCTTGGAACCCTAGTTTTCAAAAACACAGGTTTTATAATACCCTTATAGAGCCATTGTGAAAATTAAGTAAAATAACACTTGCACGTTATTCAAAATACATTATCTAACAGAATAAACACCTGATAATTGTAATAATTTTCCTCCCTAGCCTTAGCCATGAGCACATTGTAGCAATATATGAATAACTTTTATGGCAAACTTCTTGTTTTAGTTGTAGTTACATTATTTTGGTCATTGAATTTATTGATCCGAATGGGATGCTGTGATGTAAGCTCGCCAATTAGCAATTATCTTAGCAATTTAATGTTGTGTTTGAACTTTCTGAATCACAAGGGCTGTTTTTTCTTCCTCTTCCACAAGCAAACTAAATGAGCAAGATAAGGCAATTATCTGAATAAATCTGGAGGCCATTTACTAAATCCAATTCCTCATATTCATAAATGATCACAATCTTTCTTCAAGCACATACAATTTTATATGTTTTGAGTGTGTAAGAATGCTGTGAAGTAGCATTATACCTGTTTTAACTAGTTATCATTATCCTGTTTTAAACAATGATAAAACTACAATTTTAGTAGAGAGGTAAAGTCAATTGCTCAAAGTCTCAAAGTCCCAAAGCTAGTCGGAATAAGGCTGGTTATTTGGTGTATATGCACGCACACACACACACACACACACACACCAAAGATCAATAGATCTGTCTATCTATCTGTCTATCATCTATCTATCTAATCTTCTCATGTGAATTGCCTATTTAATGTTTGTGCTTATTTTTATGGGGTATTCAACTTTTAATTACTAATTTGTAAAAGCTGTTCACGTTAGTAGCATTAAAAGCATTAATTCTTTAACACACTGTTGCATATGTCTTTTCTTATTTGTCTATTTTTCTATATAAAAGGTGTAAACTTTTATGAGGTGAGATTGATATTTTTCATTATAGTTTCTAGCTTGGGTGAAATACTTAGGAAGTCCTGCTTTATCCCAAGAGAATAGCAATAATTTCCTAACATTATTTCTAATTCATCTGGAAAAAAAACCCAAAAAAACCTCCTAACATCTCATCAATATTGGAATGATAAATATGTTTGGGTTGGTGGGTTATGGGTAATTTTTCACTTTCTTCCTCAGATTTTTAGTCCTTAAATACACTAGGACTCTTCCTAGCCCTTTAAACCCATCTAGGTCATGTGTCCGTCCCTGGCCTAATTACAATGGCCCCGGGACACTTGGATTGTCTTAAGAGAATTGGGACCCATCCCTGAAGTGCAGAGTGCAATCAATCTCACCCAACTACATCGCTGCAAATAGGGTATACTTCTTAATGGCGAAACAAATTGCTATTTGGGAGGAAAATGAGGAATGCTGGTGATCTAATAACAAACGCCCTCTACAACTTGAACAAGTCTAACTTCAGAGTAGAGAGGGGTAGGAAAGGGGTAAATGCTAAAATAAAACGAGCCTCAAACATTAATGAAGTTGTTTTCATCTCTCAACCAATCAGTGTCTTCCCAGAGTAAAGAGAGTTGTTATTTCTGGAGTACAAATTCTGAGGTATCATACCCAGCATCCCTGGCTTTGCTAAAGACTGAACACTTTAACTATGTGGTCCTCAAAAGTGCCATTCATCTGCTTAATTATCCCTAAAGGAAGCACTTGTTTCAAATTAGGAGCAAAAGCATTTCTGAAAAGGACATAATAGCATTAACAATGGCAACATGTTTAAGTAATAGAGCTTTTAAAGCTTATTTTTTTAAATGAGACTGACTGAACCCAGAATTATTTTCATTTACTTGGCTTTGCATACTTCACAAGCATCTGGATCTTTATCACCACAAAGCACAGCTACCATCCTCATCATCTAGGAGGAAATTAATTGTGCAGCAATTGGTTGACTACTAGTAGAACAGCAAAGTTGTAATAGTATTGCAATCTTAACTGTGATACTAACACATAACCATTTGGATTTTCTGCCCTGTGGTTTACACCAGACCACAAACTAGTTTCTATAAAAGATATTTCAACACCAGCATTCACGTATGTTTGAAGAAAATAATTGAGGCAGAGTAGGGGAAATATGGAGAGTTAGATAAAGAGAATGAGTTTGTTGACTTTAAGGACAGAACATGTAATGTTTAACTACTTGAGTGATTCAAGTTAATTTGGTAATACCTCTTCCTTAACAGTTAGTAGTCTTGATTCAACAGGTGGAACTGTAAATAGATTTGCTTCATCCTTTCAGTTTTCATGGTTGTTACTCTGATTTTCTGCAAATAAGCTCAGTCTCACCTTATACTTTAGGCTGATTTCTTTACCTGAACTTATTTATCTTCATTCCTTTATTCCCAGGTTCTTCAAACACTTTTGAGGGAAATATGTAAATTAGTTACAAATAACTGCATACATATAGTAGACACTGTACAAATGTAGAGTCTGCTATCTGGACGCTGTTTTTATTTTCAACCAAATTTTATTTGAAGAACCAATGTTCCCTAAGTCATACTCTCTGTAATGTTGTCAATCATAGATGTTGGCTCAATTGCCAAACAAAAAAAATGCACACAAGACAAAGTTAATTAGTATCTCAGACCCCTGGCAAAGAGATTAGCCCAAGGAAGAGCTGACATAGGCAAAAGCGCTAGAGCTCTAGTCTGTCTTTTGGATCAAGAGCTATAATCGTATGGGCTTCTGGTGGCTCTTTCCCGCAACATAGAAAGATATGACCAGAGAATTCAGGTAAATAAAGCTGATACCCAAAGAAGGAAACAGAGCTGACTGATAGCAAAAGAGAGAAACAGCCCAAACCTCATTTTTTAACTCTTAGATTTAGCAGGGCCTACAGGCAACTATACTCTTGGATCCTCAATATTCATGAGCCAATTATTCTCCTTGTTTTGCTTAAACCACTAAAAGTTAGGTTTCTGTTGCCACAAAGAGACTTATAACCATTACATGTATGAAACTTACCTTCTTAATTATGTTTTAACATTTCATATTAAGCTGCACTTAATTTGTTGATTTTAACAGTAGTTCTATATTAGAACCAATATACTACATGGAATGTGGACGGAGACAACCATGAGGATGAGAATGATATTGGTGATGATGACAGGATGTGACATGAAGGTTTTCAAGGGTAAAAAATTCATTAGCAATGTTAGAAGAGCCTTCCGTTAGAACACAAAGCTATTCTTCAGTCTTTAGCCACAATTTTCTTGTGTTGCAAATATAATTGCAAAAAAAATGTAGTTGAGTTCATATATGCAAAGCATCATTAACCTTGTGGAGAGATTTTATTTTAATATACTTGTTTAAAGGCATAGGCAGCATATCTAGATGGAGTCATTTTCTTGTGATTTGGCTTAATGATTGAAAATCTATCTTCTCTGATCATTAAAGAAGCCTTCCCTTTCTCAAGTTTTGTCACTACAGAATGCAAAACCATTACTCCCTGACTCTTCTCGTTCATTAAGAGATTCAAATTAGCACGATTAAATCTCACCACAGCTACATAGGCCCAGTCTACATCACATTATATACCTCGGTGTACTCCAGAAACTATTTTAGTGGTTTGAGTCATATAAAAAGTTTCACAGCATCACAGAATACTGGAGAGAAAGAATTGTATAGTGGTTGAAAGCACTGATCCTATGTTAAGGCTTAGCTTTCATATTCCAGCATCCCTCCCTCATAATCGGGTGACCATGAACAGGTTACCTAGCCTGCCCACACTTGATCCCAAACCCATAGAATGGGAATGATAACAGCAAACCCCCAAAGGATTGTTGTGGGAACTAAATAAGAAAATGCTAAAAGGCCTTCTTCCAGGAATACTTAGCTCTTTCTAAATGCCTGAATGTATAAATGTGTGCACGTGTTTTTGAATAGAGCTCAATATTAGAACTGTAAAAAATAATGAAAACCATAAGCTCTCTGTTTATTAATGGTAAAACTGAAGCTCAGAGTAAAAAAGACTCTGGCCCAAGATAGTACAACCTGAAGATGGCAGAAGCAGAGCTAGGCCCAAAGCCTTCAAATTCAGTGAGCTCTCCACTGAACTCCCAGGCCTTCCTTCCAGAGCCTGTAGACATAAACCCAAAAGCCAATCATCCCCATAAAGACAAATGGTAAGTTGGAGCCTGTCTGGGAAAACCACACACCCACACATCCATACACACTCACATTTTAATTTTCACTCAGCTAACCTTAAAACGAACTACTCTGCTCAGCTCCTCACAGATTTCCCATTTTTCAGATTTTTCTGAAATATAACCATTACCCCTCTGTTTTATGTTCTGCCTGTAGAATCCTCTCTCTTTCTTTCAACCTGTGTGTGAATTAGTTTGTGCATTATTTCTAGTTGAACTCATATTCCTGGTTATGCATGTACTGACCATAGGAACACCATGACTAACATAAGGGTGTGATTAAGTTTCTAGTAGCCTCGCCTTACAAGCCTGATTGAAGTGGGAGACTGAAGGTTTTCCAAAGTGTTTTTCAACGCACTGCCCTTCACCCTGCCTCCATCCTCCACAAAGCATGATTCCTGGGTTTGTCACCATAGCAAGAGGCCATGTGGGACATGGGAGGTACAGGTCATAGGGCCCTACTTTCATGGTTGGAGCACCATTATCCAACTTGCAGGAAGTAGGGCAACAGCTTCAAGAGGAACTCAGTTCGCTCTACAAATTTGATGTTCATTTTTAAAAACTGGCTTTTTGGTGGCAAACATTTTTTTCTTGAACCAAACACTTTATCTCAGCCTGGAAAAAGCCTTTTCAATTCCTTTAAAATGTTCTGTAATGATGAGGCAACTTGCTTTTTCTTTTTTCATTCCAAAGCAATTGGTTTTGATTTACTTTTGGTCTTTTATATTGTACTTAAAAAGCCCTAGCTCCTGAATCAATAATACAGGACTGTATTTTCTGTCCTAAGCAATTATTTACAGACAGTGGGAACAGTTGTAATTTAACATGCCACTTAGGCAGTACAGGAGTGGAGCTGCTTGCTTTTTAAGTCAATAGAATGGGGATAAAAGAAGCCATCATGGACAAGAAAAAGAAATCAGACCATAAGGTACCAGCATTCTAAACATCATTGCTTTAGGAACCAGAAGAAACTTCTAGGTTCAGAGTAATTGGAGAGAAAGAACAATATTACAAGTTTAGGTTTACTGATGGTGAGAATGTCAACTTGTACAGGTAATGAGCCATATTGAAAATGTATCATTATAAATAAATAGAACTATTCTTAGCTTTATTAAAAATTTTATTCTTGAGACAGGGTCTCACTGTGTTACCCATGCTGGAGTACAGTGGGTTGATCATAGCTCACTACAGCCTCAAACTGTTGGGCTCAAGCGATCTTCCTGCCTCAGCCTCCCAAATAGCTGGGATTACAGGTGAGAGCCATGACTCCTGACAATAAACAGATCTATAATTGTTGAATTGTTGGTTATCATAACAAATCCACAATGCAGATCATTTGATATGAGTATTCTTCATCACACCACGTAAGTCTCTACCCACTACATTTATTTATGACCAAGGCTCTGATCTGTAGTGAACAAAAATGCCTCATTGTCTAAAAGTGCTGTGGCAAGTGGCTAGTGGAGAGGGTTTCAGAAATGTAATAGGTATAAAAATACTAAGGAGAGAAAGATGAAAATGCCTATATATGGACCAGAATGTCAACAGACTCTTAATAGCAGATCTATCCTAGATGTGAGTAAAATCTCACAGTATCATACCACTGGCTGGAAAATAGACTTCATCTCAGAACTGCTTCTGATGTACTGATTTAGCTTTCTTGGAGTGATATGTTAAAAGGAATTCTGAGGCTGCTTGTATGCTTGACATAATCCATTAATAATTTTTATCATTGGAGTAGAAAGGGAAGGAGGTATGGTGGCACGTGAGCTACTTTTTCTTTCACTCTTGTTCTGAATAACTCCCTTAAATCCTCCTTTACTAGCTAGCACTAAGTGATTATGCAATAAAGATTTGTTGGCTGGGCACGGTGGCTCACGCCTGTAATCCCAGCACTTTGGGAGGCCGAGGCGGGAGGATCACGAGGTCAGGAGATCGAGACCATCCTGGCTAACATGGTGAAACCCCGTCTCTACTAAAAATACAAAAAATTAGCTGGGAGTGGTGGCGGGCACCTGTAGTCCCAGCTACTGGGGAGGCTGAGGCAGGAGAATGGTGTGAACCCGGGAGGTGGAGCTTGCCATGAGCCGAGATTGTGTCACTGCACTCCAGCCTGGGCAACAGAGCCAGACTCCGTCTCAAAAAAAAAAAAAATTGTTTAATGAATGTATTAATAAACTAAGGACTCCACCTTATTATTGTTTTCCATCTAGAATGCCATATCCCAATTCTCCTTTGAGTCCTTTACTTATTTCAAGATGCAGAATAAGCAGATTAGATATTCTAACACACAGGGAGTGTTCAATTCGATGATTGCCGGGCAAACTCCTTCACTGTATTCAAATCTTTGCTCAAATATCATCTTACATTGAGGTCTTCTCTATTTCAAACTGCACTCATTCAATCTACTTTTTAAAATCTTTTACCCTCATCTTCTACAATAACGTCTTTATTAAGACTATTTATCATTGCCAGTCCCCCTGGGCCCCCAGATGAAATGTAAAGTCTACTAGAGTAAGAATTTTTGTTTTCATCAGGAAAAAGTGCTAGTAGGCACTTGACAAGCACTTGTTTAATGAATAACTTTTCACAGGTAACTTCTTCTGCCCAACTACTTTATCAGCATTATGAAATTAAAGGCTGATTTATATTTCTTTTGCATTTTTCCAGGACATATAACAAGGCACTGGGAATAAGCAATTAACTAAACATTACTGATTGATTTTACTTAACATTTATAAATGATTGATCACACTATGCACTGCTACTGCAGTGGTAGGAAATATTTTACATCACTTAATGTGTACTAGGCACCTTGCCAAATGATTTACATACATTATCTCATTTAATCCTCACAAAAATTCTATTAGACAGTTACTTTCATTATCCTCATTCCACAAATGATGACGATCAAGTTTAAGGGGCTACATTATTTTTCCCAAGTGACAATTCTTGGGTTGTATTGATGATGCTTGACTACAGAACTCCAGCATTTGACTTGTATACAGAGAAAGCGTGGATTTGGGAGCTAGTGTGAACTACCTAACAGGTTGGAAGAAACTTTCTGATTCTGGTTCTACCTGATGCTGGGTGATTCACTCTCTTTATCTCCTGCCTTTATTTTCTGTCTGACATTGAGAGATCATTTCTGCCCAGGCTAAGAAAACTGATCAAAAAAAATAACTTTTATCTGCAAAGTTCTTGGGTTGCCTAAAGAGAACCCTCTGTAGATGTCAAAGGTACTTAAAGGAAAATATTAGTTTGGGCTGCCAACCAGTTGTTGTAGGAAGGCTGGATTATAGCTATCAGAAAAACTCTTGAGTTGAGAAAAACTCATGAGCGGTGGCTAATGCCTATAAACCCAGCACCTTTGGAGGCAGAGACAAGAAAATCACTTGAGGTCAATAGTTTGAGACCAGCCTAGGTAACATAGCAAGACCTCATCTCTACAAAAAAAAAAAAAAAGAGAAAAGAAAAGAAAAGAAAAAATTAGCTGGGTGTGGTAGCATGCATCTATAGTCCTGGCTACTTGGGAGGCTGAGGTGGGAGGATCCCTTGAGCCTGGGAGTTTGAGGCTGCAGTGAGCTGCAATTGTGCCACTGCACTCCAGCCTGGGTGACAGAGCAAGACTCTATGTCTAAAATGTTAAATAAATACATACAAACATAGAAAGTCACAAATTAAAGCTCAGTGGGAAACATTCAGTTCAAAGTGGAGAGAGCCAGAGTATAAGAGTGGTACAGGCAGTACTTTCTGAGAGATGGCAGCCATGAGGCCAAGCCGGAGGACACTGGGTACACCCACTTAGCTAAATGGGCTGCAAATGGAGCCAATATTTCTGAAGCCAGTTTTTCTGAGCTTGTGTTATTGAGATAACAAAGATACCCTTAAATATGCTCTATAGATATTAAAGAGACAATAACTATTATTTCTAATATCTATTGTCAGCTAACAAGCATTAACTTCCAAAGCAGAAAATTAATTAGCATATTCATGAATTAGAGTCCTGTTTATCTTTCTATCACCCAGAAGCATCTGTGCAAACTTCTCTTAGTTAAATCTTATATTTACTTAAGTCCTGTTTCACTGCAAAGAACAGAGGTTCACTCAGAATTGCTTTATGCAAAGAGGTGTGTTGTAAGGAATCAGACCTCTGCAAAGACCACCATATAGAAACCATCATCCAGTAAAATATTACTGTAAGAAGAAAGCTGTCAGGACCCAAAGGAAGTTAGGGCTGGGTCTCACACACTTGTCTATTCTGACTCTCTCTGCACATTTGCTACCTTTTCTTCTACTAACCAACTTCCACCCCTTAATTTTGATATTTCTTATTTTTTCCATTGTTTTCTTCCAAAACTCCTAATAGAATATTGGATCTCCTCATCCTATCACAAATATTTCTTAGTCTATCATTCACATTTTTTCATGATTTATAGGTTGCTTTCTGGGTAATTGCCTCAGCCTTATCTTTTAGCTTTTTAATGTCTTTTCAGCTATACCTAATCTGCTGCTTATCCCCTCCACTGAGTTTTTAATATCAATATCTGTATATTTTTCATTTTTAGAAATCCTTTTTTGTTCTTCTACAAACTAGCTTAAGTTTGTGTAGCATTCTGTTATTTCACTGGGGTTTCTATTCATTCTGCTATAATTTTCTATCTTCTAACATACTATTTTGTTATATTCCCATTCCTCCAGATTGTTCTATTATCTCAGATTCCCAGGATGATAATCTTCTTATTTGAAAAATAAACAGGACTTTCCATCATAGTGAATTATTCCCTGTGTAGTGTGTAATTGTTTATGGTGTTTTGATATGTGGCAGAATTTTTTATCTGTGGTAGCTCTGTGCATTCTGAGCTACCAAAGTATTCCTCAAGAGTAGTTAGAGATTTGCTTCTTCAAGTTGGTCTTGATGGTCAGTAGTTTTATTGTGATAGGTTTTATGTTAATTTCTTGGCTTATGAACTCTAAATTTAATGGATTCTGAACTTTGTGTAAGTCTGAATTTCTTAAGTGTGATGCTTGTTTATAACAAAAAGTAGTTCCATTTTTTTTTCTTAACATGCTCCTCATGGCCATGTGTCCTTCTTCTCTTTATAGTATGGACCTTCTTAGTCTTTTCCTGCACCCAGCTGCTGCTTCAGTTTTTAGTTACCTATCTTCAAATTTTCAAAACTGGCCTGTAACTGAACCACTTAATCTTTGAGCCAGATAATACCAGTAACATGTAGAAGGGTACAACTGCTGAAAGTTTAGCCAAATATGTATTATTCACAGATTATGTGCCAGACACTTAGCTAGCTGCTTAGGGTGATCAACTGTCTTGGCTCCATCTGGCACTGAAGGATTTCTGAGGCTATGAGAATTTCAGTACAATTAGGATAGTCCTAGGCAAACTAGAACATTTGGTCAATATGCTGGAAATAGTGATAAACAGGACAGTCTCATGGAGTTTCATAAAGCCTACAGCCTTGCTGAGAACACGGACCTTAAACATGAAATTACAATTGAGATGAATGTAATAAAAACCTACATATGGTAAGTAAGAAACATACTGCAAAAATATTTTGGGGAGTGCTCTGACAAATCAGAGAAGTCCCTCTCCCTTTAGGAATTGAAGTATGAACAATGAATTTTAAAACTATGGTTTAAATACCTAATATATGCCTGAAACTATCAATTTTTAGAACATGATTTAAATGCCTAATATATGCCTGAAACTATCCTAGAAACCGGATGTAAGGGATGATACTGAACAATGATGATAAGATCCCTTCCCTCAGAGGGATTATGATATAGATGGATAAAAAAGTAATAATCGTATGAGAAAATAAAAGGCTAAGTAATTTCAGAAAGTGGTATTATGAGGTCAATTAAGAGACTGACTGGTGGTGGACTGGTATTAGAATTTGAACTGAGGCTGGGCGCGGTGGCTCAAGCCTGTAATCCCAGCACTTTGGGAGGCCGAGGCGGGCGGATCACGAGGTCAGGAGATCGAGACCATCCTGGCTAACAGGGTGAAACCCCGTCTCTACTAAAAATACAAAAAATTAGCTGGGAGTGGTGGCGGGCGCCTGTAGTCCCAGCTACTGGGGAGGCTGAGGCAGGAGAATGGCATGAATATTGGAGGCGGAGCTTGCAGTGAGCCGAGATTGCACCACTGCACCCCAGCCTGGGTGACAGAGCGAGACTCCGTCTCAAAAAAAAAAAAAAAAAAAAAAAAAAAAAGAATTTGAACTGAGATCAGAATGATGTATAGGAGCTAACTAAGTGAAGATTTGGGGTAGGAGCATTTGTGTAAAGGTAAGACCTTTGATAACTATGAGGCCAAAACGGGCTTTAACACATTCAAACAACACTCCCAGCTTGCTTTCTACATTCCAGCTGTGTTAAACTGCATTTCCTCAAACAGAACCACCAGTTTCTTGCCTGCCTGAGACATGTGCTGTTCTCTTTTCTTTCGCCATCCCCCGATCCCCAACCAGGTCAATTCCTTTACCTCATTTATACATGCTGTTGAAATTCACCTCTTCAAAGAACCCTTCTATGGCCAGTATGTGTAAAATACCACCCATCTCCAAGGAACTGTTTGACCTAATCCTGTATTGCCCAATATGATAGCCACTAGTCATATCTATCTATTTGCATTTAAATTAATTATAATTAAATAACATTAAAAGTCCAATTCTTCACTAACACCATCTACATTTCAAATCCTCAATAGTCACATGTGACTACTGTATTGGATAATACAGAATATTTCAATCATTGCAGAAAGTTTTATTGGGCAATGCCTCTCTAACTTGTTTTATCCACTCCTGAGCACTTGTCATCACCAAGTTTTATTTGTTAACTCATTTATTTTATTCTCCTCTAAAATCTATAAAGGTGAGACACTTAGTACTTTCTTTTCTCATTTATGTATTCCAAGTGGTTAGAAGAGCACCTGACACTAATTAGAAGCTAATTTGCTGAATTAAGTTTTTAAAAAGACTTGTATGACTAGAGGACAGAAGATTGTAGAGTGATCATCCCTGTTGTCTAGGGTGTTGTCCATCAGAATTTTTATTTTTGAAAATTTTTTGAGTTAGACTATTTTGAATGTTCAAATATACAAGTCCATTTTGTTGGTCAATAAGTCAGCACTTTAAAATCATGTCGTTTTAATTATTCTGCCATCCCCTTTCACTCCCAGAAGTGTCCTGGTATGTCCAATATAGTATATAATTCTAGCTAAAGGAAAACGCACTATGAGACAAGACTCTAATGGAGTATGAATTTTACCTGGCATATAATATGTAAGTCATATTTATTTGGCTAAACTTTCAACAGCTATACTCTTCTACTCATGACTGGTGTTAATGTTAACTGGCTCAAAGATTACATGGTTCAGTTAGAGATCAGTTTTAAACACTTGAAGGTATGTAACTAAAGATAGAAGCAGCAAGATAACTAAAGACTGAAGCAGCCAAGGATAGGAAAAGAATAAGGAGGTCCATGATATAGAGAAAGGGAGGCCACATGGCCATTAGGACCATGTTAAGAAAAATATGGAACTACTTTTGGTTGTAAACAACCATCATATTTTTGAAATTCGGACTTATACTAAGTTCAGAATCCATTACATTTAGAGTCCATAAGCCAAGAAATTAACATAAAATCTATCTTAGTAAAACTACTATCTGCAGCAACTTGAAGAAGCTAATCTCAAACTACTCTTTAGCAATACCTTGGTAGTTCAGAATGCACAGAAATACCACAGACCAAAAAAGAATGCATATTTTATTCTAATTAGAATTGAAAGCTATTGGAGGGTTTAATACAGGATAGGATTTACCTGATTTTAAAGTTGAGTTGTAGTAAGCCCAGGCACAATAAAAAGCTTATTGGGAAGAATAGCTTTCCCAATGATTGGCTGTGATATATATAGTCTCAGACAAGAGAGAAGGTAGATGGGTCACAGTAGTAAATAATAATAATAATAATAATAATAATAATAATAATAATAATAATATTGTGGCAAAACATAAAACTCAATCAGTAGGCAGGGACCAACTCATGGGAGCTTTGAAGAGCATGTATAATAGTTGGGGCTTTAGCATAGGGGGAAGCTAGAAAAGGAGTTTAAGCTCAGGGGCAGCATCACTGCTTTCACCTTTCAGAGAGATTGCTTTGGAGGCAGTGAAGAGAACGAAAGAAGGGGAGATAATAATGGTGGGCTGTGAAAGCACATAGATGATCCTTAGGCAGCCCAGGTAAGAGCAGATACTATCATAGCCTAATGTTACGGCAGAGAGATAGAGAATTATGGGTGGGTTAGAGAGGTATTTTGAAGTTATAACTTACAAGTCTGAGTAACTATTTATGGGCTATAATAACCATATATTTTGACTTGAATGACTGCATGGATGTTGGTATAATTTACTCAAACAAGAAGCTCAAAAGGAGTAAATTGGTTGAAGAAGATGAAGAGCTCAGTCAATTTCTAGTCTAGGCACCTGCAACACACTTAAGTTGAAATGTCCAGTTGATTATTAGATACAAAGGCTGAGAGTAAGGAAAAAAAAATAGAGCTGCAGATTTGAGGCTCCAGGCATACAGCTGTTAAAATAAACAATAGGAACATCTGAAGTCACCTTCTCCCTAAGGGATGGAGTACTCCCAAAATAACGTTTTTAGAAATATAATAAATCTTAGAGGTCATTTAGTCCAACTCTCCTATTTCTCAAATGAATGAACTATCCAGAAAGGGAAAGTGATTTGTTTAGGACCACATAGACAGGAAGCTGCAGAGACAGAGTATGTCAAAACTCATCTCTCCAAATACAGTCTATCATCTTTATACTATTTTATATATATATATATATACTTTATACTATGCTGTATATCTAATTATATACCAGAATTAGCACTCCATAAAATAAAGTTATATCTTAGTTTACTTTAAGTATATGTAAAAAATCTCTGACTTCCAAAAGATCACATTACACCTATAAATTGGTACAAGAATACTGTGTGATTATGATTAATTAAAATCTATAAAAGTTCTAGTTATTGTTATGTTATTAATTAGTTTAATGAAGCATTAATATAAATTGAAAATATGATACTAGTAAGGTTTTAATTTTAGAAATCAATATCTCATTAGGAAGTTACTGCTGTATCTATAGGCATCACTAGATTAATCTCCTAGTGTAAAGGAAGCAACACCCCAAATAGCAGAAAGTACTTAGATTCATGAAGCATTTTTATTTTTAATTTATTTAAAATAAATATATCTTAGTTCTGTAGAAAACATAGAATGACTCTGATTACATCTCAGCCTTAGATTCTAGCAAGTCTGGTATACAATCCCTTTCATTCTTAATCTTTATGATACTGAAAATATTTGAGCCATTTAATAATTATAATTTAGTACGACACACACAGACACACACACACACACCCCAAAATATGTTTTCAAAATGGTTGTTCTTTTCTGTGAGTTATCCCAGAATTATTATCAGTAAGTGAATATGCTGTCTTATTTTCTTCTAAGCTACGGAAAAGGTCAGAATTAATGTCCAGTGTCAGAAACTGTAAAACTTAAATCAGGAAAGAGCATAGGAATCATCAAAAGACCCTTTGCATGTCTCCAACCTCATCCCCTACATATCTCTTGCTCTCATCACGTTCTAGTTACATTGATCTTCTTTATGTTTCTTGAGTATGGCAAAATTACTCCCCTCCACCACCATTCACTCTGCCTGATAGGATGTCTCCTCAGATCTTTCCATGGCTAAACCATTTCTATCGTTCAGGCATTGATTCAAATTTCACCTCAGAAGCATTATCTACCCACCCTACCTAAGGTGAACTTCCCCCACCCCTAGTTATTCTCTAAACCAGTTTTCTATTCTATTTATTTTTACAGTAGCTATCACCTTCTGTCAATTATATATATATGTTTGCATATTTTCCCTTGCTTTTCCAACTAGAATGGGAAATCCAGTGCAGCAAAGGTCTCATCTGTCTTGTTCACAGTTGTATCTACAGTGATTAGTTTCAGCACTTCATGCATAGCAAGACTCCATAAACATTTTTCAATAAATGAATCTAATATATCTTCTTCAAGTTTGGGAGTCTGTGGCCCACTAACCAATAATAGTGCTGAGGCAAAAGCCCCAATATTTTAATTTAAAGTCAAGAGCTCTTTTTATCACACATATTACTTCTATCTCATTTCTAACAGTTATTCTAAGGACATTTAAATATTTCTGAAAATTGATAAATAATAATATTGTGATGGATGACATTTATTGAATGCCAATTAAGCTCCAAGCATTGCATTAAGTGTCTTAACTGCTTTAGCACATTTAACCTTTGCAATAACTTTATTCCAGTAAATCCTAAATCCTATTATTAGATTGGGGGATGGGAGGTGGGGGAGGAGAGAGAGAGAGACTCAGATAGATTTAAGTAAGGTGTCCATGTTCACACAGCTGTTTTTTTTTTTTATTCCAAACACTGATATCGTAATTGCTATGTTATGTTGAGTGAACTTTACATGGTAATTTATTGGGCATTTGGGATAAAAATCATGCTCCAAGAATAAAAAACCTGAGAACACATAAATATCACAACAAATCAGACTGGCTAGATTTGTATTATTTGCAAGTTACAATGTGATGACAAGAGTGGCAAGAGTTTTCACTAGCTTATTCCATATTGATCACTAGACCACTGGGCTGCTGGAAAGGTCTATGGCCTAAGGCTTACTGATAGATTGTCCATCACCATAAATTCTCAAAGGCCTAATGGTGAAGTGTCAGCATTTGGGCCCCGAGGATAAAAACATTAATAAAACTCACAAGCCCATATTTCACATGTATTTTCTACCCTAAAATAAAGTAACTCCAAATCCTACATTTATCAAATTGATTTTCTGTATGTTAATGTCAGAATTTACAGATTTCCTTTCAAGGTCCTCAAAGTCTTTAAATGTTATAATAAATAAATACTTATAAATTATTTAATTTAGGGAAAAAGAAAGATTCTCTTTTAAGTTCTCATTTTCAAGGTTGGACAAAGTTTAAGAAATAGAAATATTCTCCCCTTCCAAGACTGAAATGGGAAAGGTGGAAACTCATTGAGCCTTGAGTTATTTGTATTTAGAAGTAAATTGAGGCAATTTGGATTATTAAAAATATTTGGAGACTCATTTCATACTTGAGATTTTTATAATATCTAAAATTAAATAATAGTAATGCATTAATTTAAAAATAATTTTAATACCTTAACTCCCTCTTTCAAGGAGCGTAAGAATCTTTGACAACATCCCTAAACTTGTATTTACTTCATCCATAAAGAGAACTGGTTATGATCTATCTACTAGGAATAGAGTTTTCCATTTAATTATGTGTAGGGAGGACAGCAGTGTTAAAAAAAAAAGGAGGGCATTAATCACAGCCTCCCTGTGCAACATTGTAAGAAAGCTTAGAGCTTGTGAGGCTTCAGTTTCCTCGCATATAACAACACAAAAGTTGAAATGATTAGCTCAAAGGTGGCTTTCTTCCTTAGGTGGACTTAACCTTGGACCTAAGGACTGCCTCTCATCTCACCCCATGCAAGGCCTTTGAATTAAATTCAAAAGGTTGTAAAAACACTGACATATATTTTAAATACATGTGTATGTCCATTACCTCATTTTTTTGTTCTGAGTTAAGGGACAATAGTTTTATTTTGCTGGATTCTACAAAGTGTTTATAACAACCCCACTGCTCTAATCCTAAGAGCCACTGTCTAATTCTATCCATTAGAGGCACTATCTTATAGTGGTTAAAATAATATATTCTGGAGTCAAACTCTTGGGTTTCCTTTCTACTCCTCAAAATACTAAGTTTCTGACCTTGAACAAGTTACATAATTTCTTTGTATTTCAGTTCTCTTGTCAATAAAAATAAAGAACAATTATAAAATATTCTTTGTAAGATTGCTTTAAAGAATTAAAAATATATTACATAGGGAAAATGCTTGGCACATAGTAAGTACTTGAGGCTATTTTTATTTATATTTTAAAATAAAATTTCCAATGGATCAGATCACGTGTTTACCTTTCTTATATGTAAGTAGAGAATAACAGAGCTTTTAAATATTTGTCAAATGAATGAATGATTGAGTCAATGAATGGATAAACTAAGGCTTTTGAGTAAGTGGTTTAATAAATATCTAACCTCAGAGATGAGCCACAATTGTGCTGAATAGTGAAGGAGCATTAGAGGAAAACACTGAGGAAAATACTTGGTCACGTCATCTTCATGTCTTTTTCTTTCCCTAGTGCTAGAGCCATCATCCGAACTTTCCGTGCAAATAAACAGCCTGCTTAGAATTATCTTTGTTTTATTTCTTTGCTCTCACAAGTATATTTTCCCCTAAATCTCTAACCAAAATGTACTGTCTAGCAAATGATTTTTAAATAGCTTAAACTAATCTCCCCAGTGTATATTCTATTTTGAGCCTTTTTTCTTCAATTTTCTTTCAGATGTTAATTGTAAGTATTACACAGATGCATTAATACTCACAAAAGAAAATGATAGAAAAAATGTGTGTGCACACTCTGTGCTTGTGTGTATGTGTGTTATGTTCCTGCAGACTAATTGCAGCACTGCTGTTACTATTTCAATTATTAGTAGTAAGTATTTAGCAGACATCTGTTAACACTGGGGTTTTAGGCAGCCTTGTTCTCTAACAGCAGGAGATCTGAAATAATGATCTTTGAATATTAAATTCACCTTTGAAATGCATTTTGTACTCAAACATTTTAAGGCATTTCTCACGCTTCTTAATTATTCCAGACCTGAGACATGGTTTGATATCTTAGAAAGAGCAAAACTCAAAGTGGCTTTAGTTCTAGTGCTTGCTCCTCCTCTAACTAACAATTAGATTTCCGAACAACCCTTAAACTCCCCAGGCCTTGATCTCCTCATGTATAAAATCAATGATGGGAGGAGTTGGCTAGATCATCTCTACGTTACAGGTCAAATAATCCTGTGATCCTAGCTCTGAAAAGGAAGTCAATGACATGAGTATTGAAAAAGTAAGTCCCACTGAGTTGCTTTTGCTAAATCAACCTGGAGATTTCTGCACTTTATTTTTTCCTTTCAAGGATGAACATGGAAAAAAAATAGCATAAAAATACAAATATCACTTTTAAGTACTTATTAAAAACAACCCTTACGTTACCCAAGCCCATGTAAGAAATGGGTGCAAGAATATGTACCTGGCCATTTTATGCCTACCTTGATCACTATTTATATCCATCCATCAAACATTTGACGAGCATTCACTATGCAGCAGCCATAAGACACAAAGATAAGTTGTACGTAAGTCCAGTCCTAAGTACCCACAATAACAAAGATTTAAGGTGACACTCAAGGTGACTTCAGCAAGATGGCAGAACAGAAAGCCTCCTACCCCTTCAAAAACACTATTCAACAACCGTACAAGGATCAATTCCCTTTGTGAGTAATCTAGAAAAAAATTAAGAGGCCCCTACCTTTCAGTGCAAAACCAACGCCTCTAAGCCAGTAGAAAAATTTGTGGCATCTACTTACCCTAGCCTCTACCTACAGCTCAACGCAGCATGACTGGAGACAAATCCCAGCTCCAGGCTTCTCTCTGGAGAGGGAAACAGAAGACAAAATATCCATTTAATGTGCAGAATTTCTACCCAACAGCAGCAGAACATACATTTTTCTCAAACACACATTTATAGACCACACGTTAGGCCACAAAGCAGGACTTAAATATAAGAATACTGACATAATACCAATTATCTTTTTAATAAAATGAAACTAAAAATCAATAGCAAAATAAATTTGAAAATTCACAAATATGTTTAAGTTAACAAGATACTCCTAAACAACCAATGGGTCAAAGAATAAATCAAAAGGATAATTAGAAAATATTGAGACAAATGAAAGTAAAAACACATCAATACCTATGGAATACAGCAAAAACAGTGCTAAGAGAGAAGTTTATAGGGGTAAATGTCTGCATTAAAAGAAAAAAAAATCTCAAATAATCATCAGAGCTTTATATCTTAAGAAACCAGAAAAAGAATAAACCAAGTACAAAGATAGAAATGGAAGGACATAGCAAAGATTAAAGCAAATATTAACCCAATAGAGAAGAGAAAAACAGTAAAAGAAAATCAACAAAACTGAGGTTACTTTTTTTTTTTTTAAAAAAAGACGAAATTGGCAAATCTTTGGCTAGAATAACTAAAAAAGAGAAAAACTCAAAGAAAATTAGAAATGAAAGAACTGCTGCAATAGGCCTTTAGTAATGTGGTGGTAAGTTGTGGGCGGAGGGGAAGCTTACTACAGTCCTGTAATTAGGTCTTGTCTTTTAGTGGAACTGTGCCTTTGTACTATGAACTCTGTAAGTGCTTCTCAATGTTTTGCCCTCTCTTTACGTGAGATGGGATGGCTAGAGTGTGCTGGTGTTGAGTATTCCCTTTCTCCCACATGGAAGGATAGAAGGGGCTGGAGTTGGGAATCTCTTTCCCCTAGGTCAGTTAAGCTCTCATAAAACCCCAGCAGGTTAGGCACTGGTTAAATATTTTTCCTGACTGCAAAACTTGAGAAGAAGAAAAGAATATTCGATATATCTCAAATGGTTCCTTTTCCCCTCCCACTACCAAAAGCACAAGAGGATTTTTCTCTGATATTCACTGTGAGGACTTTGTGGAACTCTAAGAGACAAAGCTCATGAAAGCGTGCCCCCTCTCCTGATGATTGGGTCTCCTTGGAGTTTTTAGCACTTAGTCTTGTTCACACTGAGCCTCAAGCAATTTTTCAATTACAGTTCAGGTTTCCCTGCCTTGGCATTGGTTCCCAAAGGGGTTTCTGCTCTTGGGTTCCTGCTCTGGTAAATTGTCATTCTCTGTATTCACCTATCAGTGTCTTTGATTTTGGGGACAGTGGTTTGCCCTGTAACCTCACTTCTCTTAAGGATCGAAGAAGGGCTGAATTTTCACTTTGATCAGCTTTTTACTTCGTGTTAGGGCAAAGTGGTGACTTCCAAGCTTCTCACATGTTGAACCAAAAACACAGAGCACCTGATATACAAGTTTTAAAAATTGAAACAAATTAAATATCCTTCCTAAAATGGTTAAATTTACCATAGTTCGTGGAATATGGTAAGAGAGTATGAAGCAACCACTATAAATGATGTTGTACATACTTATTGACAAAGAAAGATATCTACACTACTTAACTAGAAAAGAGAGTATAAAATGTATTTATACATAATTCTAACTTTGTTTTAAAAGATATTATATGTGCTAACATATATAATATATATATAATTCATGAAATCTGGTATTATATACACAAAAATATTAATACAAGTTTTCTTTAGAGAGTATATGATGAATACTTTTTATTCTCTTCTTTATGTTTTTCTGCATTTTATTTGTTTGTTAAAATCAACATGCATTGCTTTTAAAACCAGGCTTTATATGTGTGTGGGGAGGGAACATAGTAATGTTGTGTGACTTAATAGCCACAGCCTCACATGAATAAGGTGATCACAACTTCAAAGCCTGTGAAGTGAAGGAGTGATATTATTTTCTTTCAAGAAGGGAAGACCTTCTTGAAATTCTGTGTTGCAGTCTCATTTTCAGCTTTACCTCTCACTCCTTCTTCTCCATGGATGTCCTCCAGGGACCCCTCAGTCTCTGGGATCCTAAGTCTCTCTGTTTTTAGAATATCTGTAGCATTTAATGTTCGTAGGTCTCATCCACACTTATCTATTGCCTTTAGTTATTAGCTCTGTCTTATGTACCTATGTTTTGCCTCTTGAACTAGTCTACATGTTCTTCATAGATAGGTCTTGTACAATGTCTAAAATGAAAATGGTATAAATAATAATAATATATAATAGTACGGAATAAAAATGACCACTTACTGAGGACCGTTCAATTCTAGGCATTGTCCTATGGACATATGTTAACTTATTTTATGCTCATAATAATTCCATGAGGTTGGTATGATTGACCCCATTTTACAGATGAGGAAACAGAAGCCTAGGGAAATTAAATAACTCTCTCTGGGTCATAGATCCAGTAAGTTATTGAAGCAGAATCCTCTATAACACTCATCACAGAGCTCTCTATATTAGCAAGCACTCAACAAAGAATGGTAAATGCCATGTTTGTTAGGCATCTTCTGTCTCAGGCTACTGGAAAGGAATTTTGTTTGAAATTTCTAGACCCCCTACAACATGGCCTAAACAAGTACAGTGCTAGCTGCCCACAGTCCAAGTGCACCCTTAAGTATGCAGACATGCTCTGCCACAAGCAGAATTCCAGCTGTGTACAGACCTTTGGTCTTTGCTAAGTTTACAGTCAAGATGTCCCAGAAGAATAGGCAGGACTGACTGAGATTTACTCAGCTGTTTACAGATTTTCAACATTTTGCATCCTGTTCACAGTTCACCTCTTGGTTTAATTCACATCCAATTAGTCTCTGTTTTTGTTTTTTGTTGTTTTTAAAGATTTTAGTCTCCATCATTTAACCAGTCATTGACTTGCACACCCCCATGGCTATGCTTATCGTGTTCCTTCATCTTAGAAACCCTCCTCCCCTTCCCTTGTCCACATTAAAATTGTTTACTGAAGCTTCTAACCCAGCTCAAATGTTATATTTTCTCTGTAACTCTCCTGGACCTTTCTACCTTGAATCCTTATCTCTGCATCTAAGTTATATGTAGCCTTTGTCATAATGCATTATAATTATTTCCCTAGGTGCGTGTGTCCTCCACTAGACTGTCAGCTCTTTGAGGGCAGAGTACAGCGTCACTTCACATTCCATGCCTCATACATAGTGGCTTAATACTTACTAAATGTGGGTTAATGTGAATGGAAATGTGAATGGGACTAGGGAGATACAAAGACCATGGTAGAGTTAAGCTAGCCATGCTTTAGGCCAGTAATTGTCCTCTGTCTGATATGATTCTCTATTTCTAGCAATGAATTTAAAAAATGAAATAATTCTGAGTTAGGAGACTCTGAAGGGAAACATTCTAGTTTTCACAGTTTATCTTTTTATGTAGGATGAGTCTTGATCTGAATTTATAAAATATCAGGCAAACTCTTGTTAAAATCTCTGTTATCAAAACTTATACCAATGCCAAGATTATTCTTGAAAAATATTCAATATTAAATTAACCATTCCCTTCCATTAGTAAAAATAATTGAAAACTGAAGCCAACCAAAACAACATTTAAAGCACACACATAAGGTTTAGAGGCATAGAAATCCATGAAGTGAGCTGCCACAGGATGTCCCAATAGCAACCGTTTCACCAAGACATATTTATTAAACGTTTGTGAATTGCTAAGTGCTGTCAAACGTCTTCTAGAAAGAAGGACTGGATGGCCACCTTCCTCATGGGAGGGACTGTGCCAAGAGCAATATTGCTCATGTCATTAGTGTGTGGTGAGGAGATGTTGTGAACCCTCTTTGAGAGGTTATAGGAAAGTCGCTCTGCAACTGACAAAGCATCTTCATTCTCATTACTGGAAATGCCAAGTGGGAAAGAAGTGGGTCAGAGTGTCCCTCACTCTCCTTGAGATTGCATCATGAGTAGTTTCTGGCCTTTGTCATCCAATGACTGTTTCAACTTCTTATTCTGTATTGAGCCATATGTTCAATACAGAGCACAAGTAGGACTTTTTACAGTAGAAAGCTTTCTCTAATTCGTTCTTATTAATCTGCTGTAAGAAATAATGACCTTACTTTGGCCAGTCTCTTGGCCCTGTCATCTAATTGAGTTTTCTGAACACGAACCAGGTCAACAGGCGTTTCAGCCACTTTGTCTCTTTGTTTTCACCCCAGACAAAATGTGAGCAAAATGTCAGTGAATTCTTTTAATAGAGAAAACTGATTCTGAAAAACTCATCTACTTTAGGACTGAGTCACTTCTCTTAGGATGTTTAATTCTTTAAAATATAGTAACACCACTGACTATATACACACACACTCAAACTTCCCGTAAAGAGTTTATCTTAGAAGCAGTTTATCCAAAGGCTTTTTCAAAACTAATTACTAGCTGAAAAGTGTAATTATCCCTTCTCAGGCAGTCACAGCGTCTCAAAATTTTAGGGCAGGAAGGCAACTTAGAAATAATCTTAATCAATTCTATCATTTCAAAGATAAGGAACAATTTGATAGGCTAACCACTGTCCCACTACAACACTGTTAGTGACAGGACTCAACCTAGAACTTGAGCCTCCTAACTCTGAGCAGGACATTCATGTTTAATTAGTGTTTTGTGCAAAAGGGGAGAAAACTGATAGATTGAGCTGTAGAAACAGTAGAATCATAATATGCATCTGATTTTAATCTGCCTATGCAGATAAAATAATCACACACAATCAACAGAGAAAACCCTCCAATTTCCAAAGAAAAATGGCTAATGTCAAAATAAACCCCTTGGTCTAATGGTAGGGGTCAAGTTCAGAATATTGATACAGTGCACATGTTTTGATCAAACAAATGATTCATTAGGTTGAAATCAGTTTGTTATGAAAAATGCCAAAACAACCATTCAATTCAGTAAAACTGGATAAATCACTGAGAAAACAATTCCAAATTGGTCCATTTAGAAGAATTGAATGTAATATGTAACTAGATACAGCCAGAAACTAAAAGAGCAAACAAAAAATGGGAGCACAGCACCAGAATCCTACCCCGGCAAACCACAGACATAAAGAAAGAAAGGAAACCATCTGGGGATGTGTTAAGACACCTTTTAGAGTACATGACTTCCCCCATGCCTTCTTAATTTCCCCATCCAAAAACGTGGGCTCTTGGTATGGATCCTTATATACCTTGAACAATGGCCCTACCATGCTTGACTGCACCAGAGCAGATCACCTGAACCAAGCTGAGGCAATTAAGTACCCCTCTGGCAGTTAGAATTGAGACAAGAAAAGACAGCCTCATTGTGTAACTGAAACCCTAAAAAGCAACAAAAGAGGGTATGAAGATATGTGCCTTCCATATGGACTGAATATGAGGGAGAGCTTGTTGACTGAAAAGTTAGCAGATAGGCAAAAAATAGAGTTTCTGATTATAATAATTGCTATCAGAAAAATAAACAGTAGCCCATGATATAGCATTATAAAGTGAGTGTAAGTCATCAGAATGATGGTCAGAAATTTTTTAGCTGAGACCTAATGGATGAGGAGCCAGCCAAGCAAGCAGCTACACAAAAGATATTTTAGGGAACATAGATAGTAAGAGCAAGGGCCATGAGGTGGGAAAGCTTCGCACTTTTATGGTGATTGGAGCATAGTGACTGAGAGAGACAGAGAATGTGTTTGAAGGTGCTTTGTCTCATTTGCCCAGAGCAGTATGGATTTAATTCTGTCACCAAATATTGTCATTCATAGCATTCCTTGTACTATCCAAATGCCACAGTTTTGATAATGAATTAAGAGATTGCCCTATTTAAAGGCAAGAAATTTATATTTTCTTCCACAGGCAAAGGAAACCATTGAAGATTTTGAGCTTGCAACTGCCAACATCAGATCTATATTTTTGAAAAATCCTTGTAGTAAAGAGTATAAATTAGAAAGCATAAAGTACAATCTATGGATAACTGGGCTTTGGGTCTAATTTGGTATTAGTTTTCTTTCTCATTTTCATGTCCTTCATGTACTCAGGGACAGGAGTTGATGGGTAGGCTTCTGAAGAGACACACTGTTGTGTTCTAAATAGTGCATGCATACAGTTGCCATCATGGACAGAAGAGGACACAGAACATTCAGGTCACACCAGTACAAAACAGAAAGGGTCCAGGAGCCTGGATTACCAAGACAATTATATCAGTTCTCCTTGTAGACATAGCCTCAGGAAAATTATATAAGAATATTCACTCATATCTATTTAATGCTGTCAATTAAAGATAATTCTTCTGTGAAAAATGCAAGCGCAATCCTTAACCAAAGTCAGAGATGAAAGAAAAAATTATATGAAAACTCAAAAAATAATTCCACATATAGCTGCTCAGTTCTGCCTAAGATCAAAGACGGTTTTGAAACCTCTAAAACAGGCATCTCTTTAAACAGAAAGTATGCATGGCAATCATCAGTCCCCACAAATAAACATAGTTATGAGGAAAGAAAGATTACCAATTTAAAAAATATTGCAGGCTTTCAATCATGCTAGATGAAGCAAATTAAGACAGATAAAGTTGGTTTCCTTTTTTAAATGAGGGACTCCTCTCCACGCTCCCTACTTGACTTCGGTGTCTATGGAGAGTGATAAAGAATTGCTTTCACAAATAAGCATGACCAAGAGCTCTGTGGGGTTATCTTTAAAGAAGTAAGAAGGTCAAATCAAGTGTGATGGCTGTATACACGGAAGAAAAGGCCTAAGATCGTGGTGGTTTGTAAAGCCATCTCCAAACTCCATGGTGTTCCAAGTCATGGTCTATTTTTCTGAATCCAATGTATAGGTTTGGACCATTTTAGAGATGCATCCTTTCCCTAGCCCAACCTCTCCACTTTTATATTCCTCATATCCCACCCCATCACAAAAGAAACAATCTATTGCTTCTTGAAACAAAGATATCAGCCTATTCCCTTAATAAAGAGCAATTTTCTTTTCTTTTATTATTATACTTTAAGTTCTAGGGTACATGTGCACAACGTGCAGGTTTGTTACATATGTATACATGTGCCATGTTGGTATGCTGCACCCATTAACTTGTCATTTACATTAGGTATATCTCCTAATGCTATCCCTCCCCCCTCCCCCCGCCCCACAACAGGCCCTGATGTGTGATGTTCCCTTTCCTGTGTCCAAGTGTTCTCATTTTTCAATTCCCAACTATGAGTGAAAACATGCGGCGTTTGGTTTTTTTTCCTTGCCATAGTTTGCTGAGAATGATGGTTTCCAGCTTCATCCACGTCCCTACAAAGGACATGAACTCATCCATTTTTATGGCTGCATAGTATTCCATGGTGTATATGTGCCACATTTTCTTAATCCAGTCTATCATTGATGGACATTTGGGTTGGTTCCAAGTCTTTGCTATTGTGAATAGTGCCACAATAAACATATGTGTGCATGTCTTTATGGCAGCATGATTTATAATCCTTTGGATATATAACCAGTAATGGGATGGCTCGGTCAAATGGTATTTCTAGTTCTAGATCCTTGAGGAATCACCACACTGTCTTCCACAGTGGTTGAACTAGTTTACAGTCCCACCAACAGTGTAAAAGTGTTCCTATTTCTCCACATCATCTCCAGTACCTGTTGTTTCCTGACTTTTTAATGATCGCCATTCTAACTGGTGTGAGATGGTATCTCATTGTGGTTTTGATTTGCATTTCTCTGATGGCCAGTGATGATGAGCATTTTTTCATGTGTCTGTTGGCTGCATAAATGTCTTCTTTTGATAAGTGTCTGTTCATATCCTTCACCCACTTTTTGATAGGGTTGCTTGTTTTTTTCTTGTAAATTTGTTTGGGTTCTTTGTAGATTCTGGATATTAGCCCTTTGTCAGATGAGCAGATTGCAAAATTTTTTTCCCATTCTGTAGGTTGTCTGTTCACTCTGAAGGTAGTTTCTTTTGCCGTGCAGAAGTTCTTTAGTTTAATTAGATCCCATTTGTCAATTTTGGCTTTTGTTGCCATTGCTTTTGGTGTTTTAGACATGAAGTCTTGGCCCATGCCTATGGCCTGAATGGTATTGCCTATGTTGCATAGTCCTAAAGGATGCAGTGAAAGCAAGAGAAAAAGTAGAATTTCCACAGTAGTATTATTTCCACAGTATAAGTATCATTAAAAGTGCATATTAAAATATATATATTCTAACTGAAAAAGAGGTGATCTAAAATTGTGACATTATGCAAACATTGCTCAATTCAACTAAATAAATGCATACAGAGTTGTCTTGTGTGCCCTGAATCATGCTAGGCTCCATGAGCAAGATGGAAGGAACCTAAAAAATGTTCCATGCTCTCAAGATTATGGTATATTTTTGGAAAGTGTCTGCAAGGAAGAAAAAGCATCAGGGCAGGAACAGGAAATACATCTATATGAGCCGGGGTAGGGGGAGGAGAGGCGGAATCCCAAAAGATGTATAGAAATTGAAGCAGCATTTGTCACAAGGTGATCCAAAGATCACCTGCATCAGAAATAGCAGGGATGCTTACACAAATGCAGATACTCAGATCCCTTTGTAAGCTGAGTAAATCAGATTCTCTGCAGATGGGGCCTAGAAGGCCAATAAAATTATATTATTCTCCTGCTAAAAACCCTCTAAACAAAATGAGAACAAAATTCAAATACTTTACTGGGACCTACACAATCTGGCACCTGCTTGCTTCTCCCTCCATCATCTCTCCAATCATCTAGTCTCTATGCCCACCCCAAACACATACATTTCACTCTTCAATTAGCCTCTAGTTACACTGATATTCTTTCCAGTCCCCAAGTGGCAAAGATTCCCTATATTGTCTCCTGACTTACTTGTCATGTTTCCTTGTTGGGAAGTTTTCTATCATCACCCTAGCTAGTGCTGACATCTCACCAACACCACCATTTTCTATGTCACTATCCTATATTATGCTCTTTATAATATTTTATTAGTTTTCTGTTGGTGCTGTAACAAATTGCCACATACCTAGTAGATTAAGACAATACAACTGGATTATCTTACAATTCTGTAGTTCAAAAGTCCAAGTGTCTTACTATGGTTAAGATTAAGATGTTAGCAAGCCTTCATTTCTTTCTAGAGGCTTTGGGTAATAAGCCATTTTTCTGTCTTGACTAGTTCTTCAAAGCCATCCACAAACCTTGGCTCCCAGACCCTTTTCTCTGTATTAAAAGCCAACAATGCTGCATCTCTCTGATCCTTTATTTTATAGTTATATCTACCTCTGACTGCAGCCAAGAAAGATTCTCAGTCTTTAAAGACTCAGATTCAGGTTAATGCAAGATAATCTCCCCATTTTAAAGTTCTAAACCTTAGTGACATCTGCAAAGTCCCCTTTGTCATGTAAAGTAACATATCTACGGATCCTACACATTAGAATGTGGATATCTTTTAGAGCCATTATTCTGCTTATCATATGTACTTAAGATTATCTTAAGTTATCATATTTGTTTGTTTCTTTATTCATTTATTATCTTTATTATCCTAACAAAACCAAAGCTTACATTGATTCTGAGTGCCTAAAAACTAGGCCAGCATATGCAATAAACAATGACTAAATGAATGATTGAAAGGATGATGGACATTTATACCAAATCCCTGAATAATTATTACATATTCTTTTTTTTAAGCATTATGCCAGAGGTTAACGAAGCTACAGTCACCAAGTCCACCTAACATAGTCCCATCTACACTGTAGGGATGGAGCGTCTAGTCTATTTGTAACATATTATAGAAATACCTTGCCTATACTGTATGGTACCTACAATGTAGAAATGCTTTATGTCTAAGAAAAATCCCTTTTATGGCCACTGAAGTTCCTTTCCTCCATTGAAGCTTGATAGGCAGAGAACATACTATTCTCTTAATACACTTCAAGATATGCAAAATAAAATTATTACAGAGGGGCATGAAGGTGATGGAAATAAGTGAAGCTAGAAGAGTGAAAGACAATACAGAGGGGTGATGATTGTGTGTCTTGGAAAATGCATGCCTGGTGGAATGAAATAAGAATCTTATGTTGCCATAGTTTGTTATTTTTCAGGAGGAAAAAATCTGAACTTTTATATACAATGAACTAATGTCTAAAATAATATGCAGGTAAAAGTTCTTTGGCTTCAAGCTATGATAGAGTAGCATTTCTCACTGACAGCAACTAAAAAGGCAAATCACACACACACACACACACACACACACACACACACACACACACACAGTCTGTGTGGAGACAGTAAAAATGACTTTGCAACAAGATATGGGAGGCCAGTATCTTAGAAAAGTGAAGCTCATTAGGATGAGTTGCACATAGTGAATACCACTTTTCTACTGGGAGAATTTGTCCATTTTTAGCAGAAGAGGAGAGGCTAAGAAGCCAATAGTCAAGAGGCAGCTATAAAAAGGTAGAAAAGTCAGCAGAGTGTTTTGGCAATTCCACAGGACTATAGAGACAAAATTGAAGTTTGAGGCTGCCAACACTGCTAGTATGAGAGGGATAAATATTCCTGGGAGAAGAGAGGGGAAAGATACAGCCTAAAACTCGGTAGGATTCCCATGGAAGCATTTGCAAATTCTTAAGCTGTGCCTCACTTTATGCCTAACATAAATCCATTTTATTGCCTCAGAAGCTTCTTCCTCTGTTCAGTCTGAAGAACAGAGAATATCCTATTGTCCTACTTGATTTGAGGATGTAGAAATCAAATGACTATAGACAAGTATGGGTGATGAAAATGAATAAGGCGAGTTGGGTACAAAACAATATTGAGTGGTGGGATCTGTAGTGAGCTAGAAAGTGTATGCCACATCTAAAGAAGAAAGGAGTCACTGAGTACCAAACAATTTTTGCCATTTAGGAATAAGAATTCTGTGAGTATTAAACAGGACAGACATTTCAGCGTTTCAGTGATACTGAGTAATACAAATTGGAGTTCAGGATCCGCTAAGGAGAAAGAGTCATAATAATCACTCCAGGTTCTCAGTTGGAACGCCTGGAGACCTACACCATAGGATTATTGATCTTTACACTGGTCTTTTAAAAATTCTCTCTCCTCAATTGTTTTGGGTGTATATGCTCAACTCTAGCTAACAGCCAGAGGAGAGGGTAAACAAATCTCTTGAAGACTATATCATCATCCAGAACCTCTACAATTTTTCCCACAAATATTTAATCAAAAATTACCAGGAATGACAAGAAAAGTAACAAAGACAAAAAACAACAAACACCTGTCTACAAATAATGCTGATATTTGAAATATCAGACACAGATTTGAAGAAAATTATGACTCATGTGTGCAAGAAAATAGGTGACAACATGGAGAGTTTCAACAGAAATCTGTACTCAGTTTTTAAAAATCAAATATTACAAAACTGAAAAATATTAAACAGATATTATTGGTGAATGAGAATGTAGGATGGAAAAACCAGACTAAAGCACACAAATAGAAAATATGTTTGAAAAATAGAAAGTTGCATAAGAAATATATGGAAAATGTACAACATACATGTAATTGGAGTTGCAGAGGGGAAAGAAAATGAGATACAAATGATACTTGAAGTCAAATGGTTGAGAATTTTCTACAGCTAATTATAAAAACCCCAAAACATCAACCCACAGTTTCAAGAAACTCAACAAATCCCACAGAGGATAAATACAAGGGAAACACACCCAAGCATATTATAGTCAAAGTTTGAGAACAAGAAAAAAAAATCTTAAATGGAGACAGAATATAGACATCAGTTTTAAATCATTAAAATAAAACCAAAAGATTTTTATTTAACTAAAATAATAGAAACAATAAGATGATGGAATGACATTTTTAATAAGCTAAAAGAAAATAAATGGGGTCGGGGCCAAGATGACCAACAAGAAGCAGTGGTAAGTGGAGGCACTCATCAAAAACAACCATAACAGCATGCAAATCCTGAACCGGCAACTGAGGTATCCAGGTTCTGCCATCAGAACCAACTAGAGAACTGACCAAAAGCAATTGCAACAAAAGCCAAAATTGACAAATGGAATCTAAACTAAAGAGCTTCTGCACAGCAAAAGAAACTATCATCAGAGTGAACAGGCAACCCACAGCAGGGGAGAAAATTTTTACCATCTATCCATCTGACAAAGGTCTAATATCCAGAATCTACAAGGAACTTAAACAAATTTACAAGATAAAAACAACCCCATCAAAAAGTGGGCATAGGATATGAACAGACACTTCTCAAAAGAAGACATTTACGTGGCCAAAAAAACATGAAAAAAAAGCTGATCATCACTGGTCATTAGAAAAATGCAAATTGAAACCACAGTGAGACACCATCCCACTAGAAAAATGTAAATCAAAACCACAGTGAGACACCATCCCACACCAGTTAGAATGGCAATCGTTAATAAGCCAGGAAACAACAGATGCTGGAGAGGATGTGGAGAAACAGGGATGCTTTTACACTGTTGATGGGAGTGTAAATTTGTTCAACCATTGTGGAAGACAGTGTGGTGATTCCTCAGGGATCTAGAACTAGAAATACCACTTGACCCAACAATCCCATTACTGGTTATATACCCAAAGGATTATAAATTATTCTACTATACAGACACATGCACACATATGTTTATTGCAGCACTATTCACAATAGCAAAGACTTGGAACCAACACAAATGCCAGTCAATGATACACTGCATGAAGAAAATGTGGCACATACACACCATGGAATACTACACAGTCATAAAAAATGAGTTCACGTCCTTTGTAGGGACATGGATGAAGCTGGAAACCATCATTCTCAGCAAACTAACACAGGAACAGAAAACCGAACACCGCATGTTCTCACTCATAAGTGGGAGTTAAACAATGAGAACATATGGGCACAGGGAGGGGACATCACACACTGGGGCCTGTCAGGAGTGAGGGGCAAGGGGAGGTATAGCATTAGGAGAAATACCTAATGTAGATGAGGGGTTGATGGGTGTGGCAAACCACCATGGCACATGTATACCTATGTAACAAACCTGCACATTCTGCACATGTATCCCAGAACTTAAAGTATAATAATAATAATAATAAAAAGAAACCCTTAAAAAAATCAATGAGTCCAGGAGCTGTTTTTTTGAAAAAATTAACAAAATAGACCAGTAGATAGGCTAATAAAGAAGAGAGAAGAATCAAATAGACACAATAAAAATGATAAAGGGGATATCACCACTGACCCCACAGAAACATAAATTACCATCATAGAATACTACAAACACTTCTCTGCAAATAAACTAGAAGATCTAGAAGAAATAGATAAATTCCTGAACACATACACCCTTCCAAGACTAAAACTCCTGAACACATACACCCTCCCAAGACTAAACCAGGAATAAGTCAAATTCCTGAATAGACCAATAGCAAGTTCTGAAATTGAGGCAGTAATTACTAGTCTACCAACCAAAAAAAAAGTCCAGGACCAGACCAATTCACAGCCAAATTCTACCAGAGATAAAACAAGAAGCTGGTACCATTCCTTCTGAAACTATTCCAAACAACTGAAAAAGAGGGACTCCTCTCTAACTAACTTTACCCAAATAGCAAAATCTGGCAGAAACACAACAAAAAAATAAAACTTCAAGCCAATATCTCTCATGAACAACAATGCAAAATCCTCGATTAAATACTGGCAAACCAAATGCAGAAGCACATCAAAAAGATTATCCACCAAGACTTCATGACAAAAACACCAAAAGGAATTGCAACAAAAGCCAAAATTGACAAATGGGATCTAATTAAATTAAAGAGCTTCTGCACCACAAAAGAAACTAGCAGCAGAGTGAACAGGCAACCTAAAGAATGTGGAAAATTTTTTGCAATCTACCCATCTGACAAAGGGCTAATATCCAGAATCTACAAGAAACTTAAACAAATTTACAAGAAAAAAAAAAACAACCAACCCCATCCGAATGTGGGCAAAGGTTATAAACAGACATTTTTCAAAAGAAGACATTTATGTATCCAAAAAACATATGAAAAAACGCTCAACATCACTGATCATTAGAGAAATGCAAATCAAAACCACAATGAGATACCATCTCACGCCATTCAGAATGGCGATTATTAAAAAATCAGGAAACAATAGATGTTGGCGAGGCTGTGGAGAAATAGGTATGCTTTTACAAACTGTTGGTGGGAATGTAAATTTGTTCAACCATTGTGGAAGAGAGTGTGGTGATTCCTCAAGGATCTAGAACCAGATATACCATTTGACCCAGCAATCCCAATATACCCAAAGGAATATAAATCATTCTACTACAAAGATGCATGCATGCATATGTTTATTGCAGCACTATTTACAATAGCAAAGACATGGAACCAACCCAAATGCCCATCAATGACAGGCTGGATAAAGATAATGTGGCACATATACACCATGGAATACTATGCAGCTATAAAAAGGAATGAGATCATGTTCTTTGCAGGGACATGGATGAAACCGGAAGCCATCATCCTCAGCAAACTAACACAGCAAAAGAAAACCAAACACCACATGTTCTCACTCATAAGTGGGAGTTAAACAATGAGAACACGTGGACACAAGGAGGGGAACAACACACACCGGGTCCAGTCAGTGGGTGAGGGGGAAAGGGAAGGGAGAGAATGAGGACAAATGCCTAATTCATTCGGGGCCTAAAACCTAGATGACGGGTTGATAAGTGCAGCAAACCACCAAGGCACATGTATACCTATGTAACAAACCTGCAGTTTCTGTACATGTATGCTAGAACTTAATGTAAAACAAAATACATGAAATAAAATAAAGAAAAAATGGTTTGCTGCTGTCAGTCCCAGGTTTTAGAAAATGTCTGCATCTGGCCGGGCGCGGTGGCTCACGCCTGTAATCCCAGCACTTTGGGAGGCCGAGGCGGGTGGATCACGAGGTCAGGAGATCGAGACCATCCTGGCTAACAAGGTGAAACCCCGTCTCTACTAAAAATACAAAAAATTAGCCGGGCGCGGTGGCGGGCGCCTGTAGTCCCAGCTACTCGGGAGGCTGAGGCAGGAGAATGGCGTGAACCCGGGAAGCGGAGCTTGCAGTGAGCCGAGATTGCGCCACTGCAGTCCGCAGTCCGGACTGGGCGACAGAGCGAGACTCCGTCTCAAAAAAAAAAAAAAGAAAAAAAAAGAAAAAATAAAATGTCTGCATCTTTTTCTGGTGTCTTTTCCTCACAGTGTCTCCAAAACTTTCCTCAGATTAGCTACAGGTCTAGGGAGAAACTAAGGCTCTCCCATGGCCTGAGTTTCTCAGACCCCTACTGGAAATGTGATACACAGAGGGAGGCTTTCTGCCTCTCTCACATACAGAGGCTTCATCTACTTTTCTCAGGCAGTCACCATGGGGATTCTGTGCTGGCATTCTCTCCTGAATGTGGGATGTCCTTATGGACTATCTTGCTATTTTCACATGGCTAAGGCATGCTAAAAGCCTCTAATCTACCGTCTTGCAGGGGGAAAAAAAAGGAAAAAACTCTAATATGTGTTTTAAAACAGACTAAAGATTCATGATAACTAAATACAATAAGTTATTATGAATGAGTCCTATGCCTGGAAAAATGGTAATAAAAATGTTATTGGAAGAATTAACAAAAATTTTGAATATGGATTTTATTTTACCAGGAGTTGGCAATCTATGTTGTGTAGGCCAAATCCCATGGCCTGTTTTTGTATGACTTATGAGCTAAAATCAATTTTTATATTTTAAAAGGTTGTAAAAACAACAAAAAAGCAAGAATATGCAACAGAGACCTAATAAGGCCCTCACAGCCTGAAGTATTTATTGTCTGGTTTAGTTTGTTAACTACTGGCCTAGAATACTAGTAAAAGTCAAGTGTATTTTGTTTCAGCTTTAGATCCAGCAAGAAAATCTTTGTCTTTGCATTTATATGAGCCCACACATCTCCCTTGCTTTTTTAAGCCACTTGAGTTAGGGCTCTGACACTCGTAGTCAAGAGTCTTAACTGATACCAACATTCTATACTACCATGGCAACATGGCTTTTCTTTCCTGGCTCTTTGTCAGTTAATGGCAGTAAGGCTTCAACTTGAGAATTTTACTTCAGTCTTTTTCTCCCTCACAAACCTAATGGAGAAGAAAATTGAGCAACACAGTCAACTATTTACATAATCTCTAGATTTTTTTTGGCTATTACAAATCAGGATAATCACTGAATTATCTACTTTCTTTGTTAGTGAAGACCATATTTAAGTTGGTGAAGTTTTTCAGAAGCCTTATCAGATTTCCAATCATGGCTAGCATCACTGTGTATAGAAGTTTTGCATTTCGTCTGGTACATATTTTTTTGCAAGTACCTTTATACAGTCTGCTTCTCTCAGATGAAATATTGATAAAATGTGTCCAATGTAATTAAAAATGGATTCATAATGGAAATGCCAATTCAATGAACATAATTAATAACACTGTAAGTTCATATAATTACTTTTTAAATGGCCTAAAGATCTGATAGAAAAAAGGATTTCACTATCATACTATTTCATAAATGTATATTCCCAGAAAAATTATAAAACAATTTTAAAAAGAGGAGATAGTTGAAGGTAGATAAAATAATGTCAAAATGATCTAGAAAAAGAAGAATGTTTGCTTCTCAGAGTTAATCCCAAATCCTTTGTTTGTTCTCTTTTCCATGCATCTCAGCAAATACGTATTCAGCAAGTAATGTGTGCTACGTACTGTGGCAGACTAAGGATATAATACTCAATATAACATAGTCCTTACCATCAAGGTAATCAAGGAAGAGATTACCTTGTTAAGAAAGAGACATCTCATATAATTGCAGTGCCATTTAAATGAAATGAAAGTTTTACATGTAAAACTTATTGTCTAGGGCTTTGGAAACTTTGGGAAAATCTTCTCCAAAAAATGGAAGTTTGATCTAACCACTGAAGGTGAATAGGAGGTTTCTAGAATAGTCTTGATGAATGAAAGAGGCATATGCCTATGAGAAAAAATTAAATAATATGAGTAGGAGTTTAAAATTATATAAAAAAACAAAGACTGTTATAGACACTTAGAAAACTGTACAATCAAGTATAAATACAAAATGATAAAGATGCAAAAAGTTGAATTTTCTTTATAAGTTTCTAGAAGAAAACCTTGGGTTAGGAGAGAGTCATCTTGGACAAATAAATGCAGGAAAAACATCTGGAAAAAATGAACAAAAATGAGAGAACGGAAGGAAAAAATAGGAGAAGAAAAGGAAGGATGGAAGAAGGGAGGGAGGGAGGCAGGGAAGGAAGTAAATAAGAAAGGAAGAGAGGAAGGGAGGAAGGGTAGAAGGAAGGAAGGGAGGGAGGGAGGGAGGGAGGGAGAGAGGGAGGCATTTGAGTTTGTTCCATGTCTTTGCTATTGCAAACAGTGCCGCAACAAACATATGTGTGCATGTGTCTTTATGGCAGAATGATTTATATTCCTTTGGGTGTATATATATATATGGAGGGAGGGAGGGAGGCAGGGAGGGAGGGAGAAAGACAGGTACAGACAGGCAAGCCGAAAGGAAGGAGCCAGCTCAATGTGGGCTGAGAAAAGTCTAGATTATTACCTACCAAGAGCAGCCATGTGAAGACCTTACACAGACTAAATAAGAGTAAGCTGTGTTATCTTCCTTGAATTTGTGTCTGAGACATGACTTTGAGACTCCAAAGCTTAAGAAACTCATCAAACCATTTTAGAGATGCTGATTTACATAAGATAATGTATGGGACCCAGAGGAAACTGCAAATGTGCCACAGGTAAAGAAAATGGTCACTTACTCTCTTTGCTTTTCCACCTTTCCCCATGTTGTAAATAATATAACTCCAATTTCTTTTGGGGAACCACCACTTCCAGGGGATTTGGGTGAGCTAACATGACCCCTAACTAGATGCTCCATGTGACCAATGCCTGGAAAATCATAACCTTGAATCCTTAGGCTTTGGCAGTTAGTTTGAAAATATAACCAACTTCTAGTTTGAACTGTTGGAAGAGATCTCTGTTTATTGATTCAACTCAGAATTATAAAAATGTAAGGTTTATTCCACCTAGGGTCATCATTAATAATGAACCATATGAAAAAATCAACAGAAAGGTAGACCCATGAGATGGAGTAAGGTCAATGATGAGTTAATGGGTGCAGCAAACCAACACGGCACATGTATACATATGTAACAAACCTGCACATTGTGCACATGTATGCTAGAACTAAAAGTATAATAATAATAATAATAGTAAAGATCAAGTCCTAATCACTTCCTTTGTGCATCTGGATCTGCCAGTGCTGGATTTCTGAAATTATTGTTTTCTAGAATGTCTTTAACCCTCATTTTGAAGAATATTATAATAGGTATAGAATTCTAACTTAGAAGTTTATTTTTATTGCTTTTGTTCATTTACTTTCTTTTTAAAAAAACATTTGACTTTAAGTTCCGGGATACAAATGCAGAACGTGGTTTGGTACATAGGTATATGTGTGCCATGGTGGTTTGCTGCACCTATCAACCTGTCATCTAGGTTTTAAGCCCCACATCCATTAGGTATTTGTCCTAATGCTCTCCCTCCCTTTTCCCCCTTACCCCCTGATTAGCCCCGGTGTGTGTTGTTCCCCTTTCTGTCTCCATGTGTTCTCATTGTTCAACTCCAACTTATAAGTGAGAACATGTGGTGTTTGGTTTTCTGTTGCTGTGTTAGTTTGCTGAGGATGATGTCTTCCGGCTTCATCCATGTCCCTGAAAAGGACACTATCTCATTCTTTTTTATGGCTGCATAGTGTTCCTTAGTGTATATGTACCACATTTTCTTTATCCAGTCTATTATTGACAGGCATTTGGGTTTGTTCCATGTTTTTGCTGTTGTAAGTGGTGCTGCAGTAAACATATGTGTGCATGTGTCTTTATAGTAGAATGATTTATATTCCTTTGGGTATATACCTAGTAATGGGATTGCTGGGTCAAATGGTATTTCTGTTCTAGATCCTTAAGAAATTGCCATACTGTCTTCCACAATGGTTGAACTAATTTACATTCCCACTAACAGTGTAAAAGCATACCTATTTCTCCACAGCCTTGCCAGCATCTATTGTTTCTTGACTTTTTAATAATCGCCATTCGGAATGGCATGAGATGGTATCTCATTGTGGTTTTGATTTGCATTTCTCTAATGATCAATGATGTTAAGCTTTGTTTGTTTGTTTGTTTGTTTTCATATGTTTCTTGGCTGCATAAATATATATTTTTTTCTTTTTGAGACCAATTCTTGCTCTGTCGCCCAGGCTGAAGTGCAGTGGCGCGATCTTAGCTCACTGTAACCTCCGCCTCCTGGGTTCAAGCGATTCTCCTGTCTCAGCCTCCTAAGTAGCTGGAATTACAGGTGCACACCACCACACCTGGCTAATTTTTGTATTTTTGGTAGAGATGGGGTTTCACCATGTTGGTCAGGCTGGTCTCAAATTCCTGACCTTGTGATCCGCCCACCTCAGCTTCCCAAAGTGCTGGGATTACATGCGTGAGCCACTGTGCCTGACCTAAATATCTTCTTTTGAGAAGTGTCTGTTCATACCCCTTTTCCACTTTTTGATGAGGTTGTTTGTTTTTTTCTTGTAAATTTGTTTAAGTTCCTTATAGATTCTGGATATTAGACCTTTGTCAGATGGGTAGATTGCAAAATTTTTCTCCCATTCTGTAGGTTGCCTGTTCACTCTGCTGCTAGTTTCTTTTGCTGTGCAAAAGCTCTTTAGTTTAAGTATATCCCATTTGTCAATTTTGGCTTTTGTTGAAATTGCTTTTGGGGTTTTCATCATGAAGTCTTTGCCCATGGCTGTGCCCTGAATGGTACTGCCTAGGTTTTCTTGTAGAGTCTTTATGGCTTTGGGTTTTACATGTAAGTCACTAATCCATCTTGAGTTAATTTTTGCATAAGGTGTAAGGAACAGGTCCAGTTTCAGTTTTCTGCATATGGCTTGCCAATTTTCCCAGCACCATTTCTTAAATAGAGAATCCTTTCCCCCATGGCTTGTTTTTCTCAGGTTTCTCAAAGATCAGATGGTTGTAGATGTCTGGTGTTCTTTCTGAGGTCTCTGTTCTATTTCATTGTTCTATATGTCTGTTTTGGTAACAGTATTATGCTGCTTTGGTTATGTAGACTTGTAATATAGTTTGAAGTCAGGTAGTGTGATGCCTCCAGCCTCGTCCTTTTGGCTTAGGATTGTCTTAAATCTAGATGCACACAAAGTCAGCCACTCTTTGGTGACCTGGAAGCATGGCTGTGCAAGCATTTGAGTCTTGGGGCAGAGATTAGAGCACCTGCTCTGAAGTGGGGTAGGGACCTCCACATCCGTAACTGAGGAAATCATCTCAGCAGTAGGCACTGAATTTGTGCTCTTCCCAGTCACAAGCCTAAGGTGGAAAGCGAGCTGCTATAGCTGCAGTTTCTCCTGGGCAGACGACTTGCAGCCAGAGCAAGCCTGGTGACCTGGAACTGATGTGTATATGCCATTGCTAGCTGCCCCAACCTGTTCCCCCAAGATTATGGTACAGCGAGGCTCTCTTTGCTCTATTCCCAGACCAAAATCCATGCATTTTGAGCTCCCATTTACCTGATTCAGCAGCCCGGCCAACCTCACCCTTCCTGGACACAGATTATGGTGCAGTGGCACACTCTGCTCCATGCCCAGACAGATCCCCAGACATTCAGAGCACCTGTTCACCCAGTTCAGTAACCTGTGCCACCCGACCCTTCCTGGATATAGATCTTGGTGCAGCACGGCTCTCTCTGCTCCATGATCAGGCAGATATCCAGGAATTGAAGCACCTGCTCACCTGGATCAGTAGCTTTGCCCACCCCATCCTTTCTGTGCAGAGATCCTGGTATTGGGGGGACCCTATCTGCTCCACACCCAGGCAGATCTCCAGGCTTTCAAGAGCACCTGCTTGCCTGGTTCAGCATCCTGAAATTCCCTACCCCTCCTGTGCAGAAATCTTGGTGCAGGGGGTCCCTCTCTGCTCCATGCCCAGGCAAATCTCCAGGCATCCAGAGCACCTATTCTCTTGAATTAGGAACTTAAGGCACTCCTCATCACCATGCAGAGAACTTGAAGCTCGGGAGGTTTCCCAGTTCCATGCTTATACACACATCTGGAAACATAAGAGTATTATCTGTTACCACAAAAAGAAAAAAAAAAAAGAACAACATTTTAGGTACATAGCCCACAGACCCTATGAAGCAAAACACAACAGAATGCAACCAGGTGACAATGTCTTGATAGGATCAAAACTTCACATATAAATATTAACATCAAATATAAATAGTCTAAAAACCCCACTTAAAAGGCACAGAGTAGCAAATTGGATTTCTTTAAAGAATCCATCTGTCTACCGTCTTCAAGAAAACTATCTCACATTTAATGACACCTATAGGTTCAAAGCAGATGGTTGAAGAAAGATCTACCACGTGAACAAAAGACAAAAAGCAGGGGTCATGATTCTATTATCAAATAAAATAGACTTTAAACCAACAGCAGTTTCAAAAGGACAAAGAATAGCATTATATAATGATAAAACACTCAATTCAGTAAGAATACTTAACTGTCCTAAGTATATATATGCCCAACGTTAGAGCACCTAGATTCATAAAACAAGTACTTCAAGGCCCACAAAAGGAAAGCCACAAAATAGCAATGTGAAACTTCAGCACCCCACTGACAGCATTATATGGGTGGTCAAGACAGAAAAGTAACAAGGAAATTCTGGATTTAAATTTGACAGTTGATCAACTGGACCTAATGGATATCTACAGAATATTCTACTCCTCAACCACAGAATATATATTCTTCTCATCTGCACATGGAAGATATTCCAATATTGACAACATACTCAGGCATGAAGCATGCTTCAATAAATTTTTTAAAAAATCAAAATCATACCAACCATACTCTGAAACCACAGTGCAATAAAAATAAAAATCAATACCACGATCTCTCAGAAGCACAGAATTACACGGAAATTAAACAACTTGTACCTGAATTACTTTTAGGTAAACAACAAAACAAGACAGAAATAAAAAAAAATCTTTAAAATAAATTAAAATAGAGACATAACATACGAAAATCTCTGGGATGCAGCAGAACAGTGTTAAAAGGAAAGTTTATAGTTCTAAATGCCTACCTCAAAAAGAAAGATTTCAAATCAATGATCTAACAGATATTACTCTAATTACCTAGAGTAACTAGAAAAACAAGAACAAACTAAACCCAAAGCCAGCAGAAAAAAATAAATAACTAAAATAAAAAATCTCTACGAAGAATCAATGAAATAAAAAGTTAGTTTTTTGAAAGGATCAACAGGATAGACAACTAGCTAGACTAACAAAGAAAAAAGAAAGAAGATACAAATAAGCACACTCAGAAAAGAAAAATGTGAGATTATAACTGATCTCACAGAAATACAAAAGATCCTCAGACACTATTGTGAACACCTCTACAGACACAATCTAGAAAATCTAGAGGAAATACATAAATTCCTGGAAACACAAAATCTCCCGAAATTAAATTAGGAAGAAATTGAAACACTGAACAGACCAATATCAAATTCCAAAATTGAATCAGTAGTTAAAACCTACCAACCAAAAAAGCCTCAGTCCAGATGAATTCACAACCAAATGCTACTGAACATACAGAGAGTTGGTACCAATGATTCTGAAACTATTTTTAAAATCAAGGAGAAGAGACCCCTTCTCAACTCATTCAACAAAGTCAACATCACTCTCATGCCAAAACCTGGCAAAAACAATGTGAAAAAAGCAAATTACAGGCTAACATCTCTGATGAACATAGATGCAAAAATCCTCAACATATTACTAGCAAACTGAATTCAACAGCACATCAAAAAGTTAATGTACTATGATCAAGTAAGTTTCATTCCTGGGATGCAAGATTGGATCAACATATGCAAATCAATAAATGTGATTTATCATATAAAAAATTAAAACCAGAAACCATATGATCATCTCAATATATGTAAAAACAGCTTTTGATAAAATCCAACATTTCTTCATGATAAAAACCCTAAAGAAACTAGGATTAAACGAACAAACCTCAAAATGTTAGGAGCCATCTATGGCAAACCCACAGCTGACATTATGCCAAATGGACAAAAATTGGAAGCAGTCTTTTTGAGAACTGGAACAAGACAAGATAGCCCAGTCTTACTACTCCTATTCAACATAGCACTGGAAGTCCTAGCCAAAGCAATCAGACAAGAAAAAGGTATAAAGACATCCACACAGGAGAAACTACCTCTTGTCATGAACAATATAATACTCTACATAGAAAATGCCAAAGAATCCACCAAAAGACTCCTGGAACTGATAAATGACTTCAGCAAAGCTTCAGGATACAAAATCAATGTACGAAAATCAGTAGCATTTCTATGCACCAATAATGTTCATGCTGAGAATCAAATCAAGATCACAATCTAATTTACAATAGCCCCACACACAAAAAAAAATAAAATACCTAGAATAACTGTAACCAAGGAGATGAAAGATGTCTACAAGGAGAACTACAAAACACTGCTAACTAATAGATTAAACAAACACATGAAAAAACAATCCAAGCTCATGAACTGGAAGAATAAGTATTGTTAAAATGGCCATACTTCCCATTGCAATCTACAGATTTGATGCTATTCTATCAAACTACCAATATCAGTTTTCAAAGAATTGAAAAAAAAAACTATTCTAAAATTTATATGAAACCAAAAAAGTGACCAAACAGCCAAAGCGACCCTAAGCAAAAAAAACAAATCTAGAGGTATCACGTTACCTGACTGTTTTAGACAGTTTCTACATTGCTATAAATAAATACATAAACCTGGGTAATTTAAAAGAAAAGTGGTTTAATTGGCTCATGGTTCTGGAGGCTGAACAGGAAGCATAGCAACAGCATCTGCTTCTGAAGAGGACTCAGGAAACTTAAAGTTATGGTGGAAGGCTGAGAAGGAGCAGGCACATCACACGGCAGAAGAGACAGCAAGGACAGGGGAGGTGCCATACACTTTTAAACAAGCAGATCTCATGAAAATTCAATTATTATTGAGAGGACAGCATCAAGCCATGAGGGATCCACCCCTAGGACCCAAACAGCTCCCATTAGGCCCCACCTCCAACAATGGGAATTACATTTCAAAATGAGATTTGGGGGGACAAATATCCAAAAGAAATCACCAACTACTAACTAGACTATAAGCCTACAGGAACAAAAACAGCATAGTAATGGTACAAAAAATAGACACGTGGAACAAGAGAAAATGATAGAGGCCCCAGAAATAAAACTACACATCTACAGCCAACTAATCTTTGAAAAGTCAACAAAAATAAGCAATGAGGAAAAGACTTCCTAATCAAGATATGTTGCTAGGATAGCTGACAAGCCATATGCAGAAAAATGAAACTGGATCCCTTCTTTTCATTATATACAAAAATTAACTCAACATACTTTACAGATATAAATGTAAGACCTCAAACTGTAAGCATTTCCTAGAAGAAAACCTCGGAAACATCATACAGGATATGGACACTGGGAAAGAATTTAACACTAAGCTCTGAAAAGCAATAGCAATGAAAACAAAAATAGACAAATGAGACCTAGTTAAACTAAAGAGCTTCTGCACAGCAAAAGAAACAATCAACAGAATAAACAGACAACCTATAGAACGGGAAAAACATTTGCAAACTATGCATCTGATAAATGTCTAGTATCTGGAATCTACAAGCAACTTCGACAATTGAATAAACAAAAAACAACCTCATTAAATAATGGGCAAAATCCATGAACAAACACTTCTCAAAAGATGACATACAAGTTGCAAACTAACATATGAAAAAACTGCTCCACATCACTAATAATCAGAAAAATGTAAACCTCAACCACAATGACACATCATCTCAAAACAGTCAGATTGGCTATTATTAAAAAGTCAAAAACAACAGATATTGGTAAGGCTGCAGAGAAAAGGGAATGTTTATACACTACTGCTGATAATGTAAATTAGTTCTGTCACTATGGAAAGCAATTTGGAGATTTTTTCAAAGGACTTAAAACAGAATTATAATTCAACCCAGCAATCCTATTACTGGATATATATCCAAAAGAAAACAAATTGTTCTGCCAAAAAGATACATGCACTCGCATGTTTATCTCTGCACCATTCATAATAGCAAAGACATGGAATTAACCTAGGTGACAATCAATCAATGGTGAATTTTATAAAGAAAATGTGTTACATACATGCCATAGACTACTATACAGCCATAATAAAAGAACAAAGTTATGTCCTTTGCAGCAACATGGATGCAGCTGGCGGCCATTAGCCTAAACAAATTAATGCAGAAACAGAAAACCCAATACTGTGTGTTCTCACTTATAAATGAGAGCTGAATGTTGTGCATTTATGGATATAAAAAGGACAACAATAGACACTTGGGACCACTGGAGAGGGGAGGGAGCAATGGGGTAAAGCTTGAAAAATGAATTTCGGGTACTATGCTCAGTACTTGGGTCATGAGATCATTTGTATCTCAAACCTCAGCATCACACAATATACCCAGGCAAAAAACTTGTACATGTACCCCTTGAATCTAAAACAAAAGCTGAAAATTCATAGATCCTTTGAAAGAAACGACATGCCACTGCAAACTCTGGGAGACAGACAAAAAACTGTGAGTTCCCAAAGTGTAAGAGGAGGAAAATCTGCCTTTGATCATACATCCTCACTGGGGAATCTGACAATCCAGATCATGAGGGAAGAACTTAACCTTCCCTAGAGCTGGAACAGATTTAGGATGGCACTCCCAGTCTCCAGCTAGAGTCAAAGGAAGCCATCCCTGACTTTATCCCACAACAACCCTCAGGGAAGGCAGCCAGCAGAATTAGGGAGGGGTCACAGGGTGCAGGAAGCTTCCAACTGAATTTTGTGGTAATTTCGACTGGGCATAGACTTTCTTGAGCAGAATCCAGGAGATGAACAGGAGTTGCCAACATTGCAAGCAAATGGGGCAGGGGGGCGGGGGGGGGGAAGGGGGGGTGGCCTGAAAGCTATGCTTGCTTTCTCAGCAGGGAAGTTTCACTGTTAGTTGGGCACTACAGAAGAGAGATTGGCCTCACCAACTTGGTGGGAGCTGAGTGAGGCCTTTTGCTACTAGCTATCCCCACTTTTCTGGTGAACTATATGACACAACAGAGGAAGCCAAGACCCACTCAAAAACATAACTCCACTGGCCTGAGAACCACCCCCCAATCTCCCAAGTGGCTGTGACAAGCCCTGCCCGAGGACAGTCTGAACTCAGACACATCCAACCCTGCTCCCACCAAATGGCATTTCTCTACCAACTCTGGTAGCTGAACACAAAAGACATAAACTCTCAGGTACTTTATGGTCCCACCTATCACCTGAGAAACCAAAATACTTCTACTGGCCAACTTAGGGCAAGCTCAAATCCCATTGTTAATACCACAGCTGGTGCTCTCTTGCAAATGCCACCTCCTGGCTAGAGGCCAACAGACTCAGCCATTACAGCAACTCATGATGGAATAACACTGCTTCCAGGAAGAAGAAAAAAAACCAAAAAAACAGAAATGAATAACAACAACAACGATGACAACAACAACAACAAAAAAACAGCTAATACCACTGCCTGCAACATCCTGGCTAACCAGAAGTCCTGAGTCTGTCCATGTGACAACTTCACTGCTAGCATAAGCAGCATTCGAGAATGCCAGCACACTAAACCTGTCTAAAACCAAAGACTCCTACAGAGTTTACCTCACTCCCCTGCCACCTCCACTAGAGCAGGTGCTGGTATCCATGGCTGAGAGACCTGAAGACCAATCACATCACAGAATTCTTTGCAGCTATTCCTCAGCACCAGCCTGGAGTCTGGTAGCACTGCTGGAAGGCTAGACCCAGACGAGTATTAACAAGCACTACAGTCTGGTTCTCAGGAGTCCACACCCCTAGGGGAAGGGGGACAGCACTACATCAAGGGATCACCCCATGGGACCAAGGAAACTGAATAGCAGGCCTTGAGTTCCAGATCCTTCTACTGGTGCATATTTCTCACAGGAGAGACACAATTGCAGTGCTGGCTGCATGTAGGGAAAGTATGAACCTATACCCCAACTGTCAGGCAGACTTTGTGATCTGGAAAGGTCTTGGTAAAGGGGTCTTTTTCCCCCCAGCACTCCACTCCGGACAAAGCTGGGGCTTCCATCACAGGGACACAGTGTGGCAGCACTTATAGATGACCTTTCTGGAACAATCCAGGGTGAGCGCAGCTACACAGGAGAAGCACACACGAGATTCAGGCCAGCATGAGAGGCAGAGTCACAATTCCTCCCTACTTGGGACATCAACATTCCTGTAGATGAAAAGAGGTGCCTGTCTGATCTGAATAGCTGAAACACTAGGACAGAAATGAGGCTGTGAGGTAACTAGCCTTTCTGCTGAACTGGCTGAGGTAGTTCCCATTCTTCACCCTGATTAAACCTCAACACATCTAATTGATAGCTTCCCTAGCCACACTCATCAAGGCAGGGACCTTAGCCTACCACTGGGTATTACATCTACCCTCCTGCCTTAGCCACAATTGATGCCTACCCCGGAATACCTCCCCTATTGGCAGGAAGCCTGAATTGCCAACTGGTAAATAAAACACCAGGAAAAAAATTAAATACATAAATAAAGTGTATACCATGAAAGAATGAGATAGGCTTCAAGAGATCCCTGCCATTCCAACTTCACAGGAGACAGTGAACTTTCCAACACACCAAGAATATAACTACTACAACCAACATCAAGGAAAGACAGCTCACAAAGACCCTCTATAACTAAGGTTCTTATATAGAGTCCTCACCCCTACAAATGCCAAGAACCAAATTAGGCTAAAATAAATAATAAAGTCTGATCCTTAACAGGGAAAAAAATTAAATTGAAAAAAGACACAGCCCAATCAAACGAGAAAGAACCAGAAAGTAATTTGGTAATATGACAAAACAGGGTTCTATAACACCGCCAAAAAAATCACACTACTACTCCAGCAATGGATCCAAACCAAGAAAAAAATCTCTGAATTTCCAGATAAACAATTCACAAAGTTGATTATTAAGCTATTCGAGGAGATACCGGAAAAAGGTGAAAACCAACTTAAAGAAATTTAAAAAAATACAGAATATGAATGAAAAATTCTCCTGAGAAATAAATATCATAAAGAAAAAACAATCACAACTTCTGGAAATGAAAGACACACTTAGGAAAATACAAAATGTAGTGGAAACTTTCACCAATAAACCAGAACAAGTAGGAGAAAGAAGTTCCAAGCTCGAATATAAGGCTTTTGAATTAACCCAATCAAAGATAAAGATAAAAAACATTTTAACAAATGAACAAAGCCTCCAAGAAATTTGGGATTATGTTAAATGGCCAAACCTAAGAATAATTGATGCTCCTAAGGAAGAAGAGAAATCTGAAAGTTTGGAAGACTTATTTGAGGAAATAATTGAAGAATCTCTTCTGGCCCTGCTAGAGATATACACATCCAAATACAAGAATCTCAAAGAACTCTTGGGAAATTCATCACTAAAAAATCATTACCTGGGTTGATCATCATCAGGTTATCTAAAGTCAATTACACTCCTGTCCTACTGTTTCAACTATTCAGATCAGACAGGCACCTATTTTCATCTATAGGAACGTAGATGTTCCAAGTAGGGAGGAACTGTGACTCTGCCTCTCAAGGCAAAGGAAATAATCTTAAGAGCTGAGAGACAAAAGAGTCAAGTAACATATAAGGAAAACCCATCAGATTAACAGCAGATTTTTCAGCAGAAACATTACAAGCCAGAAGGATTGGGGTCCTATCTTTAGTCTCCTTAAACAAATTAATTGTTAGCCAAAAATTTTATATCCAACAAAACCAAGGTTCATAAATGAGGAAGAGATAGTCTTTTTCACACAAAGAAATGCTGAGATAATTCACCACTACCAAATCAGCACTACATGAAATGCTAAAAGAAGTTATATATGTTGAAATGGAACCTCAAATACATCAAAATATAACCCATTTACAGCATAAATTTCACAGGTCCTATGAAACAACAGATTAAACAAGGTATTTAGGCAACAACTAATATGATGAATAGAACAGTATTCACATCTCACTACTAACATTGAATGTAAATGGCCAAAATGCCCCAATTAAAAGATACAGAATGGCAAAATGGCTAAAAATTCACCTATCAAGTATCTGCTGTCTTCTAGAGAGTCACCTAACACACAAAGACTCACAGAAGCTTAAGTTAAAGATATTCCATGCAAATGGAAACCAAAAGTGAGCAGGAGTAGCTATTCTTTTATCAGTCAAAACATACTTTAAAGCAACAACAGTTTAAAAAAAGACAAAGAGGAACATTATATAATGATAAAAGAATTAGTCCAACCGGAAAATATCACAATCCTAAATACATATGAACCTGAAACTGGAGCTCCCAGATTTATAAAACAATTACTACCAGATTTAAGAGATGAGATAGATGGCAACACAATAGTAGTGGGGAACTTCAATGCTCCACTGACATTACTAGACAGGTCATCGAGACAGAAAGTCAACAAAGAAAGAATGGATTTAAACTATAAACTAGAACAAATGGACTTAACAGATATTTCCATAAAATTCTAACCAACAACTTCAGAATATACATTCTTTTCATCAGCACATGGAACATTCTCCAAGATAGACCACATAATACACCACAAAACAAGTCTCAATAAATTTTTAAAAATTCAAAATTATATTAAGTATCCTCTCAGACCACAGTGGAATAAAACTGGAAATTAACTTCAGAAAGAACCCTCATAACTATATAAATATATGAAGATTAAATAATCTGCTCTTGAATGACCATTGGGCCAACAATGAAATCAAGATGGAAGTTAAAAATACTTTGAACTGAATGATAATAGTGATACAACTTATCAAAACCTCTCAGATACAGTGAAAGCAGTGATAATAGGAAAGCTTATAGCATTAAATGCCTACATCAAAAAGTCTGAAAGACCAAAAACAGACAACCTAACATCACACCTCAAAAAAAAACTAGAGAAACAAGAACAAACCAAATGCAAACCCAGCAGAAGAAAAGAAATGACAAAGATTGGAGCAGAACTAAATGAAATTCAACAAAAAATACAAAAGATAAATGAAACAAAAAGTGAGTTCTTTGAAAAGATAAACAAAACAGACAGACCATTAGTGAGATTAACCAAAAAAAAAAAAAATAAGGGGGAGAGGGACGATCCAAATAAGCTCAATTAGAAATGAAACAGGAGAAATTACAACAGGTATCACAGAAATACAAAAGATCATTCAAGACTAGCTACTATGAACACGTTTATTCATACAAAACTAGAAAATCTAGGGGGCATGGATAAAATCCTGGAAATATACAGCCCTTCTAGATAATCAGGAAGAAATAGAAACTCTGAACTGACCAATAACAAGTAGTGAGATTGAAACAGTAATTTAAAAATTGCCAAAAAAAAAAAAAAAAAAAAAGAAAAAAAAGCCCAGGACAAGATGGATTCACAGCTAAATTTTGTCAGGTATTCAAAGAAGAATTGGTACCAATCCTACTGAAACTATTTCAAAAGACAGAGAAAGAGGGAACCCTCCATAAATCATTCTATGAACAAAGTATCACCCTAATACCAAAATGAGGAAAGGACATAACAAGAAAAGAAAACTGCAGACCAGTATCCCTGATGAACATAGGTGCAAAATTGCTGAACAAAATACTAGCTAACCAAATTCAACAGCATATCAAAAAAGATAAGACATCATGATCAAGTGGGTTTCATACCAGGGATGCAGGGATCATTTAACATACGCAAGTCAATAAATGTGATACATCACATAAATAGAATTAAAAATAAAAATTATATGATCATTTCAATGGATGTGGAAAAAGCATTTGACAAAATTCAGCATCCCTTTATGATTAAAACCCTCAGCAAAATCTGCATAGAAGGGATATATCTCAAAGTAATAAAAGCCATCTATGACAAACCCACAGCCAATATTATACTGAATGGGTAAAAGTTGAAAGCATTTTCTCTGAGAACTGGAACAAGACAAGGATGCCCACTTTCACCACTTCTATTCAGTGTTGCAGTAGAAGACCTAGCCTGAGCAATCAGACAAAAGAAAGAAATACAATACATCCAAATCAGAAAATAAGTCAAACTGTCACTGTTCACCAATGATATTACTGTATACCTAGCAAACCCTAAAGACTCATTCAAAAAGCTCCTAGATGTGATAAATAAATTCGGTAAAGTTTTGGGATACAAAATCTATGTACACAAATCAGTAGTATTGCTATACACTAACAATGACTAACCTAAGAATCAAATCAAGAACTCAACTTCTTTTAAAATAGTTGCAAAAAAATAAAATACTGAAATATACACTCAACCAAAGAGGTGAGAGATCTCTACAAGAAAAACTACAAAACACTGCTAAAATCACAGATGACACAAACAAATGGAAACACATCCCATGTTCATGGATGAGTAGAATCAATATTGTAAAAATGATCATACTGCCAAAAACAATCTATAGATTAAATGTAATTTTCATCAAAATACCCATCATAGTTTTTCAGAACTAGAAAAAACAGTCCTAAAATTCATACGGAATCAAAAAAGAGCCCACATACCTAAAGCAAGAATAAGCAAAAATAACAAATCTAGAGGTATCACATTAGCTGACTTCAAACTATAAACAAGGTTATAGTTACCAAAACAACATGGTACTGGTATAAAATTAGGCAAGTAGACCAGTAGAAAAGAATAGAGAACCCATAAATAAAGCCAAATACTTTACAGCCAACTGACTTTCGACCCAGCAAACAAAAACATAAAGTGGGGAATGGACATCCTACTCAAGAAATTGTGATGAGATAATTGGCAAGTCACACGTATAAGAATGAAACTGGATACTCATCTCTCACCTTATACAAAAATTAACTCCAGATGGATCAAAGACTCAAATCTGAGGCCTAAAATCATAAAAATTCTAGGAAATAACACTGGAAAAAACTCTTCTGTACATTGGCCTAGGCAATGAATTCATGACCATGAAACCAAAATCAAATGTAACAAAAACAAAGATATATAGATGGGAATTAATTAAACTAAAAAGCTTCTGCACAGTAAAAGAAATAATCAGCAGAGTAAACAGATAACCCACAGAAGAGGATAAAATAGCCACAAACTATTCATCTGACAAAGAACTAATATCCAGAATCTACAAGGAACTCAAACAAATCAGCAAGAAAAAAAAATCACATCAAAAAGTTGATGAAGGACATGAATAGACAATTCTCAAAAGAAGATATACAAATGGTCAACTAATATAAAGAATGCTCAACATCGCCAATTATCAGGGCAATGCGAATTAAAACCACAATGAGATACCACCTTACTCTTGGAAGAATAGTCATAACTTAAAAATCAAAAAATAATAGATGCTATAGTGGATGTGGTAAAAGGAACACTTTTACACTGCTGGTGGGAATGTAAACTAGTACAACCATCACGGAAAACAGTATGGAGATTCCTTAAAGAACTAAAAGTAGAACTACCATTCAATCCAGAAATCTCACTACTAGGTACTTATCCAAAAGAAAATAAGTCATTACGTGAAGAAGGCACTTGCATACACGTTTATAGCAGCACAATTTGCAATTGCAAAAATATAGAGCCAACCTTGGTGCCCATAAACCAACAAGTGGATAAAGAAAATGTGTTATATATTCACCATGGAATACTACCCAGGCATAAAAAGGAACAAAATAATGGCATTTGCAGCAACCTGTATGAAGTTGGAGACCATTATTCTAAATGAAGTAATTCAGGAATGGAAAATCAAATATTATATGTTTTCACTTATAAGTGGGAGCTATGCTATGAGGATGCAAAGGCATAAGAAGGATATAATAGACTTTGGGAACTTGAGGGGAAGGGAGAGAGGAGGATGAGTGATAAAAGACTACACATTGGGTACAGTGTACATTACTCGGGTGATGGGTCCACCAAAATCTCAGAAATCACTGCTAAAGAACTTATCCAACCCAACAATAAGCACTTGTTCCCCAAAAACTATTGAAATAAAAAAAGATAAAAATGAAAATAAAATGTAATAACAGTTGAAAATAAATAGCAAATAATAAACAAAATAAAATGAATGTTACTTTAGCTTGTTTTGTCTTTTCAAATTTTGTGTTTTTATTTTTAATACAAAATTTTATTTTTATTTATATTAATTTTATTTTTTAAGTTCCAGGATACATGTGCAGAATGTGCAGGTTTGTTACATAGGTAAATACGAGCCATGATGGTTTGCTGCACCTATCAAACCATTACCTTGATATTAAGCCCTGTATGCATTACTTCTGTTTCCTAATGCTCTTCTCCTACTCCACCCTCCCCAAACAGGCCCCAGTGTGTGTTGTTTCTCTCCCTTTGTCTAAGTGTATTCATTGTTCACTTACAAGTGAAAACAGAAAATATTTGTTTTTCTGTTTCTGCATTAGTTTACAGAGGATAATGGGATAATGACTTTAGTTTACAGAGGATAATGGCTTCCAGCTTCATCCATGTCCCTGCAAAGGACATGATCTAATTCCTTTTTATGGCTGCATAGTATTCCATGGTATATATGTACCACATTTTCTTTATCCAGTCTGTCATTGATGGGCTTTTGGGTTGATTTCATGTCTTTGCTATTGTTAAGAGTGCTGCAGTGAACATATGTGTGCATGAACATTTGTAATAGAATGATTTATATTAACATTTATATTTATATTAATTTATATGTAACAGAAAGTCTCAGAAAAGATATAGGAAATATTACAAAAAGTAAAATAAGAATTTAAGAACTTAATAATAAAATGACCAATTTTAAAAGAACACATAGATAAGCTGAACAGCAGAATAAAGAGGAGAGGCAAAGCCATCAGTGAACTTTAAGAAAGAACAATAGAAGTTATCCAGTAAAAACAACAGAAATAATAGACTGAGAATGCATAGAAAGAGCCTCAGAGGCCTGTAGAACTATAACAAAATATCTAACATGTGTATCTTTGGAGTCCCAGAAAAAGAGGAGAAGAAAGCTGGGTCTGAAAGAATATTCAAAGATATAATGGCTGCAAATTTCTCAAATTGGGCAAAAGACATATGTAAACAAGAAGCTGATAAAATCCACAGAAGGTACTCAATAAATGATAATTTTATGACATATCAAGTGATTTTAACAAAATCTCAGTAGATAATGCTAGTACATTAGTGACCATCTAATGTAGAGAGGTCATGTTAAGTTAACAGGTGCATAGCCTTTAGTTCAGATGTCAACAACCTATGGCCAGGAGAGAGAGGATCTTATGATTCAAAGCATATAGATTTATGTATAGGAACTCCCCTGGGGCTTTGTTGGTCAGGAGCTATAAATCAATACAGGCTCTCAGAGCATGTTTATTTCACATGTTTAACACTGAATTGCCATATTAAAAACAGAGTTTCCTGATAATCACTGTCCTAAAGGTGAACAAAGTTTGGCAGGTTACTTATAATATCCCTTCTGACTGAGAAGCCCTGACATCATTTAACTCTTGGATGACCTTCCTTGTAGCTTCAATGAACAGATTGATGCCCAATGTGATAGGCCTCCCATTAATTAAAAGACTGATGTTCAAGGAGATAAGGACAAGGGTTGTGCACATGTTATTCCTTGGGAAAATGGTGAGAAGAGAGGGAAATGGGGAGAATTGAGGGCAGAAATTACAGAAGTAAAGTAAATAATACTTGTGAAGAATATTGGTTATCTCTTGGTTTCAAAACTTTTTAGCTTGCTATGTGTGTTTCTGTAACATTTCCTAGTTGGATGGGTATCAGTTCACAAAGTGGAATGATATATTGATAGCATTCAGCTCTATTGCCCCTTTGGGAGTAAGAAGAGGGCAGGGAGGTATTGTATTAAAAACATAGAAGAAGAGAATTGGGAAGAGAGGAAAAGTATAGGGGAGGCTTGGATTGGCCTTACAGTTCCCTCTGTACATGCCGTCCTGTAGCACACTGAGGAGTTCATAGGACACTCTCAGTAGTGAAGTTACTCTTAAACACTGTCTAGACATTATTATTGTAGAGGAAAATAATCTCTCTTCAAGGGAATTATTTTTGTCCATTTATTGAGCATAACTGTAACAGAAAACTTAGAGAAAGAATATTATCAGCTAAGCTAAAGCTGTTCAATTAGCTTGGCCATTAAACATCTGCCTATTTGTCACTAAATAATCTGCCAATAGATTGAGGGGAGAGTATGTCTTTCAGATTTTCCCATCATAAAAACATAATATAGTACTCCATACAAAGAGGTTGCTAAAAATTAATACCAAAAAATTGAAAACTTACTATATGGCAGATATATGATAAGAGTTAAGACACTGACAGTGTTAAGAGCTTCACATTTATTATCTCAATCATTATCATATAACCCAATGAAACAATAATTATTATTTTCCCAATTTTATCGATAAGGATACTACGCCATATAGGTCATAAATTGGAGAGCAGTGTTGGAATCTGATTCCATCATCCAAGCCTTTAAACACTATGTAGAAACGTAGGCTTCATGGCCAAGAAAGAGGTTTAAACTTGGGGCCAGGCAAAGAAGGCCTTGACTATCAGAATAAGGAGTCTGTACTTTATTCTCTAAACATTTGAGAATCATTAAAGGTTTTGAGCAAAGATGTGCCATCAGTAAAATAATTCTCTAGGAGGATAAATGTGAGTGAATTGTACAGAATAGATGAAAAGGAGAAGGAAGGGATAGTCAAAAAATTATTATATCTATCATATATTGAACCCCTGTTATGTACCAGACACATGTCATCTAATTTGATAAAAGATATACAGCATGGAATAAAGCAAAGGAAATGGGATTTAAGCTAAGTAAACAAGTACACATAATATACAACAAATAGAATCAGGAGAATTAGCAATTGATTAGCAATAGAAATCAGAGTGTGACTCCCAGAATGTTCTCAAATAGACTTGTGATAACTCATTTTTCTTACCTATAACATGAAGAAAAGTGTGATTGTGGCAAGATTCAAAGGCATTGGGAAAACAGGGCACCAAGCTGTAAAATAATCAGCCTTGTTTGCTGCCAAGAACCATCATGCAGGGAAACTAGTGCTGTGGGTCAACCATGGCCAGATATATTATACAGGCTCAATCAACTTCACTTAAAGCATATGGTTGTAGCCTACACTTCATCAGTGAGTGAATAGCATTTGTTGAGAGCTAATCATGTGCACAGCTCTAAACCTGCTGCTGTATATCTTCTAATAGAATATCCAGAAAGTAGAAAGTATCACATCTCTATTGTGAAAAAAATACATATATTTAATAATTTATATAGCGCCATGAGAATATCTATATAAAACTTCAGAGCTTACCTCAAATTCCCTCAAAGAGACTCTTTTTTCTTGGATCTGCACACGAATTTCACAGCACTGGGGCTTTGAACAAAAATGTTCAAAATTCCAAAACTTCATGAATAGCTTTGAAGTAAAATATTTTTGAAGCCCACTGAGCTGAACATATTAAAAGATTTCATTTAGCATTTCCATTTAGGGTTGATCCTAATTTACAAGAAATAGTGGCATTATGCCAGTCTCTCAAAATTAAAATAAATTTTCCACTAATTGTTTTCTTAGCCTACAAGATCTCCAGTACCAGCTCTTCCCATTGTAGTGCATACCTTCCCATCTACAACTCTTTATAAGGACTGAAAATATGGAAAGCAAGATGTATTTTAAGTGGAAAATTCAAATGTGAACTAAGGGCTAGAAGAAGACATGTATTGGGTAAGGGATGAGGGATCAGATCAGTTACGGGAGGAACTGAGTTGACTGGCATCATTACAGTGAAGGATGATAAGAATATGGCACAAAGTAGGGAATTTTCTATATATTAACTATGAATGACTATTAATTATACTCCAGGAGTGAATACTTAATGTTTAAATATTATATCCAGAGAGTCTATGACCATTTGTGATTCTGAAGACATAAAAAACTGGTTCAATAATGCAATGTTACTTCTGAGGTTCAACAAGATAGTTAATTTTAAATAGGTCAAATATCAGTGAGAAAATACACAACATGTACTGAGTATAAAAGTGCTTAATAAGTGAGTCCTGGCACTTAATAATACAATTTGTATGTCCCGTGTTTCATGTATCTCTCACCACCAACATGTAGGAAAATTGTAGCTATACTTGGTGTTGTATATACAAATTTAAATAAGGCAAGTATTTTCTTTCAAGAGAAAAGGGAGTTATGGGTTTATGTGTGGGTAGTAAATAAACTTCTTCAGTGCAGTATTATGAAAGGTGGTATTCAGAATGTGCTAGGGAAGCACACATAAGGAATATAAAATCACATTTGGGAGATCAAGGATTTTTCCCAGAGGGTTTTAAGGTACCAGAATAATCAAAGAGTTGGAGACAGACAGCCATGCAAAACAGAGGAAGCTTCATGATTTTTATGGCTATTGACTTTTGGAATAAAGTAAATCCAACTACATGAGGGCATTCTAAACTCTGAAAGTGACTCTCAATTTGATGTTTTTTAGACCCTCTCTCCTGCGTTCAAGATAATCTAGGTATGCTTTCAAGACTAATAAACTATTACACAAACAGAGGAGCTCTCCTTACTTCTTAATCTAAAAGAGCTAGCCCCTGCTCCCAGCACAGTCACTCTCTATTACTTTTTCCATTTTATTTTTATAGCACATATCACTTTCTGTATATCATTCACTTTGTATTGTCTATGCCCACTAAAATGCAAGTCCAAAGGAGTGAGAACCAAGCATATCTTGTCTATCTCTATATCCCCAGTGTCTGAAACAGTCCCTGTCATATAGAAGATGCTCAATAGACACTTCACAAATAAAGGAATGGCTGCCTTCTGTGCAAAAGTTAGAAACATCTGGTATACTTCTGCCCTGGCATTTTTAGTAGCATATTAATCGACTGTGTTCCTTGATTTTGGAGTGAATATTGAGTCATAAAACAACATCAAAGTATCTATCAAAGCATCTATTCTGAATAGTACTAGACTTTATTGTAGTGCCAGTATTTGACAAAATATAATCACTGTCACTGTGTTAGTTTTATGCTAGAAGTCTACATATTTCTCACAAGGATTGTAAGTTTCAATTAATGAGTTTTGTACTAAGCATTTTAAATGCTTACCTACCTTATATAAGAACAAATAATACAAATGAAAATCAACTCAATTTACTTGGTATTTGTGAGTACTTATTATATGACAAAGCTTTTGAATAAAGAGAGTTATTAGTAATTATGATTACAGGGCTGTTTATAAAGTTAATCTATCTTTCTGGAAGACTCATAATTAAAATGCCTTTCCATTTGTGAACCTGCTTCGTGGTGCAAGTTTGAAACCCAGTAAAATAATCTTCAATTTAAAATTTTCCAAAGGTGTTCTCATCTTCCTATGTGCTATTTCAGTGGTAATAATAATGATGAAATTCATTAAAATGACTATAATATATCAAGACTCACGGCAGATCAGGATCTGTGTATATGCAACATCCCTAAAATTCTCATTACAATTTAATCAGTTGATAGTATGATTATCCTCATTTTGCTACAAGAAGACTGAGGCTTATAAAAGTTTGTTATGAAAAGTCTTAGAGGGACTAGTGTCAGGGCTTGTAACTATCTGACCACAAAAGCAAAGTTGCTAGTCACTACACCATATGGACTTAACAGACTAACATTTTTTTCTTTTCAAATGAGCAGTCTATTTATTTAGTTCTTACCTAGTTGCTTTATAATTCATATTAATTTCTGTTACTGAGTACAGCTTTTCTGTTTATCTGCCTTATCATAGACTTAAATGCACAAAAAAAATCAATGATAAATTTATTTATATCGAACTAGTATCTTACTTTCATGCATAAGTTTCCTATGGGGACCACTGACCACAGAGTAAAAATAAAAATAATCAAACATCACAAGTATTATTGTGTTTCATCACAATTAAAGATCAGAAGTCCTACTCAGAATTCTTCTCTTGATGATTTTTCTTAACCAGCAGTTGCTATTATACTCCATATTTAATGAGTGGGTTATTCTGAGGTAGTGTAATCTCTTTTCTTCTAGCTGTTAATGCACCATCTCAGATAAGGTGAAACTATTTTGTTAATCCACCTAATACATTTTCCTACTTGCCCTCTTCCCAGGTTCCAGTGATACCTCATACAAATAATGACTTAAAGTGATGGTGAGATCAATAATCCCTGACTGATCTGGCTTTTTAGCTCAAACTTAATTGTTAAAGTGACCATCTGTGGGTAATAAAAAGCTCAAAGCATCAGCCCTCCACAGACCTGGGTTCAATTGGTGGCCCTGCCTCTTCCCATATGGATATGTACTAGGGCAACTGGCTTATTCTTCTTAATCTTCAATTTCCTCCTCTACTTACAAAAAAAGTACTCCATGTACTTTGTAAAGTATTTTTTTTACTAGAGATCATAGAAGCACAATGCTGGACATGAAATAGGCACTCAAAAAACAGTAACACACTTTGCTGTCATAAGAACAATCTCAATATTATGGTAAAATTTCTTCCATCACTGCAACCGTGGAGTTAGCCCACATGAGCTACTACAGGGTAGGACTGGCAAAAGTTGAGGACCTAAATTTTGTTTATTTTCCTGGCATACCCTGATTTCTCCCCTATCTAGCACAGTTGCTTCAGCTATGAAATTTTGTCTCCCTGGAACTACCTCCTGTTGTGTAGGCACAAATTTCACTAGAGGACATCAGAAAGCCAGTGAAGGGAAAGCTCTTTTCCTTGCACTTTGAATCATTTATTAATTAGCTCATCCATTTTTGGCATTAAGGATCTCGGAAACTCACATATAACCAATACTGATGAAGTATAGATGGTTAAATCAAAGATCTATGTATTAGTGCAAGCAGCTACTTGACTGGTTAGTGATTAGTGGGAGGTAGTGCCAAATTTGAGCATCAATATACCTAGAATCTCCAGTGTTCTCCAATGGGTATAGCTTACTCAAAAACTACCCAGTCAGCACGTGTATATTGTTTCCTTAGAGAATGATAATATGATTGTGTGTTGTTTTATTTTGGTGGTATTATAACCTGGACTATTCGGTTGCATGAAGTTTCTTCATTTAAAGAAAAACTTCAAACAAATCTTAGTGAGAGTTTATTTGAAGAAAAATAAAACTTAAAAAAAAAATTCTGCCTAGGGCATATCCCATGTAGAAACAAACTGGAAAAAAAATACTAAGACTTTTTTTTTTATTATTATACTTTAAGTTTTAGGGTACATGTGCACATTGTGCAGGTTAGTTACATATGTATACATGTGCCATGCTGGCACGCTGCACCCACTAACGCATCATCTAGCATTAGGTATATCTCCCAATGCTATCCCTCCCCCCTCCCCCCACCCCACCACAGTCCCTAGAGTGTGATATTCCCCTTCCTATGTCCATGTGATCTCATTGTTCAATTCCCACCTATGAGTGAGAATATGCGGTGTTTGGTTTTTTGTTCTTGCGATAGTTTACTGAGAATGATGGTTTCCAATTTCATCCATGTCCCTAAAAGGACATGAACTCATCATTTTTTATGGCTGCATAGTATTCCATGGTGCATATGAGCCACATTTTCTTAATCCAGTCTATCATTGTTGGACATTTGGGTTGGTTCCAAGTCTTTGCTATTGTGAATAATGCCGCAATAAACATACATGTGCATGTGTCTTTATAGCAGCATGATTTATAGTCATTTGGGTATATACCCAGTAATGGGATGGCTGGGTCAAATGGTATTTCTAGTTCTAGATCCCTGAGGAATTGCCACACTGACTTCCACAATGGTTGAACTAGTTTACAGTCCCACCAACAGTGTAAAAGTGTTCCTATTTCTCCACATCCTCTCCAGCACCTGTTGTTTCCTGACTTTTTAATGATTGCCATTCTAACTGGTGTGAGATGATATCTCATAGTGGTTTTGATTTGCATTTCTCTGATGGCCAGTGATGATGAGCATTTTTTCATGTGTTTTTTGGCTGCATAAATGTCTTCTTTTGAGAAGTGTCTGTTCATGTCCTTCGCCCACTTTTTGATGGGGTTGTTTGTTTTTTTCTTGTAAATTTGTTTGAGTTCATTGTAGATTCTGGATATTAGCCCTTTGTCAGATGAGTAGGTTGCGAAAATTTTCTCCCATGTTGTAGGTTGCCTGTTCATTCTGATGGTAGTTTCTTTTGCTGTGCAGAAGCTCTTTAGTTTAATTAGATCCCATTTGTCAATTTTGGCTTTTGTTGCCATTGCTTTTGGTGTTTTGGACATGAAGTCCTTGCCCACGCCTATGTCCTGAATGGTAATGCCTAGGTTTTCTTCTAGGGTTTTTACGGTTTTAGGTCTAACGTTTAAATCTTTAATCCATCTTGAATTGATTTTTGTATAAGGTGTAAGGAAGGGATCCAGTTTCAGCTTTCTACATATGGCTAGCCAGTTTTCCCAGCACCATTTATTAAATAGGGAATCCTTTCCCCATTGCTTGTTTTTCTCAGGTTTGTCAAAGATCAGATAGTTGTAGATATGGGGCGTTATTTCTGAGGGCTCTGTTCTGTTCCATTGATCTATATCTCTGTTTTGGTACCAGTACCATGCTGTTTTAGTTACTGTAGCCTTGTAGTATAGTTTGAAGTCAGGTAGTGTGATGCCTCCAGCTTTGTTCTTTTGGCTTAGGATTGACTTGGCGATGCGGGCTCTTTTTTGGTTCCATATGAACTTTAAAGTAGTTTTTTCCAATTCTGTGAAGAAAGTCATTGGTAGCTTGATGGGGATGGCATTGAATCTGTAAATTACCTTGGGCAGTATGGCCATTTTGATGATATTGATTCTTCCTACCCATGAGCATGGAATGTTCTTCCATTTGTTTGTGTCCTCTTTTATTTCCTTGAGCAGTGGTTTGTAGTTCTCCTTGAAGAGGTCCTTCACATCCCTTGTAAGTTGGATTCCTAGCTATTTTATTCTCTTTGAAGCAATTGTGAATGGGAGTTCACTCATGATTTGGCTCTCTGTTTGTCTGTTGTTGGTGTATAAGAATGCTTGTGATTTTTGCACATTGATTTTGTATCCTGAGACTTTGCTGAAGTTGCTTATCAGCTTAAGGAGATTTTGGGCTGAGATGATGGGGTTTTCTAGATAAACAATCATGTCGTCTGCAAACAGGGACAATTTGACTTCCTCTTTTCCTAATTGAATACCCTTTATTTCCTTCTCCTGCCTAATTGCCCTGGCCAGAACTTCCAACACTATGTTGAATAGGAGTGGTGAGAGAGGGCATCCCTGTCTTGTGCCAGTTTTCAAAGGGAATGCTTCCAGTTTTTGCCCATTCAGTATGATATTGGCTGTGGGTTTGTCATAGATAGCTCTTATTATTTTGAAATACGTCCCATCAATACCTAATTTATTGAGAGTTTTTAGCATGAAGTGTTGTTGAATTTTGTCAAAGGCTTTTTCTGCATCTATTGAGATAATCATGTGGTTTTTGTCTTTGGCTCTGTTTATATGCTGGACTACATTTATTGATTTGTGTATATTGAACCAGCCTTGCATCCCAGGGATGAAGCCCACTTGATCATGGTGGATAAGCTTTTTGATGTGCTGCTGGATTCGGTTTGCCAGTATTTTATTGAGGATTTTTGCATCAATGTTCATCAAGGATATTGGTCTAAAATTCTCTTTTTTGGTTGTGTCTCTGTCAGGCTTTGGTATCAGGATGATGCTGGCCTCATAAAATGAGTTAGGGAGGATTCCCTCTTTTTCTATTGATTGGAATAGTTTCAGAAGGAATGGTACCAGTTCCTCCTTGTACCTCAGGTAGAATTCGGCTGTGAATCCATCTGGTCCTGGACTCTTTTTGGTTGGTAAACTGTTGATTATTGCCACAATTTCAGAGCCTGTTATTGGTCTATTCAGAGATTCAACTTCTTCCTGGTTTAGTCTTGGGAGAGTGTATGTGTCGAGGAATGTATCCATTTCTTCTAGATTTTCTAGTTTATTTGCGTAGAGGTGTTTGTAGTATTCTCTAATGGTAGTTTGTATTTCTGTGGGATCGGTGGTGATATCCCCTTTATCATTTTTTATTGTGTCTATTTGATTCTTCTCTCTTTTTTTCTTTATTAGTCTTGCTAGCGGTCTATCAATTTTGTTGATCCTTTCAAAAAACCAGCTCCTGGATTCATTGATTTTTTGAAGGGTTTTTTGTGTCTCTATTTCCTTCAGTTCTGCTCTGATTTTAGTTATTTCTTGCCTTCTGCTAGCTTTTGAATGTGTTTGCTCTTGCTTTTCTAGTTCTTTTAATTGTGATGTTAGGGTGTCAATTTTGGATCTTTCCTGCTTTCTCTTGTAGGCATTTAGTGCTATAAATTTCCCTCTACACACTGCTTTGAATGTGTCCCAGAGATTCTGGTATGTTGTGTCTTTGTTCTCGTTGGTTTCAAAGAACATCTTTATTTCTGCCTTCATTTCGTTATGTACCCAGTAGTCATTCAGGAGCAGGTTGTTCAGTTTCCATGTAGTTGAGCGGCTTTGAGTGAGATTCTTAATCCTGAGTTCTAGTTTGATTGCACTGTGGTCTGAGAGATAGTTTGTTATAATTTCTGTTCTTTTACATTTGCTGAGGAGAGCTTTACTTCCAAGTATGTGGTCAATTTTGGAATAGGTGTGGTGTGGTGCTGAAAAAAATGTATATTTTGTTGATTTGGGGTGGAGAGTTCTGTAGATGTCTATTAGGTCCGCTTGGTGCAGAGCTGAGTTCAATTCCTGGGTATCCTTGTTGACTTTCTGTCTCGTTGATCTGTCTAATGTTGACAGTGGGGTGTTAAAGTCTCCCATTATTAATGTGTGGGAGTCTAAGTCTCTTTGTAGGTCACTCAGGACTTGCTTTATGAATCTGGGTGCTCCTGTATTGGGTGCATAAATATTTAGGATAGTTAGCTCCTCTTGTTGAATTGATCCCTTTACCATTATGTAATGGCCTTCTTTGTCTCTTTTGATCTTTGTTGGTTTAAAGTCTGTTTTATCAGAGACTAGGATTGCAACCCCTGCCTTTTTTTGTTTTCCATTGGCTTGGTAGATCTTCCTCCATCCTTTTATTTTGAGCCTATGTGTGTCTCTGCACGTGAGATGGGTTTCCTGAATACAGCACACTGATGGGTCTTGACTCTTTATCCAACTTGCCAGTCTGTGTCTTTTAATTGGAGAATTTAGTCCATTTATATTTAAAGTTAATATTGTTATGTGTGAATTTGATCCTGTCATTATGATGTTAGCTGGTGATTTTGCTCGTTAGTTGATGCAGTTTCTTCCTAGTCTCAATGGTCTTTACATTTTGGCATGATTTTGCAGCGGCTGGTACCGGTTGTTCCTTTCCATGTTTAGCGCTTCCTTCAGGAGCTCTTTTAGGGCAGGCCTGGTGGTGACAAAATCTCTCAGCATTTGCTTGTCTATAAAGTATTTTATTTCTCCTTCACTTATGAAGCTTAGTTTGGCTGGATATGAAATTCTGGGTTGAAAATTCTTTTCTTTAAGAATGTTGAATATTGGCCCCCACTCTCTTCTGGCTTGTAGGGTTTCTGCCGAGAGATCCGCTGTTAGTCTGATGGGCTTCCCTTTGAGGGTAACCCGACCTTTGTCTCTGGCTGCCCTTAACATTTTTTCCTTCATTTCAACTTTGGTGAATCTGACAATTATGTGTCTTGGAGTTGCTCTTCTCGAGGAGTATCTTTGTGGCGTTCTCTGTATTTCCTGAATCTGAACGTTGGCCTGCCTTGCTAGATTTGGGGAAGTTCTCCTGGATAATATCCTGCAGAGTGTTTTCCAACTTGGTTCCATTCTCCCCATCACTTTCAGGTACACCAATCAGATGTAGATTTGGTCTTTTCACATAGTCCCATATTTCTTGGAGGCTTTGCTCATTTCTTTTTATTCTTTTTTCTCTAAACTTCCCTTCTCGCTTCATTTCATTCATTTCATCTTCCATTGCTGATACCCTTTCTTCCAGTTGATCGCATCGGCTCCTTCTGTTCTGTTTTTTCCCCATCTTTGTGGTTTTATCTACTTTTGGTCTTTGATGATGGTGATGTACAGATGGGTTTTTGGTGTGGATGTCCTTTCTGGTTTATTCATTTTTGCATTTTTAGTTCAAGTAATTATCTAGGACACAGACATGTTTCTATGCAATACAGGCATACGACCATATCAGACACACCTTGAATTAATGTGAAGTGTGGAGAACATGCAAGCAATAGATGCTGATCATTTCAAGGTCTCTAACTCATGTACTTATTTAAGCTTTAGCTGCTCCTGAAAGCCTTTCATTAAAGATGATAATGCAAAGGCCTGACTTTACTCAACCAAAGGTGATGCCTCACAACATCTATTCCACATAGAGCTTCCAGTCAGCAATTACTCTATAACACTAAATTCCAATGAAACACTAAATTCCAGTAGGTTGACCTATTACAAAATTTGATTCAATCTTTTTTTTTTGTATCACTTATTTTAACACACTGACCAAAATAGATGATTTTGTTGAATGAATGAGTGAACAAATGTTAGCCTTGGGAATTTTGAATAACTTGGATACATGGCATGTAGATTCATTCACAATTAAAATACAGACATTTTAAATCTCCAATTTAATATATAGTTGACCTTTCAACAGCACAGGGGTTCAGCAAACCTAATGAGCCCCCTCACAGAGTTGAAAATACAGCAATTTCTCACTCCTCAAAAACATAACTACTAGTAGCCTACCACTGACCAGATAACATAAATACAGGATTAGCACATACTTTTTATATTATATGTATTATATACTGGATTCTTGACAGAAAAGGAAACCAGTGAAAAGAAAATGCTATTAAGAAAATCATAAAGAAGAGAAAATATATTTACTATTTATTAAGTGAAAGTAGATTATGAAGATCTTCATCCTTGTCATCTTGACATAGAGTAGGCGGAGGAGGAGGAGGAAGAGGAAGTTGTGGTCTTGCTGTGTTCCCAAGGGTGGCAGAGGTAGAAGAAAAGCTGCTCAAAAGTGGAACCGTGCATTTCAAACCTGTGTTGTTCAAGGGTCAACTGTACACATATAGATATTTAATATGTATAGTATTAAGCAAAAATAATAAGCAAAATTCTACTACAGATTCTCCTCGCTACCTCCTCAATCCTGCTCCCAGGCCTTGGCCAATGTGCTCATTCTGTCTTGGAGTTTCTTCCTGCTTCTGTTTTTTTCTGACCCCAACTCAAAGCCCACAAGGTTTTCTCTATTTAGGCCAGCTTTTGTTAGGCCTTTTCTTTTCAGAAATCTGCCTGCTTTCATGAGAAGGGAGGGTCATTAAACACTCATGGATCTTCTTAGTCCATACTTGCTAGGGTGTTATCTGCTTCAATGTCCCCCAACATAGGGGAAGTTTAAATAATTAAATCATAAAAAGAAAACAAAAGGAATGGAAGCAAGAAAAGACAGGAGGGAGGACAGACAGAGGTAATGTAACCTTTCTCTCTCCTTTTCTTTTTAAACAGGTACCCTGCAGCTGTTTAATAAAACCATCTACTTACAGTGATAAATTACTTGCAAATTATATCAACCCTAAATTGCCTTCCAAAGTTTCTAGCTGCTGATGGTGGCAATGTTTTATGGAGATTTAAACAAGGTAATTTGGCAAAGAAGCATCAACTCACACTTCTGCAGCCCTGAAATGACTAGGTGGCAGAAATTGCCTGAGAAATGAGGTAAATGTCTGGAATACCTAATTTGTTACTTTGTGTACTTGTGCTTCCTGAGTTGGCTGTAGCACAAATGTTTGATGGTCAAAGATATTTAACCTTCATTACTGCTTGTGGGAGCATTCGTCTATATTATTTTGCGCTAAAGAAAGGAAGTGCTTCTATGCAGATGGCTTCTGACCTCAGTCTTCAGTAGGGCTTCTGCCATTGCTTTGTTTAATGCCATGTAAAAATAGTGAGAAAAGAGAAGTGGGAAGGGAATACTTTAGTCTCTCTCTCTTACACACACACACACACACACACACTTTTTTTTTCAGAGTGACAGCTTAATAAAAATTCAAATGTTGGCTTCAACTGAATCAAAGTTGAACCACAATCACATAACATTTTTGTTTCAAAGTGAGACATAGTCACTACATTCATAAAATGCAAGAATTATTATACCTAGAAATCAAATAGCACAAATGCTTGTTCTGGCTGTTGACCTGGGCTCTGTTTTGCTGGCACAGTTTCTCCCATTTAACGAAGTATTCGGCTGAGACTCAAGTGAAGGGATTGAGCTTCAATAGCTTGATTCAGACCATGTCAATGACATATATTCATCTCTCTAAAAGTCCTTATCAACAAAACATTTGCAACATTTCGGATTTCCTGGAAGACCTTCAAAAATGTGACTGCTTTCATCAGAAACCACCTGGCTTAGTACAGAAGAGGCACTTTTCATGCTTGAGCATCTGGTGTGAAGACCAGTAATCCCTAGGGAAGGTACCTGCTTGATACAGTAGAGACTGCTAGGTAGCAGCTTAGTAAACTAAAGCAAAAACTCTATTTGTGAAGATTGCTATTTTGACTGATACAGTTTTGCAGAAATACAACAGAAACCACAGAGATGTCCAGAATTCACAGATGTCCTAAATTGCTTAGTTTTATCAACCTCTTACATCTTATTTATTCATTAATTCATTCAATTAACAACTATTTCAGAGTGCCTGCTAGCACCACATATTTTGTGAGGCACTCTAATACAAGGGCTATCAAAAACACAGAATCTCTGCTCATAAAATTATGTTGTGAGGGAGGAAGTAAACATATAAATAAAATTATTATATGTAATTATAAGTGCTATAAAAGAAAAACAATTGACTATGAGATAATCTGTAACATAGGGTGAAGAGGGGCTACACAAGATAGACTGATTTAGGATGGATTTTATGAAGATCTGAAGGGGCTACCTTTAAACAGTGACCTGAAGAATGAGAAGGCACCAGATAAACATATGCAAATAAGGCAGGGGAGGGAATTAGCATTGGGTCAGGCTGAGGCAAGAGTATGTGCACAGATTTGAAGACCTTAAAGAAGTCTTGGAAACTGCAGCATGACATCAACTTAGAGAGATAGCCAAGGACATTATAAGTCATATTAAGGAGCCTAGTTTTTTTCTCTCCTCAAGAGCCTTGAGAAAAAATTGGGGCTTTAATTAAAACTCACTGATGACTAATGATTTTGAACACTTTTTCATGTACTTATTGGTCATTCACATAAATTCTTTTGTTAAGTACATGTTTCAAATTTCCAGTTTTTATTTTTTGTCATTTCATTGTTGATTTGTAAGCGTTCTGCCTACATTCTAACATAAGTCTTCTGATGAATTCATGTATTTTTAATATTCTTTCCCACTCCCATTTACAATTTTTTTTTAAATATACCTTAAGTTTTAGGGTACATGGGCGCAACGTGCAGGTTTGTTACATATGTATACACGTGTCATGTTGGTGTGCTGCACCCATTAACTCGTCATTTAGCATTAGGTATATCTCCTAATGCTATCCTTCCCCCCCTCCCCCCACCCCACAACAGTCCCCGGAGTGTGATGTTCCCCTTCCTGTGTCCATGTGTTCTCACTGTTTATTTCCCACCTGTGAGTGAGAATATGCGGTGTTTGGTTTTTTGTCCTTCTGATAGTTTGCCAGCAAACATTTTTTAATTATGCTCAACTTAGCAATTTTATATTTTGTGGTTAGTGAATGTTGTCCTGTTGGGTCCAGAATTGGTTCCTTCTGGTGCGTTCTTGGTCTGGCTGACTTCAAGAATGAAGCCGTGGACCCTCACAGTGAGTGTTAGAATTCTTAAAGATGGTGTGTCCAGAGTTTTTTCCTTCAGATATTCAGATGTGTCCGGACTTTCTTCCTTCTGGTGGGATCACAGTCTTGCTGACTTCAGGAGTGAAGCCGCAGGCCTTTGCAGTGAGTGTTACAGCTCTTAAAGGTAACACAAAGACTGATCAGCAGCAAGATTTATCGCAAACAGCAAAAGAACAACCTTCCGCCGCGTGGAAAGGGACCTGAGTGGCTTGCCGCTGCTGATGTGGGTGGCCTGCTTTTATTCCCTTATTTGGCCCCACCCACATCCTGCTGATTGGTCCATTTTACAGAGAGCTGATTGGTCCATTTTACAGAGTGCTGATTGGTCCGTTTTACAGAGTGCTGATTGGTGCATTTACAAACCTTTAGCTAGACACAGAGTGCTGATTGGTGCATTTACAATCTTTTAACTAGACAGAAAAGTTCTCCAAGTCCCCTACCTGACCCAGAAGCCCAGCCAGCTTCACCTCTCACTGTCACAGAAACCCTTTACACTGACATCACAAAGATATTCTCCATTTGCTTTGTTCTAAGTAGATTTGTATTATAGATTTTATGTTTATATCTATGATCCACCTAAAATTAATTTGTGTGTGTGGGGTGAGGTAGAGCTCAACAATTTGTTCTTTTTTCCCTGCACTCCTGTTTTACATTATGGTGTTACCTTTTTAAAATTTCTTCTGTTAAAGAACTTCTCAGACCACATTGAATTGACTTGGCACCTTGGTGAAAAAATACCCATAAATATTTGTGGTGAAAACAATTTTTATTTGTCAACTTCAAAATAATTAAATTCCAAATAAAATAAAATAAAATAAATGAGTGATATCTTCAAAACTAAAAATCAACTACATATATGTCATCCTCTTTCTGTTACTTTAATCTATCTGCCTTTCTTTATGCCAGTAACATGCTGCATTAATTGACAGTTTTATAAGTCTTGAAATCAGGTAGTATAAGTTCTCCAACTCCTCTCATCTTCTGTAAGATTCTGTTGGCTATTCTACATACTTCTTATTCCTATATACATCTTACAGTCAGCTGATCAATTTCTAAATATAAAGCTTGCTGGAATTTGGATTGGGATTAAATTGATACCATAGTTCAATTTGGGAACAATTATCGTTTTAGCAGCATAGAGTCTTTCAACCTATGAGCAGAGTATATCTCTCTAATTATTTGTCTGTTTTAATTTCTCTCAATAATGTATTATAGTCTTGTACATATATGTATTTAAAGTTATATAGTTTTTTATTTTATCACAAAAGTTTTCTTTTATTCATTTTCCAATTGTTCAATGTTAGTATTTTGAATTTCTATATATTAACTCTGCATTAATGACTGCTAAAGTCACTATTATCAGCGCTAGAATTTTTATGTACATTCCATAGGAGTTTCTATGTGCACAATCATGTCAGCTGGGAATAATGAGAGGTTTGTTTTTCTTCTCTAACCTTTATAACTTTGATTTATTTTGCTTATCTTTTTACACTAAGACTTCCAGGCAATATTGCATAACAACTATCAGATTTTATATTCTTGCTTTGTCCAAAGTCTTAGAGAAAAATCATTCAAATTTTGTCATTAAGTATAATGATAATTGGATTTTTTTCAAAGATATCCTTTATTTTATTGAGAAAATTTCCTTTTTGGTATATTTTAGTTTGCTAGATATTTTTAACATGAATTGGTATTAGATTTTGTCAAATGTTTTACCTGCATCTATTCAGATGTGCATATGATTTTATCTTTCTTTATGTTAATGTGATAAATTGCATGCATTCCTTTTTAAATTATAGAACAAACAAAAACTCTGTGTTCCTGACAAAAATCCCATTTGGTCATGATACTTTTAATATATTGCTGCATTTCATTGGTTAACACGTTTCTAAGGATAGTAGGAAATTTTGTTATTGTCACTGTTTTCGTTTTTGTTGTTTTTGAATTGAATTACTGTACAAAATAAAGAAAAACTTTTCTGTATCATCTTGCATCAGTTTTGTTAAGCGTATTTGTCAAAAATTTGTCTCTTTCATCCTAGTTGTCAATTATTCACATGAAGTTGTTCATAATACCCCTTATACTTCAGTATTTGTAGAATATAAGCATTTAAAGTAACACGTGTTTCTTAAATAATATCAAATATATTTTGATATGTTGTGTTTTATTTTTCAGTTTAAAATATTTTCTATTTTCCCTATGATTTGTCTTGTGATTCATGTGTTATTTCAAGGATCTTCTCGAATTTTCAAATAATTGAGAATTTTCTATCTTACTAGAATTGATTTTGAATTTATTATTTTTATGGCCTGAAACATAATCTTTATTATTTAAATCATTTGCAATTTGCTGAAATTTAATTTGTGGCCCATCATATAACCCGTCTTGAATGTACATTTGAAAATAAAACGTGAATTCTACAGTTCTGGAATGCAGTGTTTAAATACGTTAAAAAGATCAAATTAGTTGATAGTGTTTAAAAAATATTTTATTCTATATTGATTTGTTAATATACAAGTGGATCAATTATTTAAAAACATGGATAAAATATTTAATATGATTATGGGTTTCTATAGTTCTCCCTTTATTTCTGTCAAGTTTTTCTTCAGATTACATGCAAAACTATTTAGAATTCACACATCTTCTTGATAAAAAAGACCCATGTATCATTATAAAGTTTCCTTCTTATGGTAATCCTTTTTTAAATTATACATTAGAATAGCCAGACCACATTTCTTGTGATTAATGTTTGTTTGGCCTCTTTTCCCACTCTTTTCCATTCAAACTCTCTGTGTCTTTATATAAAATATATGCTCCTTTCAAAAGCATATAGCTTGGTCTTACTTTCTCACCTATTCTTAACCTCTGTATTTTATTTTGCTTAAAGTTGCATTCTTTTTTTAATTGATAAAAAAGCCTAAATGGCTACATCAAGCAAATTAACATGTGCATTACATTGTATATTTATCATTTTTGTGTGATTAGAATGCAAAATCTCTTAGCAATTTTCAAGTACACAATATATTGTTATGAACTGAAGATCTGTTGCACATGTTGGTAACAACCACTTCAACAGGAAATTTAGATCATTTATAATTAGTATAAGTTTGATGTGGCTGGGCTTAAGCAGAGAACTTTGGAACTTCTTTTCTATTTTCCCAACTCTCTGTTTCTTCTTTCTTTACCTTCTTTTGTGTGAATTGTGTATTTTTTATAAAAACTCATATTTTTATTGGTTTTTCACTACATATTTTTAGCAGTTACTCTAGAGATGATAATATGCATCTTTAATTTATATCAGTCTATATTCATATGACATTTTTCTACTTAATGAAAATTGTATGAATCTTATAACAATATGTAATAGTTCTATTTATCTACCTCCTACCCTTTAAGCTCTGTTGTCATACATTTTACTTTTACGTACACTAAAATTTCTATGGTATACTTTTATAAATTTTGTTTGAATTAGTCAATAATAATTGGAATAAATGTTTTAAACTAGTATACTAAAATTAGAGAAAAATTAATTTAGTTACTTCTAAATTTTTCCTCATTAGTATTTCTTATTCCTTCTTGCAGATCCAAGATTCTATTTAGTATCAACCCTTCAGCCTAATGAATTTTATTTCAGCATTTTATGTAATACAGGACTATTGGAGATGAATTATCTCAGTTTTATTTATCTTTTTTTAGATAGACATGTCTATTTGTTTTTTATCCTTTTAAAATATCATTCCATTAACCTCAGACCTTTATTTTACTGATGAAAAGTCAGCCATAATTCTTATCACTGTCCTCCCATATGTAATGTTTCTTCCTTAAATGGCTTTAAAAATATATATTGTTTTTTATACTTAGTTTTAAGCATTTCCATTATATTGTGTCTAGATATAGGTTGATTATTTGATTGCTTTTGTATTTGGTCTACCTGATGTTTGTTGAGCCCTAAGATAATTATTATTATTATTTTATCAATTTGAAAGATATGTTGTGGCTGTGTTTTTAAGTACTTTTTTTGCACCATTTTCTCTCTCCTCTCTTGATAGTATTCTATTATATGTATGTTAGTTGGCTGGTGTTGCCTCCCTGGCATCATTCTTTTTTTGTTCACATATTTTTTCTCTTTGTGCTTCTGTTTAGCTTTAAGCTTACTGATTTTTTTTCTTTAAGCTTACTGACATTTTTTCTACTATGTCCCATCATCTGTCAAGATTATCAGATTAATTCTTCATTTTTCCTATCAAGTATTTATTTTGTCATTTTAATTTGGCATCTTTTTTAGAGCATATAACTCTTGTAAAATTATTGATTTGTTTGCAGATTTTGTCTACTTTATCCACTATATTTATTAATGTAATTGTCATCGTTATGTTAAAATCCCTGTCTGTAATCATCATTAGCTAAATTATTTCTCTGTCGGTTCTCTTGACATTTTTCTTTCTTCAAGTTTTACATTTTCTTGTTTGTTTCTTCCACATTTTTTAAAGAAAAATGTAATGCTGGTTATTATGTGTCAAGGAACAATAGAAGTGAAGTAAATAATATTACATTCAGAAAAGAAGGACATGCTCTTTCTTTTACCAGGTTGCTAACTTGTGATTTATCTGTGTCTGGTTTTTATTGTAGTTTACTAAGATTGAGTTCCCCACTGGATTCAATTTTTTTTTTCAGGGAAGAATCAGGCCTTTACTTTCAACAGGGATTGAGATATAAGTGCTGATGACTTTCCAGAAATCTTCACATATTACAAATCATCTTCTAGCTTTTATGGTTGGTAAGGAGTTCTCTGTGCTTTCTAGCCCTGCACCCAGATTTATGCACCTGAACAAACCTGGCTCCTCTTGTTTATGCTTGAACTTCAGCAACTACTGCCTTGCACATGATGAGGTGCAGTGTATTGCAGGGTCACCTTTAAATTTAGCTCAACAGTAGTAGGAAAGAAGTTCAGCAGAGAATGTTCAGTGATTCCAGGCAATTGTTCAGAGAGTTTTTACAATGCCCATTTCCTCTATTTATGGATAAATGAAAATGCAAGAGATATTGTACACATTCTAAAGTCCATGTAATATTTTTAACATCTAAGATAATAAGTGCTTTGTGATCAGTAGACACTCTGCATGTCTTTATTTTAGTTGAATGCTAATGTAACTGGGACTGGCAAATAGAAAACCATCAGTTGTTCAGATCACATCAATTTGCACTATATAAAAATTAGAGAAGTACAAACAGGCAATTCATTGAGCAACAAAGCACAAGTGAATCCACACACCCCATCTTCTCCCCAGTATAAAAGTCGTTTTTATATTTTAAAATAAATAAAAACAAAGTATCAAGTATTTCCTGGGGACTGAGGCTAGAAACACACATATACAGTATATTCCATTACATGCATTCTTCATTTTGATATTGTGATAGAGGTCAACAGGTTAATTAAAACATAGGATATGCTGATGTAAGCATCAGTGAAGTCTGATGATTTTATAACTTCAATAACTCTTGATCTTTTGCATTTCAGAAAAATATACCTCACTATTCTTCTCATGTCAGTTCTTAATAGATACATGAAATTCACTTTGAGTTCTCTAAAAACAATATTATAACAAAAGATTATTATTCTCATTTATTTTTAAAGAGTAGTTATTACAGTTTGAGATGTATAAGAATTATGAGGGGATAATGCTAAAATGAATATTCCTAAGTGTCCATCCCAAGAAATATTGATTCTGAAGTTTAGAGATGAGGCTCAGTATATTAGTTAGGGTTCATGAGAGGGACAGAACTAATATGATAGATGAAGCAGAGTTTATTAAGGAGTATTGACACACACGATCACAAGGTGAAGTTCCGCAATAGGTCATCTGCAAACTGAGCAGCAAGGAAGCCAGTCCAAATCCCAAAACCTCAAAAGTAGGGAAGCCAACAGTGCAGCCTTCAGTCTGTGCCCAAAGGCCTGAGAGCCCCTAGCAAATCACTGAAGTAAGTCCAAGACTCCAAAAGATGAAGAACTTGAAGTCCAATGTTTGAGGGCAGGAAGCATCCAGCACATGAGAAAGACGAAGACCAGAAGACTCAGCCAGTCTAGTCCTCCCACGTTACTCTGCCTGCTTTTATCCTAGCTGTGTTAATTAGATGGTGCCCACCCAGATTGAGGGTGGGTCAGCCTCTCCCAGTCCACTGACTCAAATGTTGATCTCCTTTAGCAACACCCTCACAGACACACCAAGGAACAATATTTTGCATCCTTCAATCCAATCAAATTGGCACTCAATATTAACCATCACAATCAGTATCTGGATGTAAGGAGTGAGGCAAGCTCTACTTAAAATGTTGCCTTCTAATAAAACCCCAAATTTTAATCTGATTCATTACAACCTGATAAGGACATGTCCTGGCCCTTATCTTGCTGGTAACCTCTGACACTACTGAGTCCTCATTGCTTCAATATCAGCTACACTGACTGTCATTTAGTTTCTATAAAACTGCACGTTTCAGGGCAAGGCGGGTGGATCTCAAGGTCAAGAGATCAAGACCATCCTGGCCAACATGGTGAAACCCTGTCTCTACTAAAAATACAAAAAAATTAGCCGGGCATGGTGGCAGGTGCCTGTAGTCCCAGTGACTCAGGAGGCTGAGGCAGGGTAATCACCTGAACCTGGGAAGGAGAGGTTTCAGTGAGCCGAGATTGCGCCACTGCACTCCAGCCTGGAGACAGAGTGAGACTCCATCCAAAAAAAAAAAAAAAAAAAGCCAGCAACAACAACAAAAAACCTGCACATTTCTTCCTATCTTTATAACATCACATAAGCTGTTTCCTCTGCCTGAAACCCCCCATTTTTTTTGTCTGGTCAACTCCTTCTTATCCTTAGATCTCAACTTAAATGGTTCCCTAATGCATACATTATATGAGGTAGGTTTAATTTCTCTGAGTCACCCTCCCACCCCAATTAGATATATCTTTTAAAACTTGCATTTCTTCACAGCCATTTACACAGTTATAATTACTTCCTTATTTTGGTAAACACCAGTTAAATCACTGCCTTTTCCAGTATCAATATAAGCTTAGTGTAGACATTGATATTGCTGGTTATGCTTAACAACATACATAGTGACTATCTCAGTGCTTGGCACAAAGCAGACATTTCATAAGTACCTATGGACTGACTGATTTCATGTATGCAAAAAGAAGCAATTTCAATCATTAACTCTGTGACCTTCCATGTTACTTCATTGCTGCTATGTTCAGTTCTCATTTCTCTTCTTCTTCTTGAGACAGACTCTCCCAAATTTTTCTCCATCCACATGGAGAAAAATCTCCATCTTTGGGTGCTGTCCTGTTATCTCTAATAACCTCTCCTCCTGACCACAGCTGATTGCTCAAAGCAAAGGCAATTATAGTTCTTGTACAAAAGTTTTAGAAATAAGGTCAAGAAAGAGAAGCAGTCTCTCCTTGGTTAATTGATCTAATAGGTAAATAGGAAATTAATCTAATAGATAAAACACACAGGCTGCTGAACGGTCAGCAGCCATTGTTCATAGTTAACAATTGACAAAGTAGAGAAATTCCATCTCCGGAGGAAAAAGGATGAAGTACACATTCATAGAGGTGTGTGAAAAAATAATCCTGTTTTAAGTCTAGACTGTAGCTATTCTTGAGGTCCAATCTCTTTCCTATATTTGGGCTTCCTAAAGAAATTCTCCACATTGGAAATCTGACAAGATCTCACTGGGCAAAAATCAAGGTATCTGCAGGGCTGCATTCCTTTTTGTGGGCTTTAGAAAAGAATCTAATCCCTCCCTCTATTCTAGAGGCTCTATGTTTTCTGTGGCTAGTGGCCATTTCCTCCATCCTCAAAACTAGCAATGTTACCCTTCTTTCTAACCTCAGCTGAGAAAGGTTTTTGCTTTCAAGGACTCATGTGATTAGGTTGGGCCCACCCAGATAATCTCATGTCAAGGTCCTTACCTATAATCACATCTGCAAAGTCTCTTTTGCCAGGGAATATATCCATAAGTTCTGGGAATGAGGACAGGGACATTTTTGGAGAACGATTATTCTGCCCACCAAATTCAGTGTCCTTGAAACAATTTCCCCTATGTGTATATAAACTAAGTCAGGCTGAATTTCTGTACCAAAAAGACTCCCCTCCATAACCTCTTATGTGTCTTCTGTCTAGATTAACAGGAATCAAATTTCTAGGTTGGAAACCCAGAGCTTCCTTCAATGTCTTCTATTCATAGTACACATATCCAGTTATTCACAAAGTCCTGCACAATTTACCCCTAAGATGGCTTGACTTAATCTTCATTTTCCATTTTCATTCTGTTCAGCTATGTTTTAGTTCTGGGGTTAGACCTCTTTTTGTGACAATAATTTACAACCTGTATTCCCTGCCTATAATTTCTTTCTTTCCATAGCCACACTCCTTGTTAATAACAGAATTATCTTTCACTACTTATCATGTAATCACATAATGTTACAAATTTCCTAATAAAAAACATTTAACAGCCCTGAAAACCTTTAAATCAAATTGAGAAATTCACAAAATGATCAAATTTAACCCAGGGTATATTTCCTTTTATTCTGCCTTCTTTGTCCTCCCCTCCTCCTGAGTTACCTTAAGAAGTTAATGAATATTTATTTATGGCATAAAATGTTTGCTTCATCCATCATTCATTTATCCCTGCACTATAATATGTACTATTAATGGAGGAAAGAAATGAAAGTATAGTCTAGGAAGGTTGATGAAAATGTCGTGGTTCAGAAGGGAGAGAAATCTACAATAGATGAGATAAGCAGGGAATTCTGGATTGGAGGAAGTCCTGATTATGAAACACATATAAATTTTTTTTATTAAAAAGTATTCATTTCTTAATTTTAATAATTATTTAAATTTTTACTATCATTCTATGCTCTGAAGAAACTGTAGTGAATAGCAAAGTTCTTGCTCTCACAGAGGAGAAGACGATAGAGTTCCAGGGGAGAAAACAGACAATTAACAAGTAAATATGTATACAATTTTGGATAGAAGCATTGCAATAAAGAAAATCAAGCAGGGTAAGAAATTAGAGAGTTTAGGTGAAAGCTGGAAGATCTTTAATTGGGTTACAGGGACAGTCTCTGAAGAAGTGACATTTAAGAACAGATCTGAATGATAACAAACTTTCTGCTATGTGAAAACCTAAGGACACAGAACTTGAATGTAGGAACTAGCTGTGCAAAAGAGCATGGTTTGAAAATAAACATGTAGTATTTGAGGACGAGCAAATAAGGCCAGTATGGCAATAATGCAGGAAGCAAAGGCGACAGCCATGAAAAATAATATAAGAGAGAGAAAGATGTGCAAATCTAAAATAACCCTTGTTCACCATGAAATGGAGTTTGGATTGAATTCTATGTGCAATGGAAAGGCATTGGAGAATCTTAATGAGAAAACCTGCAATTTGATGTGCACCTTAAGAAGCTCACTCTAGCGACTATGGGGGGAATGGATCTTAGGGGAATAAAGAAAAAAGGAAATATTAGTGAAGGAGCTACAGCAAGAGTCCAGGCAAGAGAGCTGGTGGCTGAGGCAAGGAATGTGGCAGGAGATGTGAGAAATAATTGGATTTGAAACACGTGTCAAGGACTGAGCTGACAGGTGTTAAGGAACAGAGTGTAAAAGAGGAGGAGAAGAGGTCTAAGGATCGAGCCCAGGGTGGCACTCCAATGCTTAATGCTTAAGACTTAAGAAAAAAGTCAGCAAAGGAAATTGATAAGTCCTTGAAGGAGCCAGGAGAGGAGGGAGTGATACCTGGAAGCCAAGCGAAGAAAGAGCTTTAAGAAGAAAGGGATCTGCTATGTCAAACGAAGTTGACAGGAAGGATAAGGAAGAGGACAAGTTAAAGATCATTGATAACCTTAATAAGAGCCCTTTTATTATTAGGACAAAAGTCCTATTGGAATAGGTGAAGGAGAAAAGAGGGGTTGAAGCTACGGAGAAAGAAGCTCTTTAAAGGACTTTGCTGTGAACACAAATAGAAAAGTGAGTTTTTGAAAAATTGATATGAAGATGTTTGCTTGCCTATAGGATTTGAGATAATAATAAGCTTTATTATAATAGGGTTGACTATACTGCCAATGTTGATGACATCCCGTATCAAAAATTTCTCTGCATAAGTCTAGTATTATAGTAGCCAGCACACTATGTAATTAAAATGTTAGGCCTACATAGGAATCTTGACCCTGCTTTTGGTAAATGTGTGAGCTTAGACAAGTTAGTTAAGCTCCTTGAACAACTGTTTTCTTATCCATAATATGGGGATAATATTGGGCTTTTTAAAGGAGTAAATGTGATAATATAGAGAGAGTATTTACAGCAGTGCCTGAAACACTCAATAGTTGAGATGAAATATCATCATTACTGTTTAGTGCTTGACTGTTAATACCTTCTACAATCAGTGATATAGCCCATTAGGATTTTAGCTGCACCAAAGAGAACTATTTCTGTCTTGACATCCTCCCCCTTTATGTGTCTCTTTTTCCAAGCTAGACCCTAATATTATTTCCCATTTCAAAGCACCACAGGGGATATAGCCAAGGGGATGAAACGGCTGTGTGTCAGGCCACATACCAAAACACAGTGAGTTAATGTCATTTTAAACATAGTTTGCTTATGTGTAAATTAGCTTGCAGATTTTCAAGCTTCCTACCACTAATTACTAAATTAGTAAGAGTTACCCTGCAGGGAAAGCAGCAATGAGGAAGACAAACATGGCATTCTTATGTGACTGCTCATTTGCATCATTCCTACAACTCTGGCTTGCCGGAAGACAACCCCCTGCTTCTCCTAGTTAAATCTAATATGGCACTTACAGTTTTATACAAGAATATTAGGCAACAAATTAGCCCAAAGCTACAATTAATTATAATCCAGAGTCAACCCAGGGGAATAGAAAACTAAACACATTTCTTAACATTTAGCTCTCCTCTTGGCCCATGCAAATTGGCAAGATAATTTCCTAACTCAGGACCTGCAGGTTGAAATTTCAGCAAAGAAGCTTTGGTAAGAAAGCTGTGACATGTATGGTTTCTGATGTATATAGTCACTTGAAAACAGTACCTCACTTCAAATCCCAATTCTCACTGACTAACTTCTTGCCTTGAGTGAATCTATTAGTCAGGACAATCTTGTATGCAAGAAAGAGGCAGAAGTCCAATTCAAACAGCTTAAGAAAATATGTGGACACAGTTAAAGGGGAGGTTGCGGATAAAAATGCTTTGGGCATGACTACATCCAAGGGCTGAAAGGATGTGATCAGCAATTGGTCTCTGTTTCTTGTGTTTTCTTCTGTGTACATCATCTTCACTGTGAGCAGTCTCAGCAGAAAAAAATGTATTTCATTTGTTTATGGCAGCTTGAAAGTACCCCTAGAATTTAGTCATGTACCCACCCCTACACCAATCACTGTAGCCTGTGTTGTATTAATGCTGACTAAGTCAGGCCTGGGTTACAGGCCTAATGCTAAAGACAGGTGGCACCATCTTCCCCTAAGCCACACAGAATGCTGTTGGTTTCATTCCCCCAGGGAAAATCAAAATGTTGTTATTATCCTAAGGAAAGAAGTGTGAGTTGAGGAGTGTTAGAAAGGAAAATGCAACAGATGCCCAGTATTGCAAATGATGCAATTGCTTAAAGTTTGTTTCCATGTTTTTATATATATATATAACAACTATTATTATAGTACCTGTCTGTTTTAGTCCATTTTATGCTACTATAGCAGAATACTACAGACTGTATTATATATATATATATATATCTATGTATAATATATATGTTATATAGCAGAATACTACAGACTGTATTATATATATATAAAATATCTATGTATAATATATTTGTTATATGTATATGTATTATACATTATACATAGAGATTATATATATTATATATTACAATAGAGAGTATATATTATAAATAGATATATATTATGCAAGAGCTATTATATATTATATATAGAGAGAGATTTTATATATATATCTCTCTCTCTAACATATACCCAAGCTGGAACGCAGCAGTGTGAGCATAGCTCATTGCAGCCTTGAACTCCTATGTCACTGACCTCGATCCCTGTTGGACTGAACAAAGGATGATGGTACTCCATGTAGGTAGGGCTACAGGTTCCTGGTTAATTTATTTTTATCGTTATATATATATATATTGTAGAGATGAGGCCTCTCTATGCTGCTCAGACTGTATCAAACTCCTGGCTTCAAGGGATAATCCTGCCTCAGCCTCTCAAAGTGCTGGGATTAAAGACATAAGCCACCAAAACTGGACCCTAGCTTATGATGAATAGAAATGTATTTCTAATGGTTCTGGAGCTAGGAAGTTTGCAGGTGCTGGCATCTTGTGAGGGCCTTCTTGTGCATCCTCATATGGTGGAAGGCTAGAGGGCAAAAGGAAACAAATGCTGTGTCCCTATATGGCAGAAGACAGTGAACTCATTTCCACACCTTTTTTATAGGGGCATTAATCCACTCATGAGAGCAGAGCCCTCATGACCTAAGCACCTCCTATCCTCCTAAAACAGTTACATTGGGGGCTAAGTTTTCAACACATGAATTATGGGGAATCAGATAAAGGCATTACCTCATGGGATAAGAACATTTGGCAAAAACTACAGGCTAAATAATTGTTATTGCTTCCTCAAAGTTATTATGTGTATACATTACTATAGACCCTCACAACTGATTTCACGTTATCATTTCATATGTAATTACACACACATTGTATGTTATAAATAAATTATTTTATCCTGTTTAGCAAGTGGTTCTTTGAGCATATGAAGGTAAATATTTCTCAAAAGCACACATCATATTGCAAACATGGTTAGTGTTAGCCTTCCAGTCACCACACTCAAAATATCCAGACTTTTCTTAGATGAGTGAGGAGAATTTGGTTGGATTTAGGAAGGTCAAACACCAGGAACCTTCATCTATAAAACTCCTGATGATAAACCCCATAGAAAGGTCAAGCATAAACACAGTTGGTAACCCTGGTCAGTCATTCAATTGAGGTTATTTTATCTTACTAAATTTAACAAATTATCACAAGGTGTACTTAGGCCAATAACCTGCCTTAGTTTTTGACCATGTGATTTTGTAGTCTTTCTTAAATGTCATTTTAATCTCACACATTGTACCTACCAGGCTAAGTAATTCTATTAATAGATTCGAAAATATTATATATCCTCTTTTGATCTTAAATGTTTGGTAGGTCCTATGTATACACAAAAAGTAGAACTACCTGAAGAAGATTTTCTCTGTACCAATTGGTATCTTACTTTTTGAAAAGAGCAGGAAATAAACTAATACTGGTTTTAATAATAAAGGAAATGCATTGACCCATTTAGCTGGATAATCCAGAGGTAAGGTGAGAGATTAAGGATCAGATTGAATAGATTCCTATCTCATTTTTCTGCAAATAATTTAGCAGCTCTCTTCTCAATTTTTTCACTTTCTCATCTGACTGGCTTTTCTGTGGTAGAAAGATGCTTATATACGTTTTGGATCTCACATCCACATATTCACTATCCAGAGGAAGAGAGGGTAAAGTGCTCCAATGACGTAGAGAGTAAAAACAAGCTTTATTGTTAGAATTGTTATTCATAAACCATGAACAAACATATCTTTGGGTATCCCTGGCCTGAAAAGAGCCATATATCCATCTCAGATGGAAGGCATGGGCAGATGGGCTTCAGCCATTCAGAACCAATCTGTGATGGTGTCCCCCTCTTGTGTTCAGCTTCTTTTATTTAGCATGCTGTGTTGCAAGTTTATCTCTATTGCAGCATGCATCAGTACTTTATTCCTTTTTATGGTTGAATAATTCCATTGTTTTCATATACCACCATGTGTTTATCCATTCATCCAGTGATGAACATTTGGGCTGTTTTTTTACCTTTTATTTATGGTGAATATTGTTACTAAAAACATGCATGCACATGTACTTATGTCAGTAATTTCTTTTAATTATTTTGGATATATAGCTAGGGATGGAATCCCTTAGCCGTATGGTAATTCTATGCTTAACTTTTTGAGGAACTGCCAAACTGTTTTACACATTGGTTGAACCACTTTACATTATTACCAGTAATACACAAGTGTTTTGATATCTCTGTATCTTTGCCAACACTTATTTTTGTGTGTTTTGATAGTAGTCCTTCTAATGTATGTGAAGTGATATCTCATTGTGATTTTGATTTACACTTCCCTGATGACTAATGATGTTGAACATCTTTTCATGTGCTTGTTCACCATTTGTATATCTTCTTTGGAGAAATGCCTATTAAATTCCTTTGCTCATTTTTTTACATGAATTGTCTATCTTTTTGTTGTTGAATTGTGAGTTATTTTATATTCTAAATACTAGAACTCTATCAGAGGTATGGTGTGCAAATAGTTTTCTCATTTGGAAGGCTGTCTTCACTTTCTTGATAATCCTTTGATACACAAATTTTTTAATTTTGATGTAGTCAAATTTATCTATTTTTTCTCTTGTTGCTTGTGTTTTTGATGTCTTTAAAATCCATTATCAAATCCAAAGCCATGAAGATTTTCCTCTATATTTTCTTCTAAGCGTTTCATGGCATTAGCTGTTATATGAGATAACAATCATTTTGAGTTAATTTTTGTATATGGTGTGAGGTAGGAGTCTAAGTTTATTATTTTGCGTGTGAATATCCTTTCATCTCAACATCTTTTGTTGAAGAAATTATCCTTTCTCCATTGCATGGTCTTGGCTCCTTTATCAAAAATCAGTTCACCAAAGGATATGAATTTATTTCTGGACCCTCAAATCTATTTTATGCATCAATGTGTCTATCCTTGTGTCAGTACCTGTCTTGGTTACTGTAGCTTTGTGATAAGTTTTGAAATCAGGAATTGTAAGTCCTTCAACTTTGTTCTTCTTTTTCAAGATTGTTTTGGCTATTTGAAGCCTCTTGTAATTACAAATGAATTTGAATTTGAGAGACAACTTTCCATTTTTGCCAAAAAAAAGCTATTGGAATTTTGATAGAGGTTGCATTGATTTGTACATTGCTTTAGGTAGTGCTGACATGTTAACAATACTGTCTTTCAATTCATATACATGGAACATCTGTTCAATTATTTAGTTATTTTAAAATATATTTTAGCATAGCATTTGCTATGTTGATCACAGTCAGTTACATGAATGAACAACATATCAACTTTATGTACAAATTTAAAGGATTGTTTATCTAGCACCATCTTCTTCAGCAGTCACTTTTCTTCTGCCCTAGCTAGAAGGCTGAGCTTTTATACTCCATGCATTGTTGTGCATTTCCCATTATTGTAACTGCCTCTGGGTAAAGCAGAAAGATTAAAAAGCCTATAGGGGTTTTGCTACCATTGCTGCCAATGCCAGTGCTACCACTACAGAGATGCAGATTCATTATGGGTCTTGCCTCGGGTCAGTCTGTGATAGTTAAAGAAGCTGTGTCCCACATATACCCCATTTTTTTGATTCCCTGGCCATAAAGTAAGTGTTTATTTTTAGGTAGGGGGTACTTTTTTGTTTACCTTTTGTGTGTAGTTCCAGGAATCAGAGTATCCTAGAATTTAAGACACATGAAAATAAAGAATAACTGGGAGGCTTTGGGTTTTACCTCTGATATATAAAGAGCTTGTAAGTGGTCATTACCACCCTCAAAACAGGAAAAATCCTTACAAACCAAAAAGCAGTGACTTTTATTGAACCCATCAGAAAACTAAGGTCATGGGACAAGCCATCACCTTAAAATCTGGAGAGATTGGTACATCCAGAAAGATACAGTGCTTTAGATTTGCTTATCTGGAGAAGTCGTCGAACACTATAAACTGCTAAAACCATGTACTTTACTAGGCATTTTGATGAATTTCTAGGAGTGGAGTAGAAACTAATATGAGAATCAAAGTCCTGGGATCCACAGTCATAGGAGCTCCTCCACTTTTCATAAAGTTTTATTTCCTGGAACCCCACCAACCTCTCCTGAAGTGATCTGAGAAGGACTGTGGCAGCAGGAGAAGAAGCCTTCTTGAAGCCCTCCCAGACTCTTCCTTATAACAAAGAGCTGTCTCCAGTGTAAGGAATTCTCTAGCAGGTAATTCTGAATTTCACCCCACGTTAGCACGCTACAGACTTCCAGCCTCACCTGAAAACAGAGAATATCCATAGTCAATGGGGCTTCAAGACAATAGATTAATGATGATGCAGTCAGAGAAAGAAGGAGGAAAGGAGAGAGGAGAAATAAGTCTACTCCTGGAGTAGGTATGGGAGCACTTGTGAAGGCCACATCTCTGTGATACAGGCCCATGGAAACATCAACATTTAATAAGATTATAAGATTTTTTCCACACACTCTAACCACACCAAACAGTGTAATAACAATGAATTAGAGCTGAAAGAGCTGCAAGAGTCTCTCCCTGCAGAGCAGTGCTAGGGAAATCCTCAAAGACTAGAAGGGAGAGCCTCTAAAATTTAAGGAATTAGAGGAATTGAAGGCTCTGGTACCTATATCTAAAAAAAGTTAAACACAGCCAAGCTCCTAGCCATATTGATAAAATCCTTTCTCTAAAAATCTATTTACTCAGTACCATTTATTGAGTAACATGTGTCTAACTTTACCTCTAAATTAGAAGGCAAACCAAAGGACAAATTAAAAAAAAAAAAAAAAAGAAGCAGTCTTAAGAGACAGAGCAAGCATCAGAACCTGACTCAGACGAGACATAGATATTGGAGTTACAAACAAAGCATTTAAAATAACTATGATTAATATGTTAAGGACTTTAATGTAAAAAGGAGACTACAGGCAAAATCAATTGGGTAATGTCGGTAGAGAAATGAAAACTATAAAATGGTTAGAAATAACCAAAAGGAGATGCTAAGAATCAAAAACACAGGAACAGAAAATAAGAATGCCTTCAAAGGGCTTGTCAGTAGACTTGACACATCTGAGGAAAGAATCAGTGAACCTGAAGATAGGTCAATAGAAACTTTCAAAACTGAAATGCAAAGGAAATAAAACAATTATTATTTTTTTTAATAACACAGCATCCAGGAAATGTGGGACAATTGCAAAAAGTGAAGCATTAACCATAATTGGGACACCAGAAAAAGAAGAAAAATGGAACTGAGAAGAATAAATATTTGAAGTAATAATGTCTGAGAGCATTCCAAAATTAATGACAGATGCAAAACCACAGACTCACGAAGCTCAGAGAATAGAAGTAGGATAAACATAACTCCCCACAACAAAACACGAACAAATCCAAAACTATAAAAACCACGTAGGTATATCATATTTCAATTGCAGAAAACTAAAATCAAAGAGACAGTCTTGAAGAAAGCCAGACAGGGGAAAAACACCTCACCTACAGGGGAACAAAGATAAGAATTATAGCAGACATCTTATCAGAAACCATATAAGCAAAGAGAGTAGAGGTTAGAAGTAACCAAAAAATTCACTGCCACCTGGCCCATTCCACAAGTTTTTGCTTTTCTCTTTTTAGTTGGCCGGCTATTGTATATTTTTTCAGAGTCATCTTTGCTTTATATATTTCTTCCAGGATTTTTAGTTGTAATCAATGGGAGAAATAGAATAGAGTGTGCTGGCCGGGTGTGGTGGTTCATGCCTGTAATCCCAGCACTTTGGGAGGCCAAGGCGAGTGGATCATGAGGTCAGGAGTTTGAGACCAGTCTGGCCAACCTGGTGAAACCCCGTCTCTACTAAAGATACAAAAAATTAGCTAGGTGTAGTGGCACGTGCCTGTAATCCCAGCTACTTGGGAGGCTGAGGCAGGAGAATCACTTGAACCCCAGTAGGCGGAGGTTGCAGTGAGCCGAGATCGCACCATTGCACTCCAGCCTGGGTGACAGAGTGAGACTCCATCTCAAAAAAAAAAAAAAGAATAGAATGTGCTTACTATATTATTTAATCCTAGTACCAGGCTTTCTGTTTTAATTCTTATAATTATCCTATGAAGTAGGTAAAATTTTACTAATCTTTGAAGCATGTAAAACTGAAACAGGTTAAGTGGCTTACTTGGGTATCTCAGGCTGCTAAAAGCTATGCCAGGGATTTCACTAGAAAATAAAAACAAATTTTTGTAAGTCACTTTGCTTGTTTGTGTGCACGTGCACATGTGTGTGCATGTGTGCATATATTATAAAGCCAAATACAAGTTCTCTTACCAAACTTTCCCCTCAGTGAGTAAGAGACACTTATCACCAGAACTTATGTTAAATCAACTTAAAGACTGAAATATTTGGAATCTTATTTTAAAAATAATTTAATTTTCATTTTATTTTCCTAAGAAATTCTGGATTACTTCCTTTATACTCTTTTTGACAGATGGTTAAGGAAAACTATTAAGACAAAGCAAGAGAGGAGAAATAATGCCATGCAAAGATAGAAGATACCACTCATTTAAATTAATCAGTTATTAATAAATAAATGTTAACTATTTTTGATAAATTTCAGACATATTCTGCATTTTATGAGTAATTTTGCCTACAGAAATAGTTGATCTCTTTAGAATTCCATAAGGTCAAATAGTGCTGTACCTATTCTTCATTGTAGTCATCAGAATCGCAATTTTACATACACCTATTTCATTAATATATTTTCTCCGATGCTAGATGGTACATTTATGAGGGCAGAAATTCTCTTTGAATTTGCTCACAATTATTTCATCAATGCCTGGCATGTTTCCTGGCACAGTAGGTTTTCAATAGTTGTATATTGATTGAAAATTACCTCCATGAAAGCTCAACAGGCCCTACACATAAAGAAAAAAGATGGAAAAGAATGATGTTTGTCTTGACACATTAAGAATCTAGCTCAGGACTTAACCCGTGTTTATAAGATTAATGAATAAATGAAATTATTAGGGTACTAACAAGACACATTATGTATTTTCATTAGATAGGGTTTACAGAAATATTGAATTAAGCAAATAAACAGAAAAAGGTATTATATGGCCATTGTTAAAATGAAAATAGACAATGGAAGTAGTTTTCATTTCAATTCAGTTAGGCTGGGAAATAGGAATACAAAGAGAAGATCCTTTGCCTCTGGGAGAAAACTGCTAAATAGAGAGGCCAAACCTGTCAAACAATCAACAGGCAATGATAAGGTAGTATAATGGAAGTATGAATAAAGAGCTTGGAAATCAAACATGAAGTAGCAACCAATTTTCTCTGGGAGTAGAAAGGGATGGGAAAGGAACTCAGACAATTTTAGAGAGGAGGTGAACTTTGAGCTGTAATTTGAAGGATAAGGAGAAATTTGTTTTAAATGGCATAGTCTCTTCTTTTCCAGTTATAAATCCAAATATCTGTGAATTTATGCTAAACCCTTAATTTTATTTATTTTTTCCACCCTATTCTTAGTGGAGAACAAACATTTTACTCACTCCAACAAAGATTTTGCACCATGTTTTACTACCTTGTCAGTTTAATAATGGGATATTGAAGGGCTATGGTGAAATGACTATCAATGTGCTTCCTACAACTCTGACAAGAGCTTGGAGATGAGTAACCTCATTTGTCCTTTAAGGTAAAATTAGAAGAATAATCCTCATTATATATTCCCATAGTAACCTATACTTCTTTTGTTACAGTTGCTCTGAGTACATTTTTTTAGTCTACAATCTTCATGAGGGAAGAGACTACATGTTCTCCTTTTTTTGTATTATTAATGAAAAAAGCCAAACTTTGTAAAGTATTTGAAAAGATTTATACAAATGACCATGGCCTACGTTTGACACAGCCTCTGGGAGCCCTGAGAATGTATGCCCGAGGTGGTTGGGTTACAGATTGGTTTTATACACTTCAGGGAGAAAGAATTTACAGACAAAGACATAAATTGGTACATATAAGAAATACATTGGTTCAGTCCCAAAAGGTGGGACATTTCAAAGCAGGGGATGCGGAGGGGAGTGGTGGTCCACAGGTCACATAGGCAGTTTCAAAGATTCTCTGACCGGCAGTTGGATGAAAGAGTTTAGCTTTGCCTGAGGAGTTGAAGTCAGCGGAGAAAAATGCTCTAGTTAAGACAAGGGGAGCTATGGAAGCCAAGGTTCTGGCTATGTAGATGACGTCTCTGAGTAACAGGCTTCAGAGAGAGTAGATGGAAGCTGTTTATTTTCAGATATTAAAAGGGGTCAGACTCTTAGTTTAATCTTTCCTGGATGAAGAAAAGACTTGGAAAGAGAAAGGGATTCTCAACAGAATGTAAATTTTCCTCACAAGAAATGACGTTTCAGGGCCATTACAAAATATGTCAAAGAAATATATTTTGGGGTGAAAGATTTTGATTTCCTTCAAGGCCTATTTTCTGTCATGTGATGCTATATGAGAATCAAGTTGGAATTTGTTATCTTATTGCTACAAAGAGTCTGTTTTGTCAGTGTTATGATCTCTATTTTAGGGTTAATGCTGGTCATCTGTGCTTCCAAGCCAAAGGGAGGAGGGTATAAAGAGGCATATCCGACCTCCCTTCCTGTCCCATCATGAATTCGTTTTTCGGGTTTTCTTCAGGATCCCCTTGGCCAAGAAGAAGGGTCCATTTAGTCAGTTGGGGGGCTTAGAATTTTATTTTTGGTTTACAGTATCTGACTTTTACCTAGTGAGTGCCTAATAAATACTTGAGTAAATAAAGAATCATCAAAAAAGGAGAAAGACATAGACATAAACATGGGTAATTTTTTTTTTCTCAAGAGCAAAGGAAATTTTAGCCATCCTCAATGGCAAGTGAAAATAAATTTAAATAAATTCCAGAAAGGTACAAATCTTTCAAAGAAAAAAGGAACGTGATAATTATTAAAAGAACCAAAAATAAACACTCAAAGTGAAAAATTGGATAGCAGAAATGAATAATTCATTTGGTGGTCTTAATAGCAGACTAAACATAGCAAGAAAAAAATAACTTGAAAATTGGTCAAGAGAAAGTATTCAAAGGGAAACAGTGAAAATATGAGAGAGAGTACAAAATCAGCTGTTTACTTGACAATAACAGTTGGTCTAATACATAAGTATTAAGAGTCCCAGAAGAAGAAAGAAGAGGTAGGCAAATATTTGTATAGATAAGGACCAAGGACTTTCTAAAGCTGACAAAATATAACTCATAGATGTAAGAAGCTTAGTGAAACTGAAGAAAAATAAATACAAATAACCTTACATCTGAATATACATCTTGGTCAAACTGATGGAAGCCAAAGACAGTGATAAAACAATATATGCAGTGATATGGCTTGGCTGTGTCCCCACCCAAATCTCATCTTGATTTCCCATATGTTGTGGGAGGGACCCGGTGGGAGGTAAATGAATCATGGGGGCAGGTCTCCCCACTGCTATTTTCATGATAGTGAATAAGTCTCACGAGATCTGATAGTTTTAAAAGGGGGAGTTTCCCTGCACAAGCTCTCTCTCTTTGCCTGCTGCCATCTACATAAGACGTGACTTGCTCCTCCTTGCCTTCTGCCACAATTGTGAGGCTTTCCCAGGCCTTCCTATGTGGAACTTTAAGTCCATTAAATCTATTTCTTTTGTAAATTGCCCAGTGATGGGTATGTCTATATCAGCAGTGTGAAAATAGACTAATACATGCTGTGAGAAAATAAAGAAGAAAGGTCAGTTTTTTAAAAAAATTCAGTAAGTCAAATCTACAACAATCAAATGATGTTTTTCTCATAAATGCAACTTTGTTTCGACATTTAAAAATCAATCCGTGTAATTCACAGTAAAGCATAAGGGAGAAAATTCATGTAATAATATAAATGCATATATAAAACATTTGACAAAATTCAATATTCATTCAAAATAAACACTCTCAGCAAATTACAAGTCAAAGAAAACTTCCTTGCCTGATAATTGGCAGTTAAAATAATCTTGAAATCTGGCATGATATATAACAGTAAAATACCTGAGAGGCCAAGGCGGGCAGATCACGAGGTCAGGAGATCGAGACCATCCTGGCTGACATGGTGAAACCCCATCTCTATTAAAAATACAAAAAATTAGCTGGGCATGGTGGCAGGCGCCTGTAGTCCCAGCTACTCAGGAGGCTGAGGCAGGAGAATGGCATGAACCCAGGAGGCGGAGCTGGCAGTGAGCCAAGATTGCACCACTGCACTTTAGCCTGCATGACAAAGTGAGACTCCATCTCAAAAACAAACAAACAAACAAACAAAAAAACAGTAAAATACTGAATATTTTGCTTCTTAGGTCAAGAACAAGGCAAGAATGTCTATTCTAATCACTTTGATACAATACTGTACTGGTGGTTTTGTCCAAAGAAATAAGTGAACAGATTAGGAAGAAAGAAGAAAAATTTGAGTTTGTTTGATTGTTTGGAGATGATTGTGTATGTAAAAGACTGAATGGAATCTATAAGAAAACTAAAATTAATCAATGAGTTTATCAAAGATGGAAGATACATGGTCAATATGCAAAAATGACATGTATTTCTATATATTAGCAAGAAACAATTTGCAATCTACTCATCTGACAAAGGGCTAATATCCAGAATCTACAAAGAACTCCAACAAATTTATAAGAAAAAAACAAAAAACCCTATCAACAAGTGGGCAAAGGATATGAACAGACACTTCTCAAAAGAAGACATTTATGCAGCCAAAAAACACATGAAAAAACGCTCATCATCACTGGCCATCAGAGAAATGTGAATCAAAACCACAATGAGATACCATCTCACACCAGTTAGAATGGCAATCATTAAAAAGTCAGGAAACAACAGGTGCTGGAGAGGATGTGGAGATATAAGAACACTTTTACACTGTTGGTGTAAACTAGTTCAACCATTGTGGCAGTCAGTGTGGCGATTCCTCAGGGATCTAGAACTAGAAATACCATTTGACCCAGCCATCCCATTTCTGGGTATATACCCAAAGGATTACAAATCATGCTGCTATAAAGACACATGCACACGTATGTTTATTGAGGCACTATTCACAATAGCAAAGACTTGGAACCAACCCAAATGTCCAACAATGATAGTCTGGATTAAGAAAATGTGGCACATACACACCATGGAATACTATGCAGCCATAAAAAATGATGAGTTCATGTCCCTTGTAGGGACATGGATGAAGCTGGAAACCATCATTCTCAGCAAACTATCACAAGGACAAAAAACCAAACACCGCATGTTCTCACTCATAGGTGGGAAATGAACAATGAGAACACCTGGACACAGGAAGGGGAACATCACACACCGGGGCCTGTTGTGGGGTAGGGGGAGCAGGGAGGGATAGCATTAGGAGATATAGCTAATGTAAATGACGAGTTAACGGGTGCAGCACACCAACATGGCACATGTATACATATGTAAAAAACCTGCACGTTGTGCACATGTACCCTAGAACTTAAAGTATAATAAAAAAAATTAAACTAAAATAATACCATGTGCAACAAAGCCTAAAATATTAAATAATTTGGAACAAATGTAAGAGCAAATGTGCAAGACTTAAGAAAATCATTAAGAATTCCTGCAATAAATCAGTTTTACACAACTTGCCTTATATTTTAAGAAATTAGATTTCACTGAGAGGAAATAAAACAATTTTGAACATAAGTAGCAAAATGGTTCATCTCATGTAATAACCTTGGTCAGTTGCTAAGGTATGCTTAGAACTTTCTGTTAAGAAGGATGGACCTGGTCTCAATGAGAGTGCTGTCAGAAACTAGCACTGTTATATCTGTTATAAACAGAGGACAAGACTCCAGGGTAGAAACACATGTAGTTTCTTATGACAGGGTTAATTCGGTGCTATCTGATACCAATCCTCCAAAACAATCTATTGTGGTAAGCAGAATAATGGTCTCCAAATATGTCCATGTCCTAATCCCTAGAACCTGTGAATATATTATGTTAAATATTCATGTAATATTCATGGCAAGGGGGAATTCAGGTTCAGGATGGGATTAAGGTTATTTATCAGCTGACCTTAAAATAGGAAGATTTTCCTGGATTATCCATTTTGGCCCAGTGTAATCACAACAGTTCATGAGTGTGGAAGAGAGAAGCGGAAGAGTCAGGGTCAGAGTGATGGGATGTGAGAAAGATTTGGCAGGCCATTGCTGACTTTGAAGATGGGTGAGGTCATGATTAAAGGAATGCAGTGGATTCTTAAACCTGGAAAAAGCAAGAACACAGACTGTACCTGATACAGCTTGGTTGTGTTTCCACCGAAATCTCATCTTGAGTTGTAGTTCCCTTAACCACCATGTGTCATGGGAGGGACCTGGTAGGAGGTAATTGAATCACAGGGACTGTTAACACCATGCTACTGTTCTCATGATAATGAGTGAGTTCTCATGAAACCTGATGGTTTTATAAGGAAGGGGCTTTCCTCTCTTTTGCTTGGTATGTTCTTCTTTCTGCTGCCATGTAAAGAAGGATGTGTTTGCTTCCCCTTTTGCCATGATTGTAAGTTTCCTGAGGCCTCCCAGCTATGCTGAACTGTGAGTCAATTAAACCTCTTTCCTTTATAAATTACCCAGTCTTGGGTATGTCTTTATTAGCAGTGTGAAAATGGACTAATAACACTACCCTAGAGCCAACAGAAAGGAATGTAGTCAATACCTTGATTTTTAGCCCAGTGAGCTCCACATTGGAATTCTGGCTTTCAGAACTATAACATAATAAATTTGTGTTATTTTAAAGAACTAAGGTTATGGTAATTGGCTATGGAAGCCATAGAACACTAATAAACTTACTTGAATAATTAGATAGAAGCTAAAGTGTTACTTTTTAGCATGAAAACAAAAAGTTTAAAAAGTTTAAAGTATTTAAAATTGCTAGGTAAGTTAGTTTTTCAGCAATCAGTTTTTTTCTTAGATTATAAAAATTGTAGACTTATTCTCACCTATTTATCACTTACTCAAAAGTGGAGGGTTTAAAATAATTAGGGTTTCTCAGACTATGAAAATAAGCCAACTTAAGACACTAAAAACTTCCAGAAGCATTCTATCACAGTAGTAAGCAAGAATGAGTGCCAAATATAACCACTTTTGCAAAAATTGTATCAGTGAGAAAAGTTATAACAGAGAGCTGAACTCACCCATCCCTATCTTGACTTTCCCTTAATTATTCCTGACTTTTGGGGCCAAGCTGACTTTAAGAGACATTTAGGCTATAGTTTAAATAATAGTAAGCCTTCCTCCCAAACTCAACGACTTTTTAAGGCTAATGGGAGGCCAGCAGGCTGGGAGGAGGAGAGGAGACTGAGTCCTGCTAAGGAGTAGACATAAAGGATTTTCAACCGTTATTTCAGAGTTTATAAGATATGTTACCTCCCCAGTTATTCCTGCAGATAAAACCACTATTATAGATTTGTCTTTTGAGATATCTTTTCAGGATTTCTGTATGTCTGACACTCATGGCTCCACCTGGACCCACCCACCATGTTCCTATGGCCCTACCCAGAAGCAATTTAGCACACAGCAGGACAGCTTCAACTCCCATGATTTAATCTGTGCCCCAACCAATCATCAACAAGCACCTATTACCTGGCTACCTCCATTGCTTCCCCCAAACTGCCTTTGAAAAACCCCAAACCTATGAACTTTGGAGGAGAGATGATTTGAGTACTAACTTTGTCTCCCATGTGGTGTGGCTGGCATGGGATCTATTAAACTCTTTCTTTACTGCAATGCCATGGTATTTGTGCAGCAGGCAGGAAGAAGCCCTTGGGCAGTTACACAACTGTCATTTGGGAATCAGTGGGAAGATAGATAATGCCCTTGTTGTTGCAAAAGAACTGCTCCTCTGTTCATGAAAGAAATCCATGTGTCAAGACTCTATCTGCTTCTGCATCTATCTTGCAGAGTAAGAAAAGTACAGTTATGATTTAGCCAAACCTGCCATTTTTTAATAATTTCCAGATCTTATTTATAACTCTGGGTTATCCCAACACATAATGAATACAGCTGTTATTTTCCTATGCATCCCTGAGTGTCCATGAGTTCTGTTGTCTCATATTAGTGACTCATCCTCCCTCACCTCCCATTCCATGCCTCCTGTTTCCTCTTCAGGTGGCATTGTCTATGAGGGGAAAAGTGAGATCGTGCTGTAAGCACGTCTTTGTTTCTCACAGCTGTGTGCTCTATTCTTTGTATTAAATTCAAAATTGCACATAGGGGAACAAATGTACCATCATGGATGGATGAAGGGAGTGCTAGTTTTTTCACATGTAATAGAAAATAAATTCTACGAACTATGCACACCGCAAATAGGACATCTTTATGGAAACATTAAAAAGCCCAGAACAGCCTCAAAATCCCAACTGCAGGCTATGTCCAAGAAAAATAAGCTATTAAATAGCTACCTAAAATTGAAAATTAAAAGGGGAAAATATAAAGGTGGAGGGAGATTTTTTTCTTTCCAACTTGTGAGTTGTTTCCAGCTCCATGAGCGGCAATCAAAACTAAAAGGAGCATTAATGAAGCCCTAAACCAGGACATAGAGGCACAGGGGAAAGCATTAGGGGTGCCACATTCCCTTCTGAGAGTCAGGAAAGAGTGGGAGGGCCTGAGGGCTGGGGGAGCTTCTAACTCAACTGTGAAAGGTGCTCTCAGAAGAAAGATTATCACCTTTGATCTTCTGGTTTGTATCGAAAGGGATAGAATTTCTAGTATTGAAACTTAAGAAAAAATTGTCTTTTGTTTAATCTTTTTTTTTTATCATGGAAAACCTTGACTCTTTGCATACCTTGGGTTCTCACTGCTGTTTTATATCCTTGATGAATAAATGATTGATGTTATATTTCATAAAATTTTAATTGTTGCAAAAATACCTACATATTTGGAGGCTTTGATGATTGTCTTTCTGATATATCTTCCAAATAGCAGAACATATAGTCATTTATACCTAGAGTTATCAATGGGATATTTTAAGGGCCTTAAAAATAATGGGGAAAGGAAGGGTTACCAGTATCTTACAGAAAGATTAGGACATGAGAGAAAAGTTTTTAAATTTGCAATAAAGCATTACCTGTATTTAACAACATATAAATAAAGTAGTATCGTTTTCTCATTTTTCTCTGGTTCTGTCATGCATTCAAGGCACATGTGATAGGCTGTAGGCAAGTGAGTGAGGTAAAAATACAAAAGACTCACGTTGGAAATACAATGCTGCTGATTACTAGCAGAATGATCTTTGCTAAACAGCTTAAACTCTCTGAGCCTCTGTTTCCTTATCTGCATTCACTACTTTTTGTGAAAACTAGTTACAGAATGCTTGGCACATAATAGGCACTTAATAAATAGTTATTGAATGAGTGAAAATGAATGGATGAATGAATACATAAATGCATTTAGGGAACTCCAGATCTTTCTCCCAAAAGTACTCTACTCACAGCCTTTCCCATCTCCATTGATAATCACACTGTTTGGCACACTTCACATCAGATATGTCAGGAAATTGTGAAAAACTTGATCTCTTCACCATATTCATTGCTATCACCTGATCTGAACCATCTCTTGGATTTCTATAATAATCTAATAATAAATTTTCCTGCTTCTACCTTTGCTATCCTACAATCTAATCTCAGAATGATTTAAAAAATAAAGAATAGAATAATATTCCTGTCTGCTCAAAACCTTATTTTAATCAAAATGAAGACCAAAGTCCTTACAATGGCCTACAAAGCCTGTGCAATCTAGCTCCAGTCTATCTCTCCAGCCTCATCTTTTTCTGGTCTCCTCCTTCTCTCTTGGCTTCTGCTACCCTGGCCACTTTGCAAATCCCAAACTAGCTGGGCGTATGGCTGCCTCGGGGTCTTTGCACTGGCTGTCCTTCTACCTGGAATGTTATTCCTCTAGCTTTACACTTGCAACTCTCTCATCACCCCCTGAAATCTTTATTCATTTCTCACCTTCTTGATGCTTATAATGGTCAGCTCATTTAATACTACAGCCAGCCCTTATCCCATATTTTCAATTTTTTTACTTTGCTTTACCTTTCCCCCTTTCTAAATGGCCTTAATGCTATGCATTATATATTTTTTAAATTTTACTTATTATGTTTTTATTATTATTTTGTATCCATGTCTACAAGCTAGAATTAAAACTGAGAGTTTTGTTTGCTAATGCATTCCAAAAGCCTGGAATATAGGGTATACTCAACAATTAGTTTTTGAAAGAACGTATTACTATTTTGAATAATATTATCACATAGTAATTACACACAATGATCTCCTGTATTGCCTCTTTACCTTGCTAAAGGATGCCAGTGATAAGAAGAAGGTACTGGAAGGATGGAAGGACTTTTTGACACCAGAAGTTCTGTCCCTAAGGGATGAAGATTGATTTTCTCCTCCCTGGCATGTAAAAATAAAGCAGTTGTCTTTGATGCTTATCCCCAGGACTTTAGACACAGCACCAATCAAAAACCCAGGGAAACTCCAGCTAATGGAATCAAATCACATATCAGTATCAAAGTCATCTCTGAGAAGAGAAATAAACAAGGAGGAAAACATCAAACTTTTGACATCAGGGGAGAAATCTAATAAGGAGAAGTCAGTGAAAGCTCAGGGCAAAATAAAAACCAGAACTGTTCTCATCTTTTCATCAAGTTAAAAGCATTTTATACATTTTCTTTCCACAGACCCTGATAACACGCATGCTTGATGGAGTGAGATCACTGTACAATGATCTGTTGTATGTAAAGATAAAATATAGCCCCCAAATTTTACTGTAATGAGTATTCAGTGTTTTTTAATCAACACATAATTGTACATATTTACAGTGCACATAGCAAAGTTTTGATAAATACAATACATAGTGATCATATCAGAGTAATTAGCATACCCCTCACCTCAAATATGTATTATTTATTTGTGTTGGGAACACTCAAAATCCTCTCTTCTAGCTTTTGAAGATATTACATGATTGTTAACTATAGTCATCCTACAGTGCAATAGAACACTAAAACTTATTCCTCCTATCTATCTGTAATTTTGTGTGCTCTTTAACAAATCCGTCCCCATCCTTCATTTCCTTCCCCCTACCCTCCAAACCTCTAGTATCCTCTATTCTACTCTTTACTTCCCATGAGATCAACTTTAAGCTTCCACATGCAAGAACACGCAGTGTTTAACTTTCTGTTCCTGGCTTATTTCACTGAAGATAACATCCTCCAAGCTCATCCATGTTGTCATGAATGACAAGATTGCATTCTTTTTATGACTGCATAATATTCCATTGTGTATATATTGCAACATTTTCTTTATTCATCTGTTTTTGGACATTTGGGTTGATTCCATATTTTGGCTATTGTAAATAGTGCTACAATAAACATGAGGTACAGATATCTATTTGATGTGCTGATTTCCTTTCCTTTGAATAAATACCCAGTAATGAGATTGCTGGATCATATGGTAGTTTTGTTTGTAGTCTTCTGAGAACCGTTCTTCATTGTGGCTGTACTAGTTCACATTACCAACAACACTGTACAAGGGTTCTCTTTTCCCCATATTTTCTCCAGCATTTATTTTTCATCTTTTTGTTAATAGCCATTCTAACTGGAATAAGATAATACTTCACTGTGGTTTTGATTTGCATTTTTCTGATTATTAGCGACGTCGAGCATTTTTCATATATTCATTTGCCATTTAGACGTCTTCTTTTAAGTAGTATGTGTTCAGATCATTTGCCCATTTTAAAAATGAATTGTTTTGGCTGGGGGTGGTGGCTCACACCTGTAATCCCAGCACTTTGGGAGGCCAAGGCGAGTGGATCACGAGGTCAGGAGATCGAGACCATCCTGGCTAACAGGGTGAAACCGCGTCTCTACAAAAACATAAAAAAGTAGCGGGGCGTGGCGGCGGGTGCCTGTAGTACCAGCTACTTGGGAGGCTGAGGAAGGAGAATGGCATGAACCTGGGACGTGAAGGTTGCAGTGAGCCGAGATCGCACCACTGCACTCCAGCCTGGGCGACAGAGGAAGACTCCGTCTCAAAAAAAAAAAAAAAAAAAAGAATTGTTTTGTTTTTGTCTTGCAGTTGAGATATTTGAGTTCCTTGTATATCCTGGATATTAATCCTCTGTCAAATGTATAGTTTTCAAATATTTTCTCCCATTCTGTAGATTGTCTTCTCACTCTGATGATCCTGTAATCAGCGAGTGACAATGAGAACACATTCTTAGGTCGGATCCCCTATGTGACTTTGGTAAATCATAGCTTGCTCATTGGTCAGTGGAGATAGAATTCTTGTAGGGATAAAATTATGTAATGCTTATGCAGCTCTTAGCACAGTGTTCATCACATAGAAAAATTTTAATTCTAGCTTGTTCTATAATATCTCATGTTTTATAAAGCAACATTCTGTCAGTGCAGTGGATTCTGTGGTCCCACGGAGCCATTCTGCAATGGAAGTGGCAAGGGGAATGAGCTTAGTGATAATCAGACACCATGGCCTTGGGCAAGCAATGTAAACATAATGATCCTTTTCACAAATTAAATGAGGATAATAATGCCCACCTCATAGGAGTTTATAGTCAGGATAATACACACAAGGGCAGTGTCTGGAACACAGGAAATGCTTAGTAAGTGGTTATTATTTTTATTATGATGATCATGTCCACTAAAAGAATATATCCTGTGACTCTCCCCACCTGTTTCTAAGTGTAGATCTCCCTTTTTCCTGCCTTTCATCCTGTGAGCTGTTGCTGGGCCTCTATCCCTATTGACTCCCTGCTCTTCTCCCTTTGCTGATCAGGTCATGAATTTCAGTTGGAATGATGTGCCCTTCTTCTTGGCCCCTTCACTAAAGCTAACGCTAGTGGCTGATTCCCCAGCTCTTGCTCTAGCCCAGCTCTTCACTTTATTCTCCATTCAAAATACCTTCTTGCTATTAGATCCAGTCTTCCTAATCAAGGCAAACCCAGATGTCAAGAAATGTGGAAAAACCTGGATGTGTTTTCTCTCTGTGAAAACATAAGGGAATCTAACTTTACTTTGCTATCCATATGAAGATTCATTATTAGCATTCTCAGTAATTATTTGTTATATTTGCCTGTACAGCATCCATTTTTTTTCCCTTTTGGTAATAGAGTTTCCTTTGAGGACCCATCCTTCCCTACTCACAGCCTCGTGGTGTGGGTAGGCATTATCTTAACCTGTAAGTCAAGAGAGGATATTTGATTCTTTAATACTCACATAAAGAAAGCTGGAAAAGACAGTCAGGGGGATGAACACAAAGCTGAGAGAAGAAGAGAACAAGAGCCAGTCTTGATGACATTGTTTGAATCCTAAGAAGAAGCCATGCCTGAAGCTGAACCACCTCTCTGTCGTTACCTCAGCCAATATGTCTCTCAATTGTTAATCCATGTTAAATTGAGTTTGCTGTCATTTGCAACTGATCTTGATACTCTATCATGTACAATTCTTCTTATGTTTGCTGAGGTATTTAGGTTTTTATAAGATCACAGGCCCATTCAAGAATTTGATGGAAGCTATGAACGCCCTCCACACACAAAAGATACAGAATACAGAAACACATATGTTGCAAATATTTCAAGTTGTCTAGTACTGCCTGGAAACCCAGATTCAGAACCTTATCTCTGTAGATTTAAGGGGAAAAAAATAGCACAATATAGCTTCTGAGAATGAGACATTTATTTCTTAATTATTTGGATGGGTTAAAGCAAGAGAAATGGCTTGAAGGGTGGATGTGGTTAGCCCTTTTTACAAAATCCTATAAAGGCAATATGCTTGAGTTAAAGATAGAAAATAGAGAAAATATCTACCACTAAAATTTGTTCTGCAATGGGTAAATTAATATAGGCAAAAACTATATTAGGTGCAGAATCAAACTGCTGCTAATATATATTTGTTCTTCTTGTTTCTATTTATTTTTTATGAAAAGTTTTAAAAATATACAAAATATGCAAACTAGTATAATGGGCCTTTGTATACCCATTAGCCAGCTTCAACAACTGTCAAATCATAGAAGATATTGTTTTACCTATAGCACTTTCCACTCTCTTCCTCTTACTTTTAATTTTTTATTTTTTAATTTAGGTGAAATTTACATAACATAATATTAACTATTTTAAAGTAAATAATTCAGTGGCATTTAGTGCACTTACAATGTTGTGCAATCACCATCTCTATCCACTTCTAAAAGATTTTCATTACCTTAAAATAAATACCATACCAATTAAGCAGTTGCTCCCCATTCCCTGCTCCTCCAGGCCCCTGGAAACCATTAATCTGCATTCTGTCACTATGGATTTATTTATTCCGGATATTTCACAAAAATTGAATCATAGAATATGTAACCTTCTGTGTCTGGCTTCTTCCACTTAACATGATATTTTCAAGGTCCATTTACATTGTAGCATATATTAATTCTTCATTTTTATGGTTAAATATTATTCTATTGTATGAATATTCCATAATTTGTTTATCCATTATTTGATGGACATTTGGGCATTTTCCACCTTTTGGCTATTGTAAATGGTGCTACTGTGAAGATGTGTGTGCTATGTACTTGTCTGAGTACCTGTTTGCAATTCTTTGGGGCATGATTCTAGGAGTAAAATTGCTGGATTATATGGTAATCCTATGTTTAACTTTTTGAGGAACCACCAAATTGTTTTTCACAGTGGTTGAACCAGCTTACATTCCTATTCACAATGTACGAGGGCTCCAATGTCTCCAAATCCTCACCAACATTTGTTATTTTCTGTTTCTTTGATTGTAGACATTCTAGTGGGTATGCAGTAGCACCTCATTGTGATTTTGATTTGTATTTTCCTAGTGACTAATGATGTTGAGCATCTTGTTCATGCGTTCATTTGGAGAAATATCTGTAAGTCCTTTGGTCATTTTTAAATTGGGTTATTTGTCTTTTTGTTGTTGAATTGTAAAGGTTTTTTAAATGTATTATAGATAATAAAACCTGATCAGATATATGATTTGCAAATACTTTTCCCATTCCGTAGGTTTTCTTTTTACCTTCTTTATAATGTCTTTTGATATACACAATATTTTAATTTTGATGCAGTCAGATATATCCATTTTTTTCTTTTTTTTGTTTTTCTGCTCATGCTTTTGGTGGCATAGCTAAAAATACATTGCCAAATCTAAGGTCATAAAGATTTACCACTATGTCTTCTCATTATTTTATGGATTTAGCTCTTAGATTTAGGTCATTGATCCATATTGAAGCTAACATTTTTGAGCCTGGTACTTATTATGTAGCAGAAACTTGACCTAAATTTTCTCATTTAATTCTCTCAAAAACACTTTGAGTGAGGTACTTTTATGATCCCCATTGTATAGACAAAGAAACTGTGATCTGCATTTGACCTTAGGCCCAGGACAGAGTCCAGCTGAGAAAAGAACTGTACAGCTAAGCCTAGCCTGAATTACTCACCTACAATATTATGAACTAATTAATTTAAATGGTGGTTGTCTCAAGTGACTAAGTTTTGGAGTGTTATTTTTGCAGCCCAAGCTGATACAAAGAAACAGGTACTTGCAGACATAACTGGTAGGAGTATAAAACTTTTCTCTGAAGGAAATCTGGCAATATCTAACAAAATTAGACCAGCAGTACCACTTCTAGAAATCTATACTAAAGGTATACCTGTAAAAGTATTAAATGAATTATGTTTGGGTTATTTTTTTGTGACATTATAATAGCAAGTGACTGAAAACAAACAAATGCTTATCAATTTGTTAGCACAGATCAGAATTTTATGCAGTTGTAAAAAGAACGAGGAAGATTTCTATGTACTGACAGAGTGAACTCTGCGATACACGTTTAAGCGAAAATGCAAGATATAAGGAGGGGTGTTTATTAGGCTGAATGTTGTATAAGAAAAGGGAGGAGATAATATGCATGCATATATGCTTCTGCTGGAAAAAAGCATCAGTGAAAATATAAATCCAAAACTAATAAAAATGGTTACCTATAGAAGGTGAGAGTTGGGGTGAAGAGAACAGGGAAGAAAATGAAAATTGCCCAAGAGTACTATTTCACATAGTCTTTACTCTTTAACCACTTAAATATTTTATGTATTTAAAACACCATGAAATACTCCACAAAAAAGTTATAGTAACACACATGAAATAATCATTTTGTGTGCTTTTAAAATACAGCTTTTTAAACTGAATATACATAGTGAGATACATATAAAGGATAAAAAGAAATACAAAAGGTATTCAATATATTTAAATGTAATATAAGAATTTTCTTTTTTTTTTTTTTGAGAAGGAATCTTTGTCTGTTGCCCAGCCTGGAGTGCAATTACACGATCTCAACTCACTGCAACCTCCACCTCCCGGGTTCAAGCGATTCTTCCACCTCAGCCTCCTGAGTAGCTGGGATTACAGGCACCTGCCATCATGCCCGGCTAATTATTTATTTATTTTTTTAATATTTATAGAGATGGGGTTTCACCATGTTGGCCAGGCTGGTCTTGAACTCCTGACCTCAGGTGATCTGCCCACCTCGACCTCCCAAAGTGCTGGGATTACAGGTGTGAGCCATTGCGCCTGGCCCCAAGAATATTTTATAAACATTGTATAAAAATGTAAATAAACAATTATGTTAATGTTGCTAGAAATCATGGATCTTCAAAATAAGAGAACAAGAGATATACAAGTGTAAAATCAAAGAAGCTGAGTAAAAACTGAAAATAAATATATTTTATGTTTTTTTTTATACATACACTCTTTCACATATTTCTTGCCTTGGTCCACTAAAAGAATCTAGAGGCACTGTTATGCCAGCACCAAGGTTTCAGTCTCTAAACACCATTCATTTTAATAGAAATTGGGTTCCTTGGAGAAAGAGTTAATTCCAGGCCTGAAGAAGAGGAGGTCTAGATATACTTGGGACAACTTTTGCCTAAAGGCAAGATATTTTTTAGAGACTAACTGGGTTTTTTAAAAAAAGGATAGAGGAGATGACTGGAAGGAGATCTCAGTTGGGGCAATCTGAGCATTAAAAAGGAAACTGTGGCTGGGCGCAGTGGCTCACGCCTGTAATCCCAGCACTTTGGGAGGCTGAGATGGGCAGATCACCTGAGGTCAGGAGTTCAAGATCAGCCTGTCTAACATGGTGAAACTCCAGCTCTATTAAAAATACAAAAATCAGCCGGGGGTGATGGAGAGCACCTGTATCCCAGCTACTCGGGAGGCTGAGGCAGAAGAATCACTTGAACTCGGGAGGCAGAGGTTGCAGCACTGAGCCAAGATCGCTGCCACTGCACTCCAGCCTGGGCAGCAGAGTAAGACTCCGTCTCCATCTCAAAAAAAAAAAAAAAAAAATATATTGATGAACACAATTATATACACTTATATACATATGTATATATGGCATATGTATGCATATATGGTAAATTGTTAAGAATTGTTAAATATACTAAATAAATATGTGGTTGATAATTTTGCTACCTCTACTTACACTAAAGAGTAAAAAGAAGTAATGGGGTTATTACTCAGCACTACTTCTACTATGCCTGGTGCTAATTGTAAAATTCAAAGGAAAGCATATAGAATAGTCTTATGGACTAAGATCTAGCTAACCTCAGATCTGCTCAACCCTTTTATGAGTAAATCAAATCTCTGATATATTGTCTCTCAATCCTGAACTATCTTAATGGGACTCATTAAAGTTAAATGAGATAAGACCATGTGCTTAGCAGATAGTAAACATTCAATAAGTTTTATTCATAATCATCATCACCTTCATTATCTTCATGCTAATTGCACTATCCATTAATTTATCTATTTGATATGCTATTTCAAAAGTGGATAAATTTGCCACATGGCTAAATTTGGCTTTTTTTAATTCTCTAGACCAAGGTTTCTCAAATTATGCTCCACATAAATATAAGTTTAGGAAATATCAGTGGATGCATCATAAAATAATTCTATAACAAACAAATATAACAAACAGGACAATTCTATATTCAAGTAAGTTTGGGAAAAGAATATCTCTATTTCCTCCCAGAGATTCACACTATATATTAATATTTTAGAGATTATAAGTCAGAAGTGAAGGGGCTTGTACAACGATGTTTATTTGCATTTAGCCCACTGTTTTCAAATTTACCAAAGCCTAGTACTCTTCCTGAACTGCTTACAGGTTAATGCCATGGAAAAAAAGTGTTCTACTTTTACACTGTTGGTGGGACTGTAAACTAGTTCAACCCTTGTGGAAGTCAATGTGGTGATTCCTCAGGGATCTAGAACTAGAAATACCATTTGACCCAGCCATCCCATTACTGGGTATATACCCAAAGGATTATAAATCATGCTGCTATAAAGACACATGCACACGTATGTTTATTGCAGCATTATTCACAATAGCAAAGACTTGGAACCAACCCAAATGTCCAACAATGATAGACTGGATTAAGAAAATGTGGCACATATACACCATGGAATACTATGCAGTCATAAAAAATGATGAATTCACGTCCTTTGTAGGGACAGAGATGAAATTGGAAATCATCATTCTCAGTAAACTATTACAAGAACAAAAAACCAAACACCGCATATTCTCACTCATAGGTGGGAATAGAACAATGAGAACACATGGACACAGGAAGGGGAACATCACACTCTGGGGACTGTTGTGGGGTGGGGGGAGGGGGGAGGGATAGCATTAGGAGATATACCTAATGCTAGATGATGAGTTAGTGGGTGCAGCGCACCAGCACAGCACATGTATACATATGTAACTAACCTGCACATTGTGCACATGTACCCTAAAACTTAAAGTATAATAATAATAAATTTAAAAAAAAAGAAAAGAAAAAGAAAAAAAGTGTTCTGAGAGCACCAGTTTGGGAAATGGCTACACATGGGCACCCGTATAAGAAATGCAGAGTTAGTTCCAACCCAGAGTTTTAGAGGGTTTGATTGTCTGGGTGTTCATAACCTGTAGAACTCTGGTACTTTTAGCTCCTGTCATCCATAAAGCTGCTTTCTAAGACCAACTTAAGGACTCAGATTCATCAAATTTTTCATATTTGTTCTTATTTTTAACCAACCCCAAATCTGAACTAGCTTCATTTCTTTGATTAATGTTTATTTTACATATTCACTTATTGATTCATTCATCACCCTACATCTAAATATTAATCATGAGCAAGACATCATGCTCACAGGGGTTACAGGAATGTATTATACATTCTCCTTGTCCCGAAGGAGTTTGCAATCTAGTTGATTTCACCCATCTGATATCCTACAAATGACATTTTTTAAAATGTACGTGAATGCATTGGGCTAACAGTTCAAAATGTACACAAGGAAAATCTAAACTCATTGCAAGCTCACAAAAGACTTTAATATTGAACTGTAATCAACAAGTGATTATCTTGGCAGAATGATGCTTTTCAGAGTTTTCACTGTTGTTGTTTTTGTTTGTTTTTGTTTTATTTTGATGAGTAAGGTAGTTTATGTTTGTGTAACTGAGTCTGGGGATTTTTCCTAAAACTTGTATGAGTATTTTCACTACATGTAATAGGCACCCTAAATGTATCATTGAGCATGACAAAAGGAGAAGGCATCCTCTTGTTGAATTCCAAGCTCAAAAAGAAATCAATGCATCTGCTTTCAACAAGCCACAGTACATTCCAGCTTTTTCTTTAAAAAAAGGAGAAAAGCAGGGTTATTTTTAAGTCTTTCTTAAAATTTAATAGCATTCTTCCACTGATGTGTGGAAAATTCCGAGCAGGGCAGTTTGGGATTCAAAAAACCTAGGTAAATTTCATTTATCACTTTAGAGAAACCACTTTCTTTCTCTGTATTTCTCAGATTACTCACAAAATTGATAAAATCTAAAATCATATTGATCAACAGTGCAGTTCAACTGCATTTTCTATGGAGATATTTGCTATGATATTCTAAATCTTCCACTGGTCTTGTAATAATAATGGCATTAGAGTAATAACAGTAATTCTTCATTCAGTCTAGTTCTATCAGTGCAGGGTTCTACTTACAGTAGCTACTTAATGAATTCTCTCTGAATAAAGCATTTCATTGCAGACAAAAGCTTCTTGATTTTTAATTGAAATTTAATTGCTTCATCCCCAGAGTTAAAAGATGATAGTAAAAGCTGGTTGTAAAATAAAATCATAATTGGTTTCAAGATAGACAGCCTCTCATCAGCCAAATGTTTCTTGCAATGTTGTAATATAGAAACTCATCATCAAGCAACTTAATTTTCATCACAGTGTAGTGTACATCAGGTAGTCATATCCTAAATGTTTGAGTAATACGCATCTAACTGCCATGAATTTTTATGAGTATCACACATTTAGAAAATAAGTTTTGAATAGACTGGAGATTTTCTTTTCTATTTGCCAAATTAAAGAGACAATGTTTAAGGTGTGGAGAGATTTGAGAGGAGAAGAATGGGTATACAAATGTGAAAAAGCTCTTTATCAGGAAAAAAAAAGTGTCTGAGTTTTCAGTGTCTAAGAATCCTGATTTCTCTCTTGTAATAATTACACATTATGAAATCCAGAGTGAAACATCTGTTCTGTTGTATAAGAATTTGCATGCAAACTGGATCTGAAATACCTTAACTTTCTTCAGAGAAAAGGGTATGGAAGAGAGGAGTATACATCAATTTATATCTCACTATGTGCCACAGTGACCTGTATGTTTTATCCTTACCCCATTTAAAGAACACTTTTGTGCATATATTTTTATGGAATTATAAAGATAAAAAACATGGCACTTTTATTTCTCCCCTCAGGATTTTATTTTTAACAATAAAGTACAAATATTTTTTAAATGTTAGTAATGCTTACAGTCCGTTTTGAAGTTGCCAGGATTATCTGTATGGATATTAAGGGACTAACAAGATATTGTAAAAAAATCAGACTAGGATATAAATTGAAAAATTATGAAGTCTAATTTTGTAAACATAAAGTGAAAAAAGTGAACTTAGAGTAAAACTTCTAAAAAGTCATTATATCCCAAATGCCTTTAGAATAAATCTAACAATCATCACATGCTATGGAAAAACACATGTAAGGAAAGATTATTAACCTCTTTCTGTTCCCATAAAGTGGATACAAACTGGTTTGGCTGACTGCTTCACAAAATTTTCAAACTTGTGCTACATACACCCAATTTCGCATCACTACTTCTGGTAATACACTCAAATCACTGGTTAGAGGGGAGGGTACTGACTGAAGGTAACAGTAGCTTAGTACATCCCTCCATCCTTTGCCACAGTGTGTGGGAATGTGACCTAAGCAGTGACAACCAGACTCCTTGCCCAGATTTTTCAAAATCAAGCTAGGATTGTGGAAATGCTCCCTAAACTGATGGTGACATGAGGACAAGTTCCACGCTGTAAGAAGAATATTCATCTGTAAAAGAAATTTAAAAGCTAAAACACAGAGATCACCGGAGAAAAGAAAGAGAGAATGAGAAATGTTGATCAACTCCTATTCTTCTTGATGCCAATTTCCCTCTAAAAACTAATTCATGTTTGGTTTCTGTCACTTGCAACCAATAGTTGTCTAAATAATATTGCATCCAATAGCCCTGTCTAATATATTCAGCAGTTTAGAACTAGTTGTCAATATTGGATAAATAAAACATAGATTTTAAGCAATTGTATATTTTCATGAAAACCTTGGACCTGATTTTTTTCAATTAGTAATTAAATTCATAGAAAAATTATGATGGCAGTGTTACTACACTGCAATCACAGCTAATTTAAACAATTCAAACCACAACTCCCCTCCTCTTACCTATTTTTGCTTTTTTGTTGTTTGTAATTTCAATTATCTCAGTCTTCCATGCAGTATAAATCTGCTTAGATTTATTTTGTTTACTATGATCTACATACCTATTCAATAGATGATTATTAATAATATAACAAATTAATATTAATATCATTATTAGAAGCTATTATAATGAGCATTAACTAGGAGAGACATTGTGCCAAGCTCATTTTATTTTCTCTTTTATTGGCTCAATGGTATTATGAGTCAGGTATTATAATAATCCCATCTTATAAATACATTGAGGCACAGAAAAGTTAAGTAATGTGGCCAAACTTACACAGCTGGTAAATATGAAGGAGTCAGGATTTAAATCCAGCCATTCTGAATCCAAAATTAAAGAAGGCATATTTAAACATAAAGCATTGTTTATAAGACTGATTGATTCTGGATTCACAAAGTAGTGGAAAATTTAAATGTATATCAAATGAGGTAGGAGGAATCATAAAGGCTGCACTCCCATTCCCATTGGAATTGTCAGTAATTATTTGGGCAGTTATTTAAAATTTCTCTCATCCTCTATACAGTTTCTTGGTTTCAATAGTATCCCTAGTGCCTGGCATAGTGTCTAGGACATACATAATAGTCACTTAATAAAAACTAAATGAACGGAAGTTTCATTAAATAACTGAAGGACTGAATAAGCCCAGGTGAAAATAAGAGTGGAGCACAAAGAATGTATAAAGAAATATTAAATAGAGAATTTATGAACTCTGTGAAGGGCACTGAAGAAAATTAAATCCCTTCCTAAGAACTTGGAATTTGATGGCACTCCATCCTCCTACCAGTTTCCACTGCAAACCCACTATTGGGTAATTTTCAATCCTTTTGGGGAAGTTGAAGGGCTTCAAGGAGATCAGATTCCAGCCCCATGCTTCTTCACCCCAAGCACTTTCTTAAGAAGGAATAACTATGTACATGTTGTAGGGTGCCTAGTTTAGGGATGGCTCTCTGGTTTCAGCTAATTTCAAGCTTCCTAAGACCAGCTTGTTTCTTGAATATTTAATGAAGCCCACAGGCAAGTGGAAAAACAGAACAGAAAGGAGGTCAGGCCAGGATCTCTTTTCCCCCAGTTAGCATAGTTTGTTTTAACTGTGATAACCAAAAGATAAGTAAAACTAAAGTTTCCAGGTCCTTCTTGATTTTCCTTTCTTAGCTTCTTTGCCAAGAGAAACTGTTACCCTTAAGGATCTGTTCACTGCTGACCTCTCTCCTCTTCTTCACTTGGCATTGTTGGGACCAGGGACATAGTGTTAGGAACAGCGGGGCCAGAGGAAGGAAGAGAAATTCTATTGTAGTCAAACACTAATTTCTCAAGGGCTGCCTTATCCTGAACTCCATCACAGAAGAAAATTTTGTGGATGCTGAATTAACCCTTGATTTTCCTGATTTCTGTAGACTAGAACAGATGACTAAAGAGAACCAGGCAATTTTAATCCACTAGGTCAGAACTCACATGGGTAACTTATGCTCTCAATTTAGTCTACAGATGTGTTTTATTCTCCTGACATGGTCTTAAGAAACATTAAGACAATATTTTAAAATTTATATGTTTCACATAAAAATCCAAATTTTCTAAATAATCTTGAAATAGCAAGTATTTTTCTCTTGAAAAAGTCTGGCAATACTTGATCCATATTCCTACAACGTAACACTCACCAAGAGCTGGAATGTGACTGTTCCCCTTCCTGAAAAACTAGGCTCAGGGTCACTTGCTGTTTGTCATTATGCTTCAATGGTATTTTTCCTTAGAGCAGTGAAATATCACTCTCGATATCACTATCAAAAGGACCATAAAGAGGAGATTAAGAGGGCAAAATGATTTCTTATGCCTACCTGTCTTCACTTATATACATTACCTCCTGCCCCTATAGACTTCTGAGTTTATGAACCTTACATATAGATGGCAAAATGATACCTATTCATGGAGAAAACATGACAGTAGTCACAAAGATACTGATAATAATAGCTAACATTTAATTGATCATTTAGTGTTACTATGTGCTTTATATACAATGCATAATACTATTGTATTAGAACCTTTATTTTACAAATGAAGTAGAGTTTAGAAAACTTATTTAATTTCTCAAGGGTATGCAGCTCGTTAGTACTTAATTTAGGAGTCAAATGCAGGTGTCTTTGACATCCAAGGCCATACTTTCAATCAATATACACACTGGCTCCATAAGATATAAAATGTTCAACTTAATAAACCAGCGATTCGTGCTCTTCATAATCTTGTATTAATGATTCCTGAGACCCTTTTTAATAAGATCTCTACATAAGCGTTGAAACTAACAGTTATCCAAGACTCAGTGTAGAATAAAAAAATATATAAAACGTATATATTCAACAAGTTTCCAACATTAACTTTTTAGCATGATTATTTACTGGTTTAGTTAATTATTTTTACCATGATATATTTGATTAATTATCAACAACTTCAAGCTGAATTATAAATGGCTTTTTTTAGAGCTATCAGTGCTGGCCTATCACTTTATAACATGGCTACATTTCTTGGGCCAGGATCCGGGCACCCGGGAGAGTCATAGGTTTAAGCAGGGAATTGCATCATTGGCATTCCTAGGTATGAAAGGACATGGTAAGAGAGCACTTAACAAAACCTAGAGATCGAGAGAGCTGTGCAGAAAGACTCACTTAAAAGCACCATAAGCTTTGCTTAAGGGAAGCAGTCAGGCCATGGTGATGCTGCAGGGATGGACACAGAGAAAGGAACATCAGCACCACACTCTTTGGGCCTCCAATCTCTTACCAGCTCTTGACACAAGTCAAAGGGAAAGAGAACCCACTGATGTAACCTACACATGGTCAGCCCTTCCAAGGCACAGGGTGAGATGGAAAAGGGTGTAAGGTGCATCTTCAGTGGCAAATGGAAGATATTTGGCACACCTCTCTTACCTAAAATGACTAGGATTTCCAGATGGATAGATGTATTTTCCAATATAAATTCAGGCAAAACGTCAAGCAACCTTCACTTACCTGGGGAAAGCTCCAAAATAACGAAAAAAAACTCTCACGGAATTTTAATATGGGAAATTCATTCAAAGGTCTGATTTTATTCCTTATCTGAAGCATGAATAACTGCTAACAATACCTCAGAGTGATCTCATCCATCCTTAGTTTGAGCACCTAAAATGATGAAGAATCTTCTTAGTCTCAAATAACCCACACTTCCTTGAGTTGCAAGTGATAGAAGTACAACTCATTGAAATTCAAACATTGACATAACTGGTGATACCAAGTGTGCATTCATGCGAAGCTGGATTCAGGGGCTCACACAATACCATCAGGGACAGTGCTTTTTGTTATTGGGTTCACTCTCCAACAGGCTCCTCTGGGATGTTGACAAGATGGTGGCTGACAGCTCCAATTTTTTACGCTTCCCACTTCAGATACAAAGCTTCAGCAAAATCCAGAACTTGAATCTCACTGGACTGACAATTATTATGTTTCAATTCCTGAGCCACTAACAGTGTCAAGGGGATAAAATAATGAGTTAGTCAGGCCTTAGTAAAGTGCCCAAACTGGAAATAGTTTATCTCACTCAGAGCACCTGAATTTAGAGTGGGAGACAACTGGTCTCAAACATAAATCAGGATTCTATTGTTCCCAACGGAGGAGAAATGGGTACTGGACAGGAAAAAAAGATGTCCACTACATTCTCATTATTAAAAATTATTCAAAAATCTGCTTCTTGGTCCTAGCTCTGCCTTATGGAGTCATCAGGAGATTATCTATTCCCTCTTCTGTGTAAATCCCTTCAAATATCTGAAAATATCTCTTACACTTCCATATCACACCAAGTCAAAACACTACATCAGCTTTTATCTACTGTTCATGGCACATCTAGACCTCATGTCATCCTGAACACTCTCCTCTGTATTCTTCACAGTTTATCAATGATTCTCTTAAGGAACACTGCCCAGAGAAGGACACCAAATTGTTAACTCAGAAAAATAATAAAAGTTTACATTTACTGAACGCTTTCTATTTGCTAATCATTGGTTCCAATAATGTTATATATTTTAACATAATCTTAGTATCAGTCTTCTGGATTAGTTACTATTATTCTTGCTATTTTATAAGGTATGGAGAAGTTAAGCAACTTGACCAAGATTATTCAGCTGAGAAATGGAATACTATACATTCCGATGAACAATTTTGCCTCCCAAGTTTGTACTATGATCCACTATAGGAATCAAAAGGCACAGCAAAGTTAGGTAAACCCTTTAGGAAAAATTTTCATACTAGAAAGAAAGGAAATGAAAATTCTTCTAATATTAGAGATCATCTTTAACGGTCACATTATCTTTTTTAAAAAATAATAGCCAAAATTAGTTGGTGAGAAATGCAAACTTTTTTATGCTGCCGATGGAACTTGTATAACACTTCTGCAAAACAATTTGGGATCATGTAACTAGAGTCTCAGAAACATATATTCTTTCAAAACATATAGTTTATGGATGTATTCAAATCCATAACTAAAAGAATGTATAGGCCGGGCACAGTGGCTCCCACCTATAATCCTAGCACTTTGGGAGGCCGAGGCAGGCGGATCACAAGGTCAGGAGTTCAAGATCAGCCTGGTCAATATGGTAAAACCCTGTCTCTACTAAAAATACAAAAATTAGCCCGGCATGATGGCAGGTGTCTGTAGTCCCAGCTACTCAGGAGGCTAAGGCAAGAGAATCGCTTGAACCCGGGAGGCGGAGGTTGCAGTGAGCTGAGATCATACCACTGCACTCCAGCCAGGGCGACAGAGCGAGACTCCATCTCAAGAAAAAAAAAATGTATAATGCTATGAATAATAAACATCAGAAACAATCTAAATAAAAATTGAGCTTTTGGGGATTCGTTAAATAAAATTTTAAGATATCCCCAATGGAACACCAAGCAACTATTAAAAAAAATACTGATCTACGTGGTTAATAATACACAAATATGTTTATTTTATGTTATTCTATTTTATTGAATTAGCTTAAAAAAGTAAAAAGTAAATTGAGAGAAATGAAACTAGAATGAAAGAGGAGGAGCTAAGGAGCTAATTGTCTTTCATACAAATTTTCATTACTTTATGTAGTGACTTCCTTTTGCAATTACTTTATGCAGTGACTTTATGTAGTGACTTCCTTTCACAATTGAATTGACAGAAATTCAATCCCTACGGATATTTCTAGGAGCCTATCTATTACAGAGTGTGGGAATATCTGAATGAAGTGAGAGCCATGCCTGCATCCCACCTTAGCAATGACCATTATTTATCAGATTGTGTTATGCCAAGGAGCATTCATTTTCTGCGTCACTTCACCAGTTATACAGAGAAAATCTCTGTTAGGTCTTTACATGCCACATTTCGGCAGAGTTTTAAACTTCCTGATCTCCAGTTCTTTTAGAAAAAGACCTATGGAGGCATAAAGGAAATTATCTGAATCTCTGCTCCTGGGAAATATGCCTTTTATTCTCTCTAAATTTAATTGAAAAATAAAGTCTCCACCCTATATAAAGACTTTTTCCCTCTGCTTTGTACTACTCAAGCCCTACAACTTGAGGCATGGTGTTTTTGTGTACAAAATAACACTATGTTCATTGCAGAAGGTATTAAAAATAAGGACAAACTTTTAAAAAATGAAAGAAAATTATTCACAATCCTTACCATTAGTGCCACTTTTAATATGGAGATATACACCTTTGTTTTTACATAAATGAAATAGCATTCTGCATCCTGTGCTATATCCCTTTTATACTTACTGAAATCGCATAAATATTCGTATCTATATTTACTACATGTTTTAAAGAAGGATAATTACCAAATATATGTGAGTATATTGTTTAAAAAACTTTCTCAGGTGAAGAAGAAACCAAAATGCTTTTGATACCTTAGTATGTGCTCATATTATAGTTGACACAAAATGCAATCAAGGAGGAGGGCTGTAGAGGACAAGAAGGAATCTAATCTATGTATTATTATTATCCCTAATTATTGTGGGTACATAGCAGGTACATGTATTTATGGGGTACATGAGATGTTTTGACACAAGCATGCAATGTGAAATAAGCACATCATGGAGAAGGGGTATCTATCCCCTCAAGCATTTATCCTTTGAGTGACGAACAATCCAATTATACACTTTAAGTTATTTTAAAATGTAACATTAAGTTATTATTGACTATGGTCACTCTATTGTGCAATCAAATAGTAGGTCTTATTCATTCTTTTTAAATATTTTTTTGTGCTTATTAACCATCCTCACCTCACCATCCCCAACCCCCCACTACCCTTCCCAGCCTCTGGTAACCATCCTTCTACTCTCCATTCATGAGTTCAATTTTTTTGATTTGTAGATCCACAAATAAGTGAACATATGTGATGTTTGTGTTTCTGTGCCTGGCTTATTTCACTTAACATAATGATCTTCAGTTCCATCTATGTTGCTGCAAATGATAGAATCTCATATTTTTTTATGGCAGAATAGCACTCCATTGTGTATATGTACCACATTTTCTTTATCCATTCATCTGTTGATGGACACTTAGGTTGCTTCTAAATCTTAGCTATTGAAAACAGCGCTGTGTTTATTCCCCACTTCCCACATGAGGAGTTTCAGACTCTGAAAGGTTATGTGACTTGCCCAAGGTTATTTTATTATAAAATTTGGAGCAGGGAAAGAACTTGCTTGTGTTTGACTCCAATCATATTACTATAATATGGGAGAACAAGGCTATAAACAAAGTTGGGCCTTACTCCCACATCTTCATGCTATTTCACTTTCTACTGCCTCCAGAAAATTCCTTACAAAGTTCATTTTTTTGGACAGTTATCTATTGAATGCCTATGACTTTCCAGGTACTGGGTTAAGAATTGTACATGTAAAACTTAACAAGCCAGAAAAGGTCCCTTCTTGGATGAATTATATATGCTAGAGGGGGAACACTAGGAAACGGGCAAGTAAACACATAAACCACAATAAACATATAAACAAACAGGCCCTTCCACCCCTGTTTTCCCTTAGGAAAAAAAGTCCATACTTTGGGCTTTCCTAGAAGGGGTCTCTGAGTCAAAAAGCTATGTCCCGGAACTGTTAGATATCAGGGCTGTTCAGCCACTAGGGCTCTCATTGTGAGAGATCATTTATTTTTCTCTTTTTGATGTCTAGAACTCAGTACTGGTTGATAGTGTCCACTTGCAGAGGAGTTCAGATCATAGTAGGTTTTCCTTCCAAATCAGTGATCATGGGACCTTGGGATCAAGAAATACAAAAACACCATAGCCCATATTGTCAAAGTGTATTGCACACTGCTCAAGAGGACTAATTCTGCAGCCAGACTGCTTGGGTTCAAAACCTTCAAAGTTCCCAGCTGAGAACTCAGGCAAGCTATTAAACTACTCTAGCTTTGATGCTTTCCATTTGTAAAATGGAAATTACAATAACACTTATTTCATAGATATTGTGAGTGTTAAATGAGCTAAAATGTAGAGAGGACCTTGAACAGTGTTAGGTACATAATAAATACTTTTTAAGTGCTATTGCCATAGCATTATGATATGATACTATAACAGTGGAGGCACATCTCAACATTATGAGCATCGGAGTGGTGCACATCTTGTCACGCATCTGAGCCTTACTTACTACTTATTGCCTATGTAACATCAAACACATTATTTAATTCTCTAAATTTCTTTTTCTTTTCTTTTTTTGGCATCCTTTAGACAGATTTCAATAGTGCCTACTTCTGGAGACTGTTTTGAAAATTAAATAATATAAAAAAAGGACTAAGAATTCTGCACAGCACATGGTAATATCCTACTAAATGTTAACTCTGATTAAATTTGCAGTCACAGAGCACATTAGAACATTTCCTTCCTGCCCACTGTTCCACCATGCTCCAACTTTATCCCTTCAAGTGCCCCTGGTCTCTAATTCACTTTAGCCCCACATTGTCAAGAGAAAAAATATCTCGCTTTCTATCAGATGAAATACTTACTGTAAATAAGCTAAATCAGGAAGTTAAGATGGTGGAATAGTAAGTGTGTGTGCGTGTGTGTGTGCATGTGTGTGTGTGTGTGTGCACAAATGCATGTGTATGTGTGCATATGTTAAGGAAATGAATATTATAGCCTGAGAGTACATCTCCCTGCTTGTAGATTCCCTGTGAACCTTCTTTAAATTGTTCTCTCTGTTGCCACACCATTTTTTAATTTCCCTGGGTATATTACAGTATAAAAATTTTTTTCTCTTGTGATACTCTGGCACTATTATGTAAAAGGAGAAAAGAAATGAGTTCTGACATAAGATTCACTATAGTAGCTTTCTGGAGTCCCTGTAACATTGTGTTATGCTAAACCTGTGGGTCAAGTTCTCTTTGATTTTAAGTCAGGACTGCTGCTTGTTTTGTTGTTTTATTATGCCAAGACTACATTTTCCTGTAGAGTGTCAAGCAGAGACTCATATAATTGAGCAAATTCTACCTCTTGTTTTGATCTTAATAATAATAATTAGTAATTTTCACATTCAGGCTCTGATTACTAAGTACAATACAATCCATATAATAGAAAACTATTTTACATGGAGGCATTAGAAGCACTTCCTCATATGATATTTCTCCTCGTTACAAAATTTGTCTGTACAATAAATAAGGTTTACTAAGTGACTACTATGTGCACTGAACTGAGGATTCAATATTGAAAAAGATGGGTGAGTTTACACCTTATTGATTGTACATTCAAGTGGAGGATACAAGCAATTCATTAATACACACATAAATAGAAAAAATATTATCCAGAAAATGTAAAGTGATGGGGAATGAGCAGAGCTGATGACTGTGGGAGAGGGAGCCCAGGAAAGACCCCTCACTAGAGGTAATACCTAAGCCCAGACCTAAAGTCAAGAAAGAGACAATAAAATGAACTCTGCCGGGAAATGAGTCAAAAGAAAATAGCAAGAGCAACATTTTGAGGTAAGAATAAATTTAATATATTAAGGCACAGAGAAAAGGCCTGCGTGCCTGGTACATGGTTAATGATGAAAGGATAGGAGATCAGAGGTGCAGGCCAGTAGTCTCCTACTTGCTTACTGCATGGAAAGAACTCTGACCCATTGTGTCTTATTTTTCTCATTTGTTAACTTTTCAACAAATGAGTAAGTGAAAGGAAGAACAGGTACAATGCTAAAGGTGCACAATTGTCCTATAACTGCTATTTAAGCTATGGAGTGTCATTTTCTATGTCTATATGATATAAGCATAGATCAATTCAGATTGGAGTCTTCACAATCTCACACTATGATCTTGAAAGGCAGGATATGAGAAACCAACTTGTTGATGAGGTTCTTCTCAGCATTAGCTTCCTCATCTGCAAAATGGGGCTGATAATAATAGCATATCAGTATAAGCACATAATATCCACAGCATCAAGCTGCAGCATGGTGATAAACACATTGAAACCTGCATTTCTGAGATACTGTGGCATTAATCTTCATTTTGGTTTACGCATTTAAACAGCAGCTGGGAAAACTGCCTTCTTAGAAACCCAATGTTGTGCTCACAGGGATGAATGACTCCACAATTCATTTTCAAGGCATAAATCATTTTCCCTTTACCTTTTTTATGCTTCATAATGATGCTAATGGCTGAAAGGTCACCAATTTCCTGGCTGTTTATATTCAGCAGGGTTAATTTTTTCAACTGGTCAGAAAATGTCAAGTCCATCAGTAGCATTATTCACTTCATTAGCTAATGTAGTATAATTTAATGTTTGGGGGATCAAAGAAAAGACACATTTGAAGAATATCGTGGAATAAGACTGAGAATATTATTCAAAAGAGAAATTCTCTACTTAAATTACCATAATCACTACAGCTGATGATCTTTTCTCAGAAAATGACCCTATATGTCTACATGTCAAATGACTGTATTTATCATTTTCCAAATAGCCCTGAGCCATGCTTTAAAAGAAAAAAACTTTAGTACCTTTATATAATCATTCTAATGAAAAATATTTATTAAGCCCTTAATGCATGCAATGCTCAGCTGGGCATTTAAAAAATTATCTTACAGAACACTCATGACATTCCCATGAGAAGAAACTATTGTTCCTGTTGTACAAATGAGAAAAATGAATGTCTCAGAAAGTCTAGGGGGAGGGCTCCATGGCTCTGAGGGTACGCTGGTTGAGCCTTTATGGTGGGCATATGGGCACTTGCCTTGCCTGACTCTTGGTTATGGCTTGGAATTAAGTGAAGTGGTGTTTTAAGGCGTAAATGGTAGTAAAAGAGCATGCTATCGCTTTCAGCTTTGTGCACAGCTCTGTACCGGCTTTGCCCTCAGCCTTCCTCTCTTCACTAGAATCTACTTTACTGGAACATTAACCATTGAGATAAGAAAGACATCATTGCCCTGGGATCTCTGTACCAAGATCCCTCGTGTTCTAGCTCATGGTGACCTCTGGGAATGCACTTCCTGATGCCTACCTCTTCCTCCACCTTGCTGCAGCCACCCTAGCCTCTGTCCTCAGCATGTATGACAGTGCTAGCACATAGTAGATTGTCAATAAAAACATGTTAAATGCAATATTAAATCCTACAGTGAGAAAAGGTAACATGTGAAGGTGTTTGTAATCCTCTCATTAAAACACAGTTTTCAGAACTTTATTTTTATTCCTATTTGAACCTTACCTCCAGGGCATATAAATAAAAATAAACACAAAACATGGTACAGAATTTGCTCAGTTATTGAAGTAGGGATTGTCATCTGACACTCTAAAGGGGCTTATTCTTGTCATAATGTAACAGCAAAGAAAGTGATAGTACTGACTTAGAATCAATAGGAAATAAACCTGCAGGTGGGAAATCCTCTAATTTAGCACAATACAAACTTACAGCTGCCCCAAGAAAAGTCAATGATTTCTTTACTACTTTTACAAAATATTTTCAGAATATCATAACAGAGAAAATCATCCTGATGTCCTAATTCCCAGGAGAAAAAGTAAGCAAAAATAAAATGATAATGGTGTTAGAGAATAGTATCATTTTAACAATTATTTAAGTAGATTAGGTGAGTACTCTAGCAATGTTTGTCCTAGTTTTTCACTAATTATTTTCTTTTCCTGTTGATAAAATACCAAGCCATAAGCTGTTGAAAAATAATGTTATTGTGTTTTTTAATCAGTGTTATTTACAGCTCAGTAAATCTAATAACCCAGAGCTGATGCTGAAATATTTGTCGCAAAAATGGTGAATTCCATGCTTTTGTATTCCCATGCTGTGAACTGGGAAGACCACTCCTAAACGCCCAGAGATGACAAATCTCATAGGATGGGATGGACGCCCAAGTGACCATGCGTATGCAAGGGGATGTGGAGTGAGAAACTCTGCCCAATTTACAATTTTGTCAAGAGTTGGCTCTTGGAAAATGGATGACAAAAATAAACATATTTGTTGTTAGACCTAAGAATAATCCACATTAAAAATAGTCCTCATTAAAAATAAAAGCAGATCGTCAAAAAGAAAGAAAAAAAAACATTGAGGGAGGGAAGAAGGAAGGAAAGAAGGAAGGAAGGAAGGGAAGAAGGCAAGCAAACCCTGATATCCTGATGATCTGGTGGCCTGAGCATGGTACTGAGAGTCCAGAACACTCATATTCTAGATGGCTCTACCACCTACCGAGTGTGAGGCTTAGGATCACAGCTTAAACTCTCTGAGCTTCAGCTTTCTACTCCATAAGATGGAAGGATTGCAATTTCTATCTCAGAAACACCTTTAGTGATAAACAAAACAAGGACTCTTTAGCAAGAAAGTGCTTTGTAGATTAAAATGCCAAACAACTGATCTATGAAGACTGATGTGTGAAGCAATTTCTATAGCAGTTATGAGTGACTGGAATCCATCCATTTTTGTTGAAATTCCAGCTAGTGAGCTGAATGACTTTGAACAAGTGATTCTTGCTTTCAGAACTTTAGTTTCCTTATCTTTAAAATGGGAATAGTAACAGTATTTCTTTGCGCTTTTTTTTTTTTTTTTTTGAGATGGAGTATCACTCTGTCACCCAGGCTGGAGTGCAGTGGCACGATCTCGGCTCACTGCAACCTCCACCTCCCAGGTTTAAGCGATTCTCCTGCCTCAGTCTCCCCAGTAGCTGGGACTACAGATGCATGCCCCCACGCCTGGGTAAAATTTTTTTTGTATTTTTAGTAGAGATGGGGTTTCATCATGTTGCAGGATGGTCTCGATCTCCTGACCTTGTGATCCGCCCGTCTCGACCTCCCAAAGTGCTGGGATTACAAGCATGAGCCACCGAGCCTAGACTTTGTGCTATTTATTTTCTCTTTGCTCCATCACAATCCCTCTCCTTTTGTGCCCATCCCGCTCTTTATCCTGGGAGATGAGCTCTGTGGAGTGGATCAATAGGCTGCCTGGTCATATGACTTTCAGTTGGATGTGGCCCATGGGAAGCACGGAAGAACAGGAATGTGGGAAAGAGTGAGGTAAACACTGATTCTCCTGGATCCCTTCCTATCAGATCTCACTAGTTTGCCTGCCACTCTCCACCTAAACCAAAGCTCCAGTTAAATGGTCCTCTCTCACAGCCACAGCTATTCTCTCCAGATTCTGTAGCAACTTCCTGTCCTGGTCCCTTCAGGTCTAGAGGCAGTAACGACTAACTTGCTAGTTTATTCACCCACTCTGTTACCTTCTCTAACTGTGATCACAATTGTGTAAACAGTAATTCCTTCATTCAAATCTTTTTCATTACTCTATATGAATATCTCATTTGTTTTCTCACTTGACCACAGCTGATATGAAAGGAAGGCTTGAGGAAACAAATCCTTACAATAGAATTCTGAGAGTAGGCCCTTCACATATTTGAGGACACAGATACTGTCCTTGTAGGAGGTAAGTGGAAAGAGAGTATTCCATGAGCTATGATGGTATTATAATTACACAAGTTATCACTGAAGATGTCCTGGGATGAAGTGCAAATGAAAAGCACAGTATCAGGAGATCAAGTGATTTTGGCACGTGGTTTCTATGGTGACAGTATTGATCAGAATGTGTTGGGGTTAGTTAGCTCTTTCTGACAGCCCTGGAGAGCTGATAGACCCCAGAGAAAGCACAAATTGGAGTTTTTAACCTCACGGCTCATAACTCAAGTGGAAAATCAGAAAGCCTTGATGATAACTTTGTAGGAACCCTTTGCAGTAGTCTCATAGTCATGCACAGGGCTCATATATCTGCAATGGAGCCCAGGGTCTGAAAGTAAGTGATGCTGAGTTGAGAACCAATTAAATGTTCAACCTCATCACATCGTTTATACAATGACAGTGATGGAGAAGGAGTGGTAAGGGATACACTGGAAGGCTACATTTAGGCAGAACACAGATGGGGCTGAGAACTTTGCATTCCTAAAGCTTCCTAACAGAGACAGGTATTCTAAATACAAAATCAATAAGGTAAATCCTACCATAGTCAAAACAGAGAATCATAAGGCCTGATCTAAAAGGAAATAGTATATAGGCCAAAACAGCTTCAGGACATTGCCAACTTATATCAGGAGGAGGGAGTTAGGGTAGCAGGTACAGGAGTGAACATTAAGGGTATTAGACTAACAATGCCAAAATATAAAACTGTCTATGAGCCAAATTTATTGATGGGGCTCACTAACTAATTTATTGACAGGGGAATATAATTAATCATCTGTTTGGTTGATTCCTTAAACTTGGATTCAGTAATATCCTAAAGCCAATGAGGTTAAAATGTCAGAACTTCCCTGGCACCATTACTTGGGAAGGAGTCAGAAGATACAGAGAGATGGGAATAGTAGAATAGACCTGTTCAGTCCTGTCTTAATCACCACAGCATCAAGAGATTCCAGAGAACACTCTCTTTACCAAAATCTTAAGAAATGCATCCATGAGGGGATATTGGCATCCTTTGAAAACAATATGTTGGCTGTCCTCCTAAGTTAGGCATAACTGTAAGTGTTATAAAGGGAGCTGTTTCATGTCTTGATGGGAAAATTTGATCCTAGAGTAGTAGGGCTACCTAGGACTTGGATGCTGAGACTGAAGCTTTTGTCTCACTCCACCAGGTACAGAATTTTACCCAGCCAAAGTGCTGGCAGATGGCAAGAGTGTAATGGGTGGTGAAATAGAGAAGTTACAATTATAAACCTAGACATCATGTCCAGAAACAGAAGCTGAAATTGCAACAGCTACATTTGTTTATAAATACATTCTCTCCTCCTGCCTCATGTAAAGAGTAGTAGTGGTAGGTGATTATTTGGGAAAACTTCCCAGTTGAGTGGCCCTCTGCTATATCTATGCCTATTCTCTCTAATTTCTAATAACTGCTCCTTTTTCAGACCCATGAGCCTAGTGTTGCTAATGGATCAATGTTGCTCTTCACCAACCCCTATTGATTTTTCTTAATAGTATCCATACCTTTGTAAATTGTCTCTTTTAGAAGACTTTTTTAAATTTGCCACATTTAGGCATGCTATCTGTTGCCTTATAGGACCTCAACTGCTATACTATCTCATTAGTTTGTTGTGAAGATCAGGTAATTAATAAAGTCTTTAGAGCAGTACCTAGCACGTGTAATTACTCAATAAATGTTAGCTATTGTTATCCTGGCTGCTGTTGATTATTATTGTCATATTTAAAGGAGTTAGATAATCTGGTAAAGAGATATCATGACACAGTGGAATGCTAATGAAATGTGTGGCAAAGAGAAAACATTCAATAAATTGTTTCTTTATTACAATATTAAATTCTTAGTGTTTAAAAAGGATCCACTAATAGTCATTGAAATGAGACTGTCTACCATAAAAACTTTATTTTACTTATTTTCTTCTTTTATAAGTGTTCATTTTCTCTAATTAGCCAATCAAAACAGAAGACTTTAAAAGGAATTTTTCATGCTTCAGTTCTCATGCTGATAATCCAGTCTCCCTTGGGCTGGCTGGCACAGGAAAATTTAGGTGGTCCACTGACAGTGTGTTTACTGATAAATTTTGACTTAGAAAGACATGCAAACTGCATGAAAAATAAAATATTTAAAATTCCCAAGCATGTGTAGATATCACACCATAAAAATTCATAGCAGCAATAACAATCATGCAAAATTGATGTGGCTTTTCCACACCATCACCTAAGAGCCATAACTTGGGTCACTATGGAAAAGAAATCAAACCAGACAGTTGAATAGAGACTTCTACTGTTGAGAGTGAGGAGGAAGACATGGAAAACATATTTCCAAAATGTGTTCAAATATTATGAACTAATTTGTGAGTGGGATCGATAAAGGAATATTCCCTTTACAATGCTAAGCCCAGCAGCCATCATCAAAGGACCCTCCCTAAATAGGTAATCCTTCTCATGGTCTGATTTAGTTCTTGATACTAAATATGCAACCTAAAGAGGAATAACAATTTCAGATAGATTAAATGATACAATGTAATTCTGCAGAATTTTTAAATTTTGCTCAAGAAAGGACCTAAGAACCCTGACATTTGAGATCCCCCAATATTAGATAAGGTGACTGATATGTTTTTGCTGTATCCCCCACCCAAATCTCACCTTGAATCATAGTAATTCCCATGTGTCAAAGGCAAAGACAGGTGGAGACAATTGAATCATAGGGGCAGTTTCCTTCATACTGTTCTCATGGTAGTGAATAAGTCTCATGAGATCTGATGGTTTTTATAAGTGGGTGTTCCCCTGCACCAGCTCTTTTGCCTGCCACCATGTAGGACATCTCTTTGCTCTTCCCTCATCTTCCACCAAGATTGTGAGGCCTCCCCAGCCATGTGGGACAGTGAGTCCATTAAACCTCTTTTCTTTAGAAATCACCCAGTCTTGGGTATGTCTTTATTAGCAGCATGAGAACAGACTAAAACAGTAAATTGGTAACAGGTTGTGGGGCACTGTGGTAAAGATACCCAAAAATGTGGAAGTGACTTTAAAATTGGGTAATAGGCAGAGGTCAGAACAGTCTGGAGGGCTCGGAAGAGGACAGGAGCATGTGGGAAAGTTTGGAACTTGCTAGAGATTTGTTGAATGGCTTTGACCAAATGCTGCTCCTCTCAGATGGAGATAAGGAACTTGTTGGGAACTGGAATAAAGGTCAATCTTGCCATGGTTTAGCAAAGAGACTGGTGGCATTTTGTCCATGCCCTAGAAATTTGTGGAACTCTGAACTTGAGAGAAATGATTTAGGGCATCTGGCACAAGAAATTTTTAAGCAGCAAAGCATTCAAGAGGTGACTTGGGTGTTGTTGAAAGCATTCAGCTTTATGTATTCACAAAGATATGGTTTGGAATTGAAACTTATGTATAAAAGGGAAGCAGAGCATAAAAGTTCAAAAAATTTGCAGCCTGACAATGTGATAGAAAAGAAAAACTCATTTTTTTGAGAAATTCAAGCTGGCTGCGGAAATTTGCATAAGTAACAACGAGCCAAATGTTAATTGCCAAGACAATGGGCAAAATGTCTCCAGGGCATGTCAGAGACCTTCATGGCAGCCCTTCCTATCACAGGGCTGGAGGCCTAGGAGGGAAGAATGGTTTCTCCGGCCAGGCTTAAGCCCCCCTACTCTATGCAGCCTCCAAACATGGTGCCCTGCATCCCAACTGTTTTAGCTCCAGCTGTGGCTACAATGAGCCAATGTACAGCTCAAGCCATTTATTCAGAGGGTGCAAGCCCCAAGTCTTGGTGGCTTACACATGATATTGGTCCTGTGGGTGCAGAGAAGTCAAGAGTTGAGGTTTGGGAACCTCCACTTAGATTTCAGAAAATGTATGGAAATGCCTGGATGTCCAGGTAGAAGCTTGCTGGAGGGGTGGGCCCCTCATGGAGAACCTCTGCTAGGGCAATGTGAAAGGGAAATGTGGGGTGAAAGGGAAAGGTAGGGCACTGCCTAGTGGAGCTATGAGAAGAGGGCCACCATCCTTCAGACCCCAGAATGGTAGATCCACTGACAGCTTTCACCATGTGCCTGGAAAAGCTGCAGACACTCAATGCAAGCCCATGAAAGCAGCCAGGAGGGGGCCTATACCCTGCAAATCCACAGAGGCAGAGCTGCCCAAGGTTGTGGGAGCCCACCTCTTGTATCAGTGTGACCTGGATATGAGACATGGAGTCAAAGGAGGTCATTTTGGAACTTTAAGCTTTAATGACTGCCCTATTGGATTGTAGACTTGCATGGGGCCTTATAGCCCCTTTGTTTCGGTCAATTTCTCCCATTTGGAATGGGTTCATTTATCCATTGCCTGTAGCCACATTGTGTCCAGAAAGTAACTAACTTGCTTTTGATTTTACAGGCTTATAGGTGGAATGGACTTGACTTGTCTAAGATAAGACTTTGGACTGTGGACTTTTGAGTTAATGCTGAAATGAGTTAAGACTTTGATGGGCTGTTGGGGAGGCATGACTGGTTTTGAAACGTGAGAACATGAGATTTGGGAGGAGCCAGGAGTGGAATGATATGGCTTGGCTGTGCTCCCACACAAATCTCACCTTGAATTTTAATATTCCCCATGTGTCAAAGGCAGGTGGAGATAATTTAATCATGGGGGCAGTTTCACCCATACTGTTCTCATGATAGTGAATAAGTTTCATGAGATCTGATGATTTTAGAAATGGGTGTTCCCCTGCACGAGCACTCTTGCCTGCCAACATGATCTTCCTTTACCTTCTGCCTTGATGTGATGCCTCCCAAGCCATGTGGAATTGTGAGTTCATTCAACCTCTTTCCTTTATAAATTACCAAGTCTTGGGTATGTCTTCATTAGCAGCATGAAAACAGACTAATACCATGACCAACCCAAATTTGGGGCGTAGAGTTTTATTAGTAATCTAGGGCCAAATAATGTCCCTTCCTAATTGCCCTAGGACCTTTGTGAGCAAATTTCCTCTGATTCCAAGAAGCAATCAGAGATAATTTTATTCTACCCTGGATTCTAAATCTGAAAAATAGATTGATCACTTTTTCAGCTAATATTCAAGATTGGGGAAAATTTTTTCTTTCCTGACCTCTATCATCCTGGAGGACTCTGTCTCTGGGTACCACTGCCTCTGTCTATCCACACAAGTCAAGAGACTCAGAACATTTGGCCTATTTCTGAAGTAGTGTTCCCGGTAAGGTCTTTCAGAATGGAGCCCAAACATGTGAAACATATGGAACATATCTGGAGATACATGGCCTTTTAGCTAACCCATGACAAGTCAGGTGTGCCAAAACTTAAAAAGAATGGCTTCTTTGCTAGACAGAAAATGCAAAATAAACAAACAAAACACTTGGAGTCCCAGAACTAAACCTTCCAAGGTTATAAATGAATATAAGGACTATCCAGGGAATTCATCCCAGTTGCTGAAAGGCCCAGAACTTTAAAATCATGACTGAGTCTTTTAAAAGAGTTTTGAAAAAATCCTTAAGGCAAGTACAACATAAAATGCTTCTTTTACATTTTTCTGTAGTATTCAAAAAGTTTTAAAAACCTACGGCCTGAGTCCCATTCGAAGTCAGAAGAGGAGGGAAATAAGTCATTTACATGAAAAGAAAGATGGGACCCTTTTAGGGCAGATAAAATGTTTATTTTCTTGGCCTTTGTGTCTATTACCAGAGCCAGGCACTGTGCTTGACATATGGTAGGCATTCAGTACATGTTGCTTAAATGAATACATGAAGAGGAGAGACAAAGGTAAGCTGAAGATTTTTGGAAGACAATCTGCACCTACATTATTTATCATTTCCCAATCAGCTAAGTTTGAAGCCATCATGAGGCCTTCCTCTAGAAGACAATTGCTTTTCCAGAATATTTTCTTACTATGCTTATAACTCAAATGGAAACAAAAAGCAGGCATACAAGATCATTATCTTTCAAAATTTGACCTAAAACGACTATGTTCCATAGCATCCTCTCCAGGATTTCATCCAGGAAGTGGTTTTATTGTCTAATATACTATTATCCATAAAATTATTTACTTACTCAATAAGACATATTTATTGAGTGTTCTAATTTTATTCCTTTGTATATTCAAATAAGTTTCTCCCATCCTCTTTCCTATTTTCTTTCCTCCTTTCTGTCCTTTCTTTTTTCACCAATATCAGTCAGGTCAACTCATTTCTTTCCCTTCTCTATTTCTATATTTGTGGTGAAACATGTCCTATCTTTTCTGATTCTTTGATTTAAATGTTATCATGTTTCTTTGATGTAACAATTTAATTACCCTTTCTAGAAAAAAACCATATCTAATTTTAATTTCCCCCTTTCCTCATAATTCAATAATTGTACATTTGGTAGCTTAATCAGTTAATTGTGCATGTGCAAAATATGCTTTAATATTTTAAAGACTCTGTTTTATTTAGTTGTTATCAAAAGGGATTAATGTTTGGGCTTAAAAGATTTGTGGGTAGATTATTTTATAGCTTCCACATCCTTTAATGGTATCAGGGGCCAATGTGACTTCTATTTTTAATAAAGGAAAAGCTTCTTATATACAGACTTTGGAAGCCTAAGAATTGAATGGAGGATATTTCTTAAAACTAAGACAATAAAACAAAACAAAACAAAAACAAACAAAAAACTGTGCTTTACTGATATAGAGGCTTGTGGTTATTATTGAATTGATTATCCAAAGCAGCCACCCCCTTTTTGAAAATGGTAGAAAGTGTATAGAAAATAGGACATATCTTAGCCAAGGTCCAAACTTGCTCAGGCCCTGATTTGTAAATTTATTAAAGTTTCATGATTGAACCCTGAGGACTAGAAGTTAATTGATATCTTTTTTTTTCTATCCACCATGGGCAATATAAAGCATCAGAAATTTTTTAATGAATCCTCCAGCATTAATCTTTTACCCTAGGGAAAGTTTCCTATAGGTAATGAGATTAAAGAGAACCACCAGCTACTTTACCCTTCCTTTGTTCAGTGCATTTAAAAGTGACTTCGAGTTGTGAGTATCAGGCACCTCTGAAGAAGAGCTGATGCCCTACTATGGCTATAAAAACTCTGCCCTTCCTTCCTTACCCTAGTTCATCTCTTGTTCTTGAAGGTGCTGAAGGGGATAATTGCTCAGTTGCTGAGGCTCTGCAAGTCCTCCAAACCACAATAAGGGAAACTTAATTTCCCCTAAAGCACAGTCCAGTTTAATAAACGTTGAACATCCTTGACGACAGCACCTGTCTTATTTTTCTTGGTGTCTCTCCTGACAGGTACAGTCCTTGCTCCACAGAGATAAAGTTTCAAAATTTCATCTTCTCCTCCCACATGATTCTTCTTCCTCTTCATCTTCACCTCCTAAATTTGTCTTTCTGTCACTTGCTTAGCCTAGTGAGTTTTGCTTGTTTGTTTGATAGTCGTGTATTTACAGCTTAACTTCTGACTTGCTAGTGGGATACTTACATCTGACTGTGCACTATGAGGGCCAGAAAATGCCTCAGTGTACAAGTAAAATTCAGTGAGCTAAGGGCAGGTAAGAAATAACTGCTACATTCATACTTTAAAACTTTTCAATGTCATATTACAAGAAACAAGTGCATGGTAGATGCTCAAAGTTAGCTATTCTTATTTGTCAATGAACTGATAAGGTAATAATGGAAGAATAATGTATGGTCACTTGTAAATGCAAATAAACGCCTACCCAAAAACATGACGTTGACGTCAAGGCTTTATCATACCACATACAGAGAGATATGAAAAAGCCTGTTACTTTCACAATTTTAAGAGCAGGCAGGCCTCGCCATCAGGTTCAAAGTATCTTGAGAGAGCAAGCAAAGGTGACTGGCTCAGAGTGAGTGTCCCATCAACATAGGAGGTGCTAACATAAAACTTAGCAGTAGTCCTCCATCTACGTCTGCAGGTGACCATAACAATAACACACAGGAATACAAAGTAGTGTCAAAGAATAACTTAAAATTCATAGTTTTGTCTGGGTGCAGTGGCTCACGCCTGTAAAGTCAGCACTTTGGGAGGCTGAGGTGGGAGGATCACCTGAGGTCAAGAGTTCAAGACCAGCCTGGCCAACTTGCTGAAATCTGGTCTCTACTAAAAATACAAAAAAAAAAAAAAAAAATTAGCTGGGCATGGTGGTGCACGCCTGTAATCCCAGTTACTTGGGAGGCTGAGGCAGGAGAATCATTTAAACCCAGGAGGCAGAAGTTGCAGTGAGCCAAGATCATGCCACTGCACTCCAGCCTGGGTGACAGGAGACTCTATCTTAAATTAAAAAATAAAAATAAAATAAATAAAATGCATAGTTGGGCAATAACTCTTGTAAGGATTTAAGGAAGTCAATATTCCCAATGAACTGAATTGTCAGGGCTATCAATAGGGCATAAATATTATGCATTTATTCCAAAAGCGTCTACTGAGTAAACTTTGTGCCAAGTGTTATGGGTAGAAAGTTAAATACGACACAGATTTCCTTCTGAAGGAATCTAAAGTCCAGTAATGGACTAAAAAAATACAAAATAATCATAATAGAATTACCCTGTATAATAAGCACTGTAATGATAGTATGAAGTTGGTATATGGAAGCCTAGGAGAGTGATTGATTAATTCTGTCATTTGTGGGTTGAAAAGATTTCTTTATCTACTAGAAGATGGGAAAGAAAGAGAGCAACTAATGAGAAAGTCCAGCTTAGCTACCAGACCATGGCACTAGCCCTGATTGGTCAAAACACCTATGATTAGTCCAGTGGTCACTCTGTCCACTTGGGCAACCCTTAGCCATTGACTCTTCCAGCTCTTAGGACAGAGTTAGGCCTATGAATAAGCAAAAGGAAAATAATAATCTTTCCTATCTCCAGCCAAAAAAAAAATATGTATGAACAACTCATCACCCTAATGAGAGCCAAATTTTTGCTTATGGAATAAGCATCATTTGGAAATATATTATTTAACATACCATGTACATTGAATGCCAGCTCTTAAAATACCTTAAACTAAGTCTCTAACATGTGTATGTTTGTCCCTATCCTCTACTGACTCAACCCAAGTGCTCTTTTTTTCTAAAGATGGTCAAAAGAATATTATTTTGCAAATACTCTAAAATGTTCCCATGCTTTTGATTTAAGCTATTTTAGATATAGACGTGGTTGCAGGTTACAAAGTCAAGATTCTGCTCACCAGCCAGCTCATAATCTTACTATATTATCCTGTATCATTAAACAATACAAAAAAGAAAGACTAAAACGACTCCCCCTCTCACACACACACACACACCATCAAAGTCAAAGAGAAAATAAAACATAGGCCACTTGCTCTGCCATCAATAAGCATATGAAATAAAATAATGAATAAAAATAGTCATAAAGAGACAAACATAATAGACACCTTAACCTAATACCATGAATCTGACAGTAATGTCTGTTAATTGAATACAGAAAGAAATCCAGTGAGTGACCAAGGCTAAGTCCTTTTGAGCATCCCATTATTTATAAGCAAAAGAGAAAAAGATCAAGGGAAAAAACTGTTAAATGAGCTGAAAGCTAATTGGTCTCAGTCAGTCAAGCCCTGCCTAGGGAAATGGCAGTTTCTTTGCCAACTATAATAAGAAAGGAGTTTCTGACTGCTTTTCCCCCGCTCTCTCCTTGCCTTTACCCAACACTACCTTCGGTTCAAACAATAAAAATCCATTTACAGACATATCATCCATTTACAGACAAATCCATTTACAGACAGATCAGTGGGCAAGGATGTTTGGTCCTTAGCTGGACCATCAAATGGCTGCATATCCTGCAGTGGCAGCTGAAGAATGGCATTAAAAATAGCAAAGTAGCAAAAGTGGCAAAACCAATTCAATAGAGGATTTCAATAAATGGTGCAGGAGCAATTGAACATCCATTCCAAAAAACAAAACAAAAAGAACTTTTACCTAAATATCACAACTTTTTATTAAAGTTAACTTGAAATAGATACTAAACTTAAATGTGAAACACAATACTATAGAAGTTCTAGAAAAAAGCATAGGTGAGAGTCTTCTGGAAAAAAGCATAGGAGAGAAGCTTCTAGATCTAAGTCTAGGTAAAGTGTTCTCACACTTGTCACCAAAAATACAATTCAAAAAAGAAAAATTGAACAGCATTGAAGTTAAAACCATTTGCTCTGTTAAAGATCTTGTTAAGAAAATACAAAGACAAATTTTAGACTGGGAGAAAACATTTGGAAATTACATACCCAGCATAGTTCTTTTATGTAGAATACATAAAGAACTCTCAAAACTCAACATTAAAAATTCCTAACAGCACTGTCTTAGTTCATTCAGGCTACTGCAACAAAACACCATACACCGGGTTGCTTATAAACAACAGAAAATTATTTCTCACAGTTCTGATGTCTCAGAAGTCTAAGATCAAAATGTTAGCGGATTTGGTATCTGATGAGAACCTGCTTCCTCTATAGATTAGCATTTTCTCACTGTAACCTCATGTGGCAGAAGAGGAAAACAAGCTACCTTGGGCCTCTTTTATAAGGACACTAATTCCATTCCTGTGTCTGCTCTCAATTTGATCACCTCCTATAGGCCATACCTCTTCACACTATCATGTTAGGGGTTAGAATTTCAACATATTAATTTTGAGGGGAGACAAACATTCAGATTGTAGCAGATGCTCAACATCGCTAATCATTAGAGAAGTGCAAATCAAAACCACAATGACATTTTACGTCATACCCATCAGGATGACCACTATCAGAAAAACAAAAAATAACCAGTGGTTGCAAGAATGCAAACAAGTTGAAATCCTTGCGTGCAGTTGGTAAGAATACAAAATGGTTCAGCCTTTATGGAAAACAGTACAGAGGTTTCTGGCTTAGTCTATTTTGTGCTACTGTAACAAAACATCACAGAAGGGGTTATGTATAAAGTAGAGAATTTTTTTCTCACACTTCTGGAGGCCAGGAAGTCCAAGATTGTGGCACCAGCAGGCTCAATTGTCTGGTGAGTGTTGCTCTCTGCTTCTAAGATAGCGCCCGCTAATGCATTCTTTCAGGAGACATGCTGTGTCCTCATGTGGCAGAAGGCAAAAGGGCAAGGAAGCCAATGCTGCAGAGGTTGTCTTTTTTATAGTGGTCTTAATTCCATTCATGAGGAGAGAAATGTTCATAACCTAATCATCTCTTAATACCATTACATTGGCCATTAATTTTTCAATGCCTGAATTTTGGAGGGGACACATTAATATCTTAGCAGTTTCTCAAAAAAATAAAAATAGAATTATCATATGATACAGCAATTCCACTTTTGCATATACATCCAAAAGAATTCAAAGAACTTTGAAGATATATTTACACATTCATGTTCATCATATGGTTGATTACTCATAACAGCCAAGAGGTGAAAGCAACCCAAATATTCACTGACAGTTGAATGGATAAAGAAAATGTGGTATTTACATGCAATGGCATATTATGTAGCCTTAAAAAGAAAGACATTCTGTCATGCACCACAACATTAGTTAACCTTGAAGACATTATCTTAGGCAAAGTAAGCCAGTTACAAAGGGACAAATACTGTATGATTCCACTTGTATAAAGTAGCTAAAGTAGTTAAAATCATAGGCTCAGAAAGCAGAAAGATGGCTATCAAGGTCTAGTGGAAGCAGGAGGCAGAATTAGTGTTCACTGTGTATAGAGTTTCAGCATTGCAAGATAAGTGTTTTAGAATCTGTTACACAATAGTGTCAATGTACTTAACACTACTGAACTATATATTTTAAAATGAGTAAGATGCAAATTTAATGTTACGTGTTTTTTAACACAACGAAAATATCCCATTAGAAAATGAGCAATCAAGAGGTTGAAAAAATAACCAACAGATTGGGAGAATATATTTTCAAAAGACATACCTGATAAGGAGTGTTATCCAAAATATACAAAGAATTCCTAAAACTCAACAGTAAAAAAAAGAAAAGAAAAAAAAAAAGTTCAAAGACTTTCACAGACACCTTACCAAAGAAGATATACAAATGGCAAGTAAGCATATGAAAAGGTGCTCCACATGTTGTCTCATTGGGGAAATACAAATTAAAACAACAATGAGATCATCAGAGAAATGCAAATCAAAACCACAATGAAATCCCATCTTGCACCAGTCAGAATGGCAAATATTGAAATGTCAGGAAACAATAGATGCCCGCGAGGCTGTAGATAATTAGGAACTCTTTTACACTGTTGATGGGAATGTAAATTAGTTCGACCATTGTGGAAGACAGTATGGTGATTCTTCAAGGATTTAGAACAAGAAATACCATTTGACCCAGCAATCCCATTACTGGGTATATACCCAAAGGATTATAAATCATTCTAGTGTAAAGACACATGCACACATATGCTTATTGCAGCACTATTTACAATAGCAAAGTCATGGGACCAACCCAAATGGTAATCAATCATAGACTGGATAAAGAAAATGTGGCACATACACACCATGGAATACTATGCAGCCATAAAAAGGGATGAGATCATGTCCTTTGCAAGGACATGGATGAAGCTGGAAGCCATCATCCTCAGCAAACTAACACAGGAGCAGAAAACCAAACACCACATGTTCTCACTCATAAGTGAGAGTTGAACATTGAGAACACATGGACACAGAGAGGAAAACAACACAAACCAGGACCTGGTGAGGGGTGGGGGGTGAGGGGAGTGAACTTAGAGGATGGGTCAATAGGTGTGGCAAACCACCATGCCACATGTATACCTATGTAACGAACCTGCACATTCTGCACATGTATCCTGTTTTTTTTTTTTTAAGAAATAAAGAAAAAAAAATGAGATCTCACTACCTACCTATTAGAATGGCCAAAATTTAGAACACTGACAACACAAAATGCTGGTGAAGCTGGGAGCAACGGAAACACTCATTCACTGATGGTGGGAATCCAAATTGTACTGACACTTTGGAAGAAAGTTTAGTGATTTACAACACTAAACATTCTTACTATATGATGTAGTAATCACACTGCTTGGTATTTACTCAAAGGCGTTGACAACATGTCCACACAAAAACCTGCATATGGGTGTTTATATTAATAGCAGCTTTATTCATAATTGCCAAAACTTGGAAGCAACCAAGATTTCCTTTGGTAGATGAATTGTTAAATAAACTGTGGTACATACAGACCTTAGAATACTATTCAGCACTAATAAGAAATGAGCTATAAAGCCATAAAATGACATTGAAGGAATTTAAATGCATGTTATTAAATGACAAAAGCCAACCTGAAAATTATACATAGTGTACGATTCTAAATATATGTCATTCTAGAGAAGGCAAAACTGAGGACAGTAAAAAGACCAGCAGTTACCAGGCAATGGGGGGAGAAAAGGGTGAATAGGTGGAGCACAGAGGATATTTAGGGCAGTGAAACCCCTGTCTATGGCACCATAATGATGAATACATTGCACTATAAATATGTCCAAAGTCATAGATTGTACGACACCAAGAGTGGACCCTTTATAGACACATCCACCCCTTCTCCCCCATTTCTCATTCATGACAACCACTAATCTGATCTCCATATCAACAACTGTGTTATTTCATAAATGTTATTTAAATAGAATCATGCCATATGTATCCCTTTGAGATTTTTTTTCACTTAGCATAATTTCCTTGAGAGTCTTGTCATAACATAGTGAGTATCATGATTGTCATGGTGGTTACATGAAGCTCCACATAAGATATAGCTCTATGAAAATAGAGCTATAAACAGACACGTACATACACACACTATATACACACAAATGAGTGCATATATAACTGGTAATAAGTGAAAAAGCTCTATAATTTGTACTAAGTTGGGCTTCCTGGTTCTGATAATGTACTATAGTTATAGAAGATGTTGACAATGAAATGGGCTGAGTAAAGGGTGCACAGAACCTCTCTGTACATTTTTTTACAACTATAATGTGCAATGTATAATTGTTTCAAAATAAAATAATCTTTTCAAAATAAGTTGGAAGAAAATTTCAGTCCAGACAAGATAATGTAGACCTGTTTTTGCCCTGTTTCTCCCCATTAAGTCCAACTATACATTCTAAAAGTGGTATAAGAGACAATGAAGGTAGAAGTCTTAAAGGTGTTTAGGAGGCGAGCTTGTTTTGGACTGCAGATCTGGAAAACAGGGCATCTAGGTACCCACCCAACAGATGGTCACACAGGCCTGGTGTCTTTTAACTCAGCAACAGTAGGCAATACATGTGGGTTATTCCTGCCCCAAATGGAATGAGAGTCCCTACAATGACATCAGGTAAGCCAAATATCAACAGTAAGGGGAGACCCATTAGGAGTCTCACCAAAAATATGCATCCAGGAAAAACACTCTCCTTCTCTGCCTGGTTGAAGATTCTCTCTTTCTGCCAAGAGAAACCCAGGTGGGTGAGTGGAAATCGCAAGAGAGATACAGCAGTTCATTCTGAGGAGCCACTTTGTGATTGCAGGCCCAAAACTCTCCTCCCCTACCGAAAGACTCAGATATAGTGGGCAGAAACAACAAGGAGGATCCAGCTATAGCAAGCCTCCTGATCTGGGAAGCCTGGGCAGTAAACAAGTTAAAAAAGAAAGGAAGAAAGAAAGAAAAGAAAAGAAAGGCAACTAACAACAACCAAAAAATGGCCAGGTGTGGTGGCTCATGCCTGTCATCCCAGCATTTTGGGAGGCTGAGGTAGGTGGATCACCTGAGGTTGAGAGTTCAAGACCAGACTGACCAACATGGATAAACTCCGTCTCTACTAAAAATACAAAACTAGCTGGGCATGGTGGTTGGCACCGTAATCCCAGCTACTCAGGAGGCTGAGGCAGGAGAATCGCTTGAACCCGGGAGATGGAGGTTGTGGTTAGCCAATATCGCACCATTGCACTCCAGCCTGGGCAACAAGAGCAAAACTACTTCTCAAAAAAAAAAAAAAAAAAAAGGCAACAACTATAAAAAGCAATAAAATTATGAAATGCGTGAAGAAAATGATTAGACATTTTACCGAAGAGGACACACAAATGGCAAATAAGTACATCAAAATCAAAAGATTTTCAAAATCATTAGCCACCAGGGAAATTCAAATTAAAACCACAATAAGATATCACTACACTTCTAGCAGAATGGCAAAAATGAAAAAATATAGGACCACCACCAAATGTGGGCAAGAATATAGAGAAACTGGATCGCCTGTGCATTGCTGGTGAGAATGTAAAATATTACAGCCTCTCTGATAAACAGTTTGTTATGTTCTCATAAAACTAAGTATGCAACTAAATAGGTCCCAGAAGTTATACCCTTGCACTTTTGTCCCAGAGAAATAAAAACCTATGTTTACACAAAAATGTAAACATGAATGTTCATAGTAATTTCATCCAAAATAGCCTCAAACTGAAATCAACCCGTGTATCATTCAACAGGTGAATGGTTAAACACACTATGGTACATTCATAGTATGGAATATATTACTTAGCAATAAAAAAGATTGAACTATTTATGCATCAACAATTTGAATAAATTTCCAGGTAATTACTCTGAGTCGGGAAAAAAAGCCAGTCCTAAAAGCTCATATACTGTGTGATTTCATTTATATAGCAGTTTTGAAATGACAAAAATTTAGACATGGGGGGCATATTATGGGGCAGGGGAGAAGAAGGGAGAAAGATATTTAGGGTATATAAGAGATAGCATATTATTAATATAAAAGACTAACAGGAGAGATTCTTATGTTGGAACTTTCAGGGTCTTGATTGTGGTGGTGGATAAATTAACCTACATGTAGGTAACTGTATAAAACTGAACACACACACAAATACAAATGTAAATGGGAAAATTTGAATAAGATCAGTGTATTGTATCAATATTAACATCTTAGTTGTGATATTATATTATTTCCTCACAAAATGTTACCATCAAGGAAAATGAACAAAATTTACATGGGATCTCTCTGTACTATTTTACAAAACTGCATGTGAATCCACAAATATTACAATAAATATTTCAACCACAAAAAAATCAAAGACCCATCATTAAAATAGAATTGGAAACGAATTCAGATGCAAAGTTTCAAATCTGCTGCGCTTTTCTGTCTCCCATGAGCTCTGTAAAGCAAGATGATCTTGAAAAGCCAGCATCCAACAACAGCGTTTTTTTTTATTTGTCCATTCCTAGCTATTTGAATTATGTCTTCCTAACGAACAGAACTGCAGACATTGACTTCTTCTTATCTGTCCTTGTTATTCTGTTCTAACCACTAAGACTACTTTAGACATCCCTGGAAATGCCTGTACTTTCTCACCTCAGGGTCCTTGCATTTACTGTTCCCTTTACCTGGTTACCTCTTCCTTCAGTCATCTGCACACCTTGCTTCCTTACTTCCTTCAAATCTCTGCTTAAAAGTCACCTTATCAGAGAGATTTTTCTTAAGTATGCTAAATAACAGTACACCAGTTCTCCCTAGGCAACCTTGTCTCCCTTACTGTGCTCTGTTTTTCTTCACATCACCTGTTATATCAGGTGTACTGTGCATGTGTGTTTGCTGTCTGCCTCTCTTCCTAGAATGTGTGTTCTTGAGTTCAGGGACTTTGTTTGCTGTTCCGTCCTAGCACATGGAACAGTGCTAGGCACAGAGCTGGCACAACTAAATTCATGTTGAATAAACTGTTGAATAAATAATATTCCTTTCTTCCTGCCAGGACCCTTATGAATTGAGAGTGGTCCATCATTAGGCTGTATGTAGGCGGTGGAATTGGTGAGAAAGATCTTGGGATTTTATTGTCATCTTCTAACTTATTAATATTTTTGCAAAAGCCCATCTTTTTGAATCAGAGATCACTTGTGCCATTACTTCTCTTGTTTGCGTGGTTCAGGGGATGTCAGTTGATGGATACAATTTTTTGAATTACAAGTTTTTGTATTACAAGTTTTAAATTTACAAAGAGGTGTTATTTTAATTTACAGTATTCTAGGACCCATGTGGTACAACTAGGGGCATGGTGGGGTGGGAGGTGGATCCTGACAGTTGTCTGAGTGGCTAAATCAATAACAAAACTAAGGTTTTGGCAATAATACTGTACACTGTTTCATGATGAGTTTGGATTTTTCTCTCCTATACTTTATCACAAACTAAAAAGTGCCCTGTTAGTGACTCCTAACTCCTCATTCCTCTTCTATTTCATGTGCACCCCCCTTGAGAACTTTGTAATCCAAGTTATTTTTCCTTCTTCTCTCTCTCTATAAAACTAAAAAGGAGAAGAAAATTGCTTTCCTTGACACCATTTACCTTACTCTCACCATTTGAAATTTCCTCTCCTTCTCTATTTCATACCAGCTCAGAACAATATATGGCTGCAGCTGTTATATTGGATTTCTTGTCTCTTCTCCCTGACATTTCCTACATTCCCGTTCCCTCTTATTGCTAAGGTCAGTGCTCTATTCTCTGCTTTTTCTGCACAAAACACTATCTTCCGCAGCCTCCTGCTCCAGGAGGTCTTTATGAATGTTATTGAGATTATCAGATGCCAATGATGTGAAAGGTGAAGACATTGTATTGATGTTCTTTTAGCTAATAAACCCATGTCCCCCGGGGGAGATTTTTTTTTTTATCAAATTGCTTTTCTTGGGCTTTTAAAGGACAAATGAAATTAGTTGAAACAACTGCTCAGAAACTCCAGACCTTTACAGCAACAGCTGCTGCTGATAATGAAATAGGATTTTGTTCTACACTATGTCACCATTAATCACATTTCCTAGATAAGTTCTTGACCCTCTACTCAGCCTTGTTGGAAGAGACAGTGAGCAGCACACTAGAGTTGAAAATGTAGAAGAGAGTTAACTCAGTAACTTAAATCAATTGAAGTTGTTTTTGGATTTTACACTCTGAATATGGCAATTGTAATTGATAATGTGAGCAATTCACTTCTCTATTACAAACTTGAACAATAGCCATGTTTCTAGTCTGTCTTACCTTGGACATTTTTTTAAACGAATAATAATAAAAGGTAAAATAAAATGATTGGATGTTTGTGAAGCAATTCTAACTTGGGTTAACTATTTTGTTATTCTTGAGAAAGTGTTTGGGGGACCTGGAATTTATTTATTTCTACACTTCATGTGACTAGAGGTTTCAGTCAGCATTATGGTGCAGCAAAGAGCAGACAGATCTATGCAGACAATCATATGCACTGAACTGATTTCTTAATAGTTGGACCCAATTGTCCCTCAGTAAGAAAGTTTTTTAATTAAAATTTATTTTTTAATTTTGTGAGTACATAGGTATATACATTTATAGGATACATGAGATGTTTTGACACAGGCATGCAATTTGAAATAAGCTCATCGTGGGGAATGGGGTATCCATCCACTCAAGCATTTCTCCTTTGAATTACAGACAATCCAATTACACTCTATTTAAAATGTACAATTATTATTGACTAGAGTCACCCTATTGTGCTATCAAATAGGTCTTATTCATTTTTATAACTTTTTTTGTACCCATTAACTATTCACACCTTCCCCATCCGCCCCCCAACAAGCCACTCACTACCCTTCCTAGGCTCTGGTAACCATCTTTCTACTCTCTATGTCCATGAGTTCTGTTGTTTTGATTTTTAGATCCCACAAATAAGTGAGAACATGTGATGTTTGTCTTTCTGTGCCTGACCTGTTTCACTTAGCATAATGATCTCCAATTTCATCCCTAGTGTTGTAAATGACTGGATCTCATTCTTTTATGGCAGAATAGTACTCTATTGTGTATACATACCTCATTTTCTTTATCCAGTCATCTGTTGATGGACACTTCGGTTTCTTCCAAATCTTAGTTATTGAAAACAGTTCTGCAACAAACATAGGTGTGCAGATATCTCTTCAATATACTGATTTCCTTTCTTTTGAATATATACTCAGCAGTGGGAATGTTGGATCATATGGTAGCTCAATTTTTAATTTTTCTGAGGAACAACAACACTGTTCTCCACAGTTGTTATACTAATTTATATTCCCACCAATAGTGTTCCCTTTCCTCCATATTCTTGCCAGCATTTGTTATTGCCCGTCTTTGGATAAAAGCCATTTTAACTGGGGTGAGATGACATCTCATTGTAGTTTTGATTTGCATTTTTCTAATGATCAGTGATGTTGAGCACCTTTTCATATGTATATTTGCCATTTGTATGTCTTCTTTTGAGAAATGTCTATTCAAATTTTTGTCCATTTTATTGGATTATTGAACATTTTCCTAGAGTTGTTTGAGCTCCTTATGTATTCTGGTTCTTAATCCCTTGTCAGATGGGTAGTTTGCAAATATTTTCTCCCATTCTGTGGATTGTCTCTTCATTTTGTTGATTGATTGTATTCTTTATTGTGCAGAAGCTTTTTAACTTGATGTGATCCCATTTGTGCACTCTTGATTTGGTTGCCTGTGTTATTGCCATTTGTGCACTCTTGCTTTGGTCGCCTGTAGGGTATTGCTCAAGAAATTTCTGCCAAGACCAATGTCATGGAGATGTTCCCCAATGTTCTCTTGTAGTAGTTTTATAGTTTGACATCTTAGACTTACATCTTTAATTCATTTTTATTTTATTTTTGAATATGGTGATATGTGTCTAGTTTTATTCTTTTGCTTATGGATATTCAGTTTTCTCAGCACCATTTACTAAAGAGACTATCTTTTCCCCAGTGTATGTTCTTGCATCTTTGTCAAAAATGAGTTCACTGTAGTTGTATGAATGTTTCTGGGTTCTTTATTCTGTTCCATTGATCTATGATGTCTGTTTTTAGGCCAGTGCCATGCTGTTCTGGTTACTATAGCTCTATAGTATAATCTGAAGTCAGGTAATGTTATTCCTCCAGTTTTGTTCTTTTTGCTTAGCATAGCTTTGCCTATTCTGTGTCTTTTGTGGTTCCACATAAATTTTAGGATTTTTTTTTTATTTGTGTGAATAATATCATTGGTATTTTGATAGGAGTTACATTGAATTTGTAGACTGCTTTGGGTAGTATGGACATTTTAATAATATTGATTACTCCAATCCATGAAAATTGATGTTTTTCCATTTTTTGATGTCCTCTTCAATTTCTTTCATGGGTTTTTTATAATTTTTAATATAGAGAGCTTTCACTTATTTGGTTAATTCCAATGTAGTTAATTTTATGAGTGGCTATCATGAATGGGATTATGTTTTTACTTCCTTTTTACATTGTTCACTGTTGGCATGTGGAAATGCTACTGATTTTTGTATGTTGATTTTGTACCCTGTAACTTTAATGAATTTATCAGTTGTAATAGTTTTCCTGTGGGGTCTCTAGGTTTTTCCAAATATAAGATCATATTATCTGCAAACCAAGATAATTTGACCTCTTCCTTTCCAATTTGGATGCCCTTTATATCTTTTTCTTGTCTGATTGCTCTAGCTAGGAGTTTCAGTACTAAGTTGAATAATAGTGCTGACAGTGAGCATCATTGTTATGTACCAGATCTTAGAGGAAAGGCTCTCAGTCTTTCCTCATTCAGTATAATACTAGCTGTGGGTCTGCTGTATATGGCTTTTATTATGTTGAGGTACATTCCTTCTATCCCCAGTTTTTTAGGGATTTTTATCATAAAGAGATGTGAAATTTTATTAAATGCTTTTCCAGCATCAATTAAAATGGTCATATGGTTTTTATCCTTCATGTTTTTGATAAGACGTATCACATTGATTTGCATATGTTGAATTATCCTTGTATCCCAGGGATAGATCCTACTTGATCATGATGAAAGATCTTTCTAATATATTAAATTTGGTTTGATAGTATATTGTCGAGGATTTTTGCATCAATATTCATTAGAGATATTGGCCTGTAGTTTTCTTTTTTTTGCTGTGTCTTTGTCTAGTTTTCATATCAGGGTAATACTGGCCTTGCAGAATTTGGTAATATTCCTTCCTCTATTTTTTGGACTAGTTTGAGTAGTACTGGTATTAATTCTTTAAATGTTTGGTAGAATTCAGCAATGAAGCCATCAGGTCCCAGGCTTTTCTTTAATGGACAACTTTTTTTTTTTTTTTTTGAGATGGATCCTCACTCCATCACCCAGGCTGGAGTGCAGTGGTGCGATCTCAGCTCACTGTAAGCTCTGTCTCCTGGGTTCCTGGGTTCACATGAGTCTTCTGCTTCAGCCTCCCAAGTAGCTGGGACTACAGGTGCCCACCACCATGCCCAGCTAATTTTTTGCTATTTTTAGTAGAGATGGAGTTTCACCGTGTTGACCAGGCTGGTCTCAAACTCCTGACCTCAAGTGGTCCACCTGCCTTGGCCTCTCAAAGTGCTGGGATTACAGGCATGAGCCACTGCACCTGGCTGACAACTTCTTATTATGGCTTAGATCTTGTTTCTTGTTGGTCTTTTCAGGTTTTTGATATCTCCCCAGTTCAATCTTGGTAGGTTGCATGTATCTAGGAATTTGTTCATTTCTTCTAGAGTTTCCAATTTATTGTCATATAGTTGTTCATAGTGGCCAATAATGATCTTTAGAATTCCTGCAGTGTCAGTTGTAATGTCTCATTTTTCATTTTTGATTTTATTTACTTGGATTGTCTCTCTTTTTTTCTTAGTCTGGCTAAAGGATTGTCAATTTTGTGTAACTTTTCATAAAAACCACTTTTTGTTTTGTTGGTATTTTGTATTTTTTCATTTTAATTTCATTTAATTCTGCTCTGATCTTTATTATTTCTTCTACTAATTTTAGATTTGGCTTGCTCTTCCTTTTCTAATCCTTTAAAATGAATTGTTAGAGTGTTCACTTAAAGTATTTTCCCTTTTTGGATGAGGCACTTACAGCTACGAACTTCCCTCTAAGTATTGCTTTTGCTGTATCCCATAGGTTTTGGTATGTTGTGTTTCCATTATCATTTGTTTCAAGAAAGTTTTTAATTTTCTTCTTAATCTCTTCATTGACCCACTGGTCATTCAGAAACATATTGTTTAATTTCCATGTATTTGTATAGTTTCCAAAATTCCTCGTTATTAATTTCTAATTTTATTGCCTTGTGGTCAGAAAATATGCTTGATATTATTTCAATTTTTTGAATGTTTTAAGACTTGTTTTGTGACCTAACATATGGTCTTTCTTTAGGAATGATCTATATGCTGAGGAAAAGAATGTGTATCCTGCAGCTCTTAGATGAAATGTTCCGTAAATACCTACTAGATCCACTTGGTCTACAGTGCAGATTAATTCTGATGTTTCTTTATTGTTTCTTTCTGTCTGGAAGATCTGTCCAGTGCTGAAAATGAGTGACTGAAGTCTCCATCTATTATTGTATTGGAGCCTATCTCTCTCTTTAGCTCGATAATGTTTCCTTTACATATCTAGATGCTATAGTGTTGGGTGCATATATATTTAAAATTGTTATATCTTCTTTCTGAATTGACTCCTTTATCCTTATATGGTGACCTTCCTTGTCTCTTCTTATAGTTTTTGTTTTAAAAGCTATTTTGTTTGATATAAGTATAGTGAGTCTTACTTTTAAAAAATTTCTACTAGCATAGAACACCATGTTCCATCCCTTTATTTTCAGACTATGTAGTCTTAATAAGTGAAATGTGTTTCTTGTAGGCAACAGATCAATGGGTCTTGTTTTTTCATACATTCAGCCAGTCTATGTCTTTTAATTAGAGAGTTAAGTCCATTTACAATCAATGTTATTATTGATAAGTAAGAACTTACTCTTACCATTTATTTATTTGTTTTCTGGTTGTTTTATAATATTCTGTTTCTTTTTTCTTTCCTTCCTGTCTGCCTCTACTGAAGGTTATTTTCTCTTGTGATATGATTTTTTCCTTGCTTTTCATATCTTTTGTGTAACCTTTATACATTTTTTGGTTTGAAGTTACCATGAGGCTTATGAATACTATCCTATAACCCATTATTTTAACCTATTAACAATTTAACACTATTTTCATTAACAAACAAGCAAGCAAGCAAAGAGAAAACTAATAAAAACTCTGTATCAGTCTGCTTTCATGCTGTTGATAAGGACATACCCGAGACTGGGAAGAAAAAAAAAGGTTTAATGAACCTACAGTTCCACGTGGCTGGGGATGCCTCACAATCATGGGAGAAAATGAAATGCACATCTCACATGGCAGCAAACAAGAGAAGAGAGATTGTGCAGGGAAACTCCCCTTATATAATCATCAGATCTTGTGAGACTTACTCCTATGATGAGAACAGCACAGGAAATACTTGATCTTATTATTTAATTACCTCTCACTGGGTCCCTCCCACAACACATGGGAATTCAGATGAGATTTGGGTGGGAGCACAGCCAAATCATATCAAACTCTATGCCTTAACTTTGTCTCCCCACCTATTAACTTTACATTGTTTCTATTTATATCTTACTGTACTATGTCTTGAAAAGTTGTTGTATTTATTATTTTTGATTGGTTCATTTATTCTTTCTACTTATGATGAAAGTAATTTACACATCACAGTTGCAGCATTATAATATTCTCTGTTTTTCTGTGTACTTATTACCTGTTTGTACTGTACCTTCAGATGATTATTTATTGCTCATTAATATACTTTTAATCTGATCAAAGTACTTTACCATTTTTTTTTTTTTTTTTGAGATGGAGTCTCGCTCTGTCATCCAGGCTGGAGCACAGTGGCATGACCTCAGCTCACTGCAAGCTCCGCCTCCCAGATTCACGCCATTCTCCTGCCTCAGCCTCCCGAGTAGCTGGGACTACAGGCGCCTGCCACCACGCCTGGCTAATTGTTTTATATTTTTAGTAGAGACAGAGTTTCACCGTGTTAGCCAGGATGGTCTCGATCTCCTGACCTCATGATCCGCCCGTCTCAGCCTCCCTAAGTGCTGGGATTACAGGCGTGAGCCAGCATTTTTTTATTGGACAGGACTGGCATTAATGAAATCCCTCAGCTTTTGTTTTTCTGGGAGTATCTTCATTTCTTCTTCATGTTTGAAGGATATTTTCACAGATATACCCTTTTAGGGTAAAAGTTATTTTCCTTCAGCATTTTAAATGTGTCATGCCACTCTCTCCTGGCCTGAAGGATTTCCACAGAAAAGTCTGCTGCCCGACATATTGGAGCTCCATTGTTTGTTATTTGTTTCTCTTGCTGCTTTCAGAATTCTTTATCCTTGACTTTTGGGAGCATGATTATTAAATGCCTTGAAGTAGTCTTCTTTAAGTTAAATCTGCTTGGTGTTTTATAATCTTCTTGTACTTGGATATTGATATATTTCTCTAGGTGTGGGGAGTTCCCTGTTGTTATCCCTTTCAATAAACTTTCTACCACTATCTTTTTCTACCTCCTCTTTAAGGCCAATAACTCTTAGATTTGCCCATTTGAGGCTATTTCCTAGATCTTGTAGGCATGTTTCATTGTTTTTTTTTTTTATTTTGCCTTATTTGACCATGTATTTTCAAACAAAAACCTGCCTTAAAACTCACTACTTCTTCCACTTGATAAATTCTGCCATTAAAAGGCTCTGATGTATTTTTCTGTATACCAATTACATTTTCAGCTCCAGAATTTCTGCTTGATTACTTTTAATTATTTCAATCCTTTTGTTAAATTTATCTGGTAGAATTCTAAGATTTTTCTGTGTTATCTTGAATTTCTTTGAGTTTCCTCAACACAGATATTTTTAATTCTCTGACTAAAAGGTCATAGATCTCTGTTTCTCTAGGATTTGTCCCTGGTGCCTTATTTAGTTCATTTGGTGAGGTCATATTTTTCTGGATGATGTTGATGCTAGCAGATGTTCTTCACTGTCTGGGCATTTAAGAGTTAGGTATCTATTATAATCTTCACTATCTGGGCTTATGTGTAGCCATCCTTTTTGGGAAGGCTTTCCAGATATTTGAAAGGACTTGATCTAAGTGTTGTGATCTAAGTGTGGTGATCTAAGATGCATTAGGTTGGTGCAAAAGTAATTGCAGGTTCTGCCATTATCTTTAATTACGGGGCACCCTAAGCCCAGTAATCCTGTGGTTCTTGTAGACTTGTAGAGGTATCACTGTGATTATCCTGAATCAGATCTGGGAAAATTATCTAAATTATCAGGCAGGGACTCTTGTTCTCTTCTCTTACTTTCTTCCAAACATACAGAGTCTCTCTCTCTCTCTCTCTCTCTCTCTCTCTCACTGTTCTGAGCCACCTAGAGCTGACGGTGAAATTACACAAGCACCCCTGTTGCCAGCACCATTGTGACTGTGCTGGGTCAGACCTGAATCCAGCACTTGAATCCAATACCTGCTGTAAACACTCCCTTCCTACTGCCTATGTTCACTCAAGGCCCTGGGACTCTATAATCAGCAAATGGCAAAGCCAGCCAGGCCTGTGTTCTTTCCTTCAGGGCAGCAAGGTAACCAGGCCCTGGGTGGGTGCAGAAGTGCTGCCTGGGAGTCAGGGAATAGAGTCAAAAAACTTAGAAGTCTACCTGGTGTTCTATCTTGTGGCAACTGAGTTGGCACTTAAACCACAAGCTGTGGGCCTTCCCACTCTTCCCTCCCCTTTCCAAAGGCAAAGGATCCGTACCCCATAGCCCCATAGCCACCACCATCCTGGGCCATGAGGAGTACTGCCAGAATACTGCTGATGCTCCCTTAAGGCCCAAGGTCTCTTAAGTCACCTTGTTGTGAATGCTGTCTTCTCAACCAGAAGGAGTTTGCCCCATAGCCACTACTGCTGAGAATCCCTGGAAGCCAGCAAGCCTCAGAGGCTTGCTGTAGGACCTGGGTACTACTTCTGGTTATTCTGGACCCACAGGCTCTTCAGTTACCAGGGGATGAATACTGCCAGGTATTGGGTCCTTTCCTTCAAGGCAGTGGGTTCCCTTCAGGCCCAGGGTGTGTCTAGAAATGTCATCTGGGATCTGGGGCCTAGAACAAGGGCCCCACAAGTCTCACAGGTGCCCTATCCTGCTGTAGCTGAGGTGGTATCCAAGATGCAAGACAAAGCCCTCCCTACTCTTCCCTCTCCTCTTCTGAAGGGGACGGAAATAGTCTCTTTTGGAGCCATGGGCTCTGCATCCTGGGTTTAAGGAGGGGTGAGGCCAGCACACCCTTGGCTCCCCCAGTTGGTGTTTCACTATGTTGAACACCATGGTGTTATGTATCCTCTCAGTTCACTGTCTCTGGGCGTACTTCAGTACTAGCACTCACCTAAGAGTTGCATCCTTATGGCCTAGACTGCCTTTCAAGTTGACTTGGAGACACAGAGCTACAGCCCTTAGTGACTATGTTTGCAGGCACTCAAGTTTGCACTGCTAGGATGCATGATTCCTTCCTGCCTAGGGCTGGTTCAAATGCTCTGTCCATGAGTAGGCATCAGCTTAGTTTGACCCAGGTTTCCTACCTGTTCTAACAGGACAGCACTGAATTCAATGCTTTACAATCGCCGTGTTCTTCCTCCTCTAGTGCCCAGAGATGCTCTTTGTACCACACCATGGTTGCACAAGGTTGGGGAAGGGTGGCATCAGTGATTTAGGACTGTATTTTCTATATTTTTAGTGTCTGTTTCAGTGACAGGAAGTTAAAACCAAGTACTGTTAAGGGCTCACCTGATTTTTAGTTCTTATGAAAGTCTTTTATTTCTGTGTAGATAGTTGTTAACTTGGTGTCATTGCAGGGAATGTAACTGGTAGCTCTTTCTATTCCATCATCTTGCTCCTCATTCTCCTTCAGTAAGAAAATTTCAGCTTGGAGCCACTTACACACACATCAGCCACTTGCCATTGCAATTCATGTGTTGACATTGGGAGAAATCCCTGTGGTCATAAACTGCCACAACAACATCTAAGCCAGTTTGCTGAAGTTCAGCCCATAGTAAACTTTCCTCACTTCTGCAAAGACAGAAGGCAAAGATGATTCTGGGAAAAAAACTCCCACCCTAATACTGTGCTTTTCCAATGGGCTTAACAAACGGCACACCAGGAGATTATATCCCGCACCTTGGCTCAGAGAGTCCTACACCCATGGAGCCTTGCTCAGTGCTGGCACAGCAGTCTGAGATCAAACTGCAAGGCGGCAGGGAGGCTGGGGGAGGGGTGCCCGCCATTGCTCTGTCTTGAGTAGGTAAACAAAGCTGCCAGGAAGCTCCAACTGAGTGAAGCCCACCACAGCTCAAGGAGGCCTGCCTGCCTCTGTAGGCTCCACCTCTGGGGGCAGGGCACAGACAAACAAAAGACAGCAATAACCTCTGCAGACTTAGATGTCCCTGTCTGACAGCTTTGAAGAGAGTAGTGGTTCTCCCAGCATGCAGCTTGAGATCTGAGAACAGGCAGACTGCCTCCTCCAGTGGGTCCCTGATCTCCGAGTAGCCTAACTGGGAGGCCCCCAGTAGGGACAGACTGACACCTCACATGGCCGGGTACTCCTCTGAGACAAAACTTCCAGAGGAACGATCAGGCAGCAGCATTTGCAGTTCACCAATATCCGCTGTTCTGCAGCCACTGCTGCTGATACCCAGGCAAACAGGGTCTGGAGTGGACCTCCAGCAAACTCCAACAGACCTGCAGCTGAGGGTCCTGACTGTTAGAAGGAAAACTAACAAACAGAAAGGACATCCACACCAAAAACCCATCTGTACATCACCATCATCAAAGACCAAAGGAAGATAAAACCACAAAGATGGGGAAAAAAGAGAGCAGAAAAACTGGAAACTCTAAAAATCAGAGCACCTCTCCTCCTCCAAAGGAACGCAGCTCCTCACCAGCACCGGAACAAAGCTGGATGGAGAATGACTTTGACCAGCTGAGAGAAGAGGGCTTCAGACAATCAAACTACTCTGAGCTAAAGGAGGAAGTTCGAACCCATGGCAAAGAAGTTAAAAACCTTAAGAAGTTAAAAACCTTGAAAAAAAATTAGATGAATGGCAAACTAGAATAACCAATGCAGAGAAGTCCTTAAAGGACCTGATGGAGCTGAAAACCATGGCACAAGAACTATGTGACGAATGCACAAGCCTCAGTAGCTGATTCAATCAGCTGGAAGAAAGGGTATCAGTGATGGAAGATCAAATGAATGAAATGAAGTGAGAAGAGAAGTTTAGAGAAAAAAGAATAAAAAGAAACGAACAAAGCCTCCAAGAAATATGGGACTATGTGAAAAGACCAAATCTACATCTGATTGGTGTACCTGAAAGTGACGGGGAGAATGGAACCAAGTTGGAAAACACTCTGCAGGATATTATCCAGGAGAATTTCCCCAATCTAGCAAGGCAAGCCAACATTTAGATTCAGGAAATACAGAGAACGCAACAAAGATACTCCTCGAGAAGAGCAACTAACTCCAAGACACATAATTGTCAGATTCACCAAAGTTGAAATGAAGGAACAAATGTTAAGGGCAGCCCGAGAGAAAGGGCGGGTTACCCACAAAGGGAAGCCCATCAGACTAATAGCTGATCTCTTGGCAGAAGCTCTACAAGCCAGAAGAGAGTGGGGGCCAATATTCAACATTCTTAAAGAAAAGAATTTTCAACCCAGAATTTCATATCCAGCCAAACTAAGCTTCATAAGTGAAGGAGAAATAAAATACTTTACAGACACGCAAACGCTGAGAGATTTTGTCACCACCAGGCCTGCCCTAAAACACTCCGGAAGGAAACACTAAACATGGAAAGGAACAAACAGTACCAGCCACTGCAAAAACATGCCAAATTGTAAAAACCATCAAGGCTAGGAAGAAACTGCATCAACTAACGAGCAAAATCACCAGCTAACATCATAATGACAGGACCAAATACACACATAACAATATTAACCTTAAATGGAAATGGGCTAAATGCTCCAGTTAAAAGACACAGACTGGCAAGTTGGATAAAGAGTCAAGACCCATCAGTGTGCTGTATTCAGGAAACCCATCTCACGTGCAGAGACACACATAGGCTCAAAATAAAGGGATGGAGGAAGATCTACCAAACAAATGGAAAACAAAAAAAGGCAGGGGTTGCAATCCTAGTCTCTGATAAAACAGACTTTAAACCAACAAAGATCAAAAGAGACAAAGAAGTCCATTACATAATGGTAAAGGGATCAATTCAACAAGAAGAGCTAACTATCCTAAATATATATGCACCCAATACAGGAGCACCCAGATTCATAAAGGAAGTCCTTAGAGACCTACAAAGAGACTTAGACTCCCACACAATAACAATGGGAGATTTTAACACCCCACTGTCAACATTAGACAGATCAACAAGACAAAAAGTTAATAAAGATATCCAGGAATTAAACTCAGCTCTGCACCAAGCAGACCTAATAGACATCTACAGAACTCTCCACTACAAATCAACAGAATATACATTCTTCTCAGCACCACACCTATTCCAAAATTGACCACATAGTTGGAAGTAAAGCTCTCCTCAGCAAATGTAAAAGAACAGAAATTATAACAAACTGTCTCTCAGATCACAGTGCAATCAAACTAGAACTCAGGATTGAGACATTCACTCAAAACTGTTCAACTACATGGAAACTGAACAACCTGCTCCTGAATGACTACTGGGTACATAACAAAATGAAGGCAGAAATAAAGATGTTCTTTGAAACCAACGAGAACAAAGACACAACATACCAAAATCTCTGGGACACATTTAAAGCAGTGAGTAGAGGGAAATTTATAGCACTAAATGCCCACAAGAGAAAGAAGGAATGATCTAAAATTGACACCCTAACATCACAATTAAAAGAACTAGAGAAGCAAGAGCAAATACATTCAAAAGCTACCAGTAGGCAAGAAACAACTAAGATCAGAGTAGAACTGAAGGAAATAAAGACACAAAAAACTCTTCAAAAAAATCAATGAATCCAGGAGCTGGTTTTTTGAAAAGATCAACAAAATTGACAGACTGCTAGCAAGAATAATAAAGAAGAAAAGAGAAGAATCAAATAGACACAATAAAAAATGATAAAGGGGATATCACCACCAATCCCACAGAAATAAAAGCTACCATCAGAGAATACTATAAACACCTCTACGCAAATAAACTAGAAAATCTAGAAGAAATGGATAAATTCCTTGACACATACACCCTCCCAAGACCAAACCCGGAAGAAGTTGAATCTCTGAATAGACCAATAACGGGCTCTGAAATTGAGGCAATAATTAATAGTGTACCAACCAAAAAAAAGTCCAGGACCAGCTGGATTCACAGCCGAATTCTACGAGAGGTACAAGGTGGAGCTGGTACCATTCCTTCTGAAACTATTCCAATCAATAGAAAAAGAGGGAATCCTCCCTAACTCATTTTATGAGGCCAGCATCATCCTGATACCAAAGTCTGGCAGAGACAAAACAAAAAAAGAGAATTTTAGACCAATATCCCTGATGAACATCGATGCAAAAATCCTCAATAAAATATTGGCAAACTGAATCCAGCAGCACATCAAAAAGCTTATCCACCATGATCAAGTGGGCTTCATCCCTGGGATGCAAGGCTGGTTCAACATATGCAAATCAATAAATGTAATCAAGCATATAAACAGAACCAAAGACAAAAACCACATGATTATCTCAATAGATGCAGAAAAGGCCTTTGACAAAATTCAACAGCCCTTCATGCTAAAAACTCTCAATAAATTAGGTATTGATGGGACGTATCTCAAAATAATAAGAGCTATTTATGAAAAACCCACAGCCAATATCATACTGAATGGACAAAAACTGGAAGCATTCCCTTTGAAAACTGGCACAAGACAGGGATGCCCTCTCTTACCACTCCTATTCAACATAGTGTTGGAAGTTCTGGCCAGGGCAATCAGGCAGGAGAAAGAAATAAAGGGTATTCAATTAGGAAAAGAGGAAGTCAAATTGTCCCTGTTTGCAGATGACATGATTGTTTATCTAGAAAACCCCATCATCTCAGCCCAAAATCTCCTTAAGCTGATAGGCAACTTCAGCAAAGTCTCAGGATGCAAAATCAATGTGCAAAAATCACAAGCATTCTTATACACCAGTAACAGACAAACAGAGAGCCAAATCATGAGTGAACTCCCATTCACAATTGCTTCAAAGAGAATAAAATACCTAGGAATCCAACTTACAAGGGATGTGAAGGACCTTTTCAAGGAGAACTACAAACCACTGCTCAAGGAAATAAAAGAGGATACAAACAAATGGAAGAACATTCCATGCTCATGGGTAGGAAGAATCAATATTGCGAAAATGGCCACACTGCCCAAGGTAATTTATAGATTCAATGCCATCCCCATCAAGCTACCAATGACTTTCTTCACAGAATTGGAAAAAACTACTTTCAAGTTCATATGGAACCAAAACAGAGCCCGCATCGCCAAGTCAATCCTAAGCCAAAAGAACAAAGCTGGAGGCATCACGCTACCTGACTTCAAACTATACTACAAGGCTATAGTAACCAAAACAGTATGGTACTGGTACCAAAACAGAGATATAGACCAATGGAACAGAACAGAGCCCTCAGAAGTAATGCCACATATCTACAACTATCTCATCTTTAACAAACCTGACAAAAACAAGCAATGGGGAAAGGATTCCCTATTTAATAAATGGTGCTGGGAAAACTGGCTAGCCATATGTAGAAAGCTGAAACTGGATCCCTTCCTTACACCTTATACAAAAAGTAATTCAAGATGGATTAAGGACTTAAATGTTAGACCTAAAACCGTAAAAACTCTAGAAGAAAACCTAGGCAATAACATTCAGGACATAGGCATGGGCAAGGACTTCATGTCTGAAACACCAAGAGCAATGGCAACAAAAGCCAAAATTGACAAATGGGATCGAATTAAACTAAAGAGCTTCTGTACAGCAAAAGAAACTACCATCAGAGTGAACAGGCAACCTACAGAATGGGAGAAAATTTTTGCAATCTACTCATCTGACAAAGGACTAATATCCAGAATCTACAATGAACTCCAACAAATTTACAAGACAAAAACAAAAAACCCCATCAACAAGTGGGCGAAGGATATGAACAGACACTTCTCAGAAGAAGACATTTATGCAGCCAAAAAACACATGAAAAAATGTTCATCATCACTGGCCATCAGAGAAATGCGAATTAAAACCACAATGAGATACCATCTCACACCAGTTAGAATGGAGATCATTAAAAAGTCAGGAAACAACAGGTGCTGGAGAGGATGTGGAGAAATAGGAACACTTTTACACTGTTGGTGGGACTGTAAACTAGTTCAACCATTGTGGAAGTCGGTGCGGTGATTCCTCAGGGATCTAGAACTGGAAATACCATTTGACCCAGCCATCCCATTCCTGGGTATATACCCAAAGGATTATAAATCATGCTGCTATAAAGACACATGCACATGTATGTTTATTGTGGCACTATTCACAATAGCAAAGACTTGGAACCAACCCAAATGTCCATCAATGATAGACTGGATTAAGAAAACGTGGCACATATACACCATGGAATGCTATGCAGCCATAAAAAAGGATGAGCTCATGTCCTTTGTAGGGACATGGATGAAGCTAGAAACCATCATTCTCAGCAAACTGTCACAAGGACAAAAAACCAAACACCATATGTTCTCACTCATAGTTGGGGATTGAATAATGAAAACACATGGACACAGGAAGGGAAACATCACACACTGGGGCCTGTTTTGGGGTGGGAGTGGGGGAGGGATAGCATTATGAGATATACCTAATGTTAAATGATGAGTTAATGGATGCAGCACACCAACGTGGCACATGTATACATACGTAACAAACCTGCACGTTGTGCACATGTACCCTAAAACTTAAATAAATAAATAAAAAAGAAAGTTAATACATATCAGATACACACAGTGTATGGCACATGCACTGTTTTATTTAATCCTTTCTCCTTAATATTACACTGAAAATACAAGCCTGGGTAACTTTAGGAGTTTTGAGTAGGTTGTATAGATATTTGGCTATTTATATATTCTCCTCATTTTGGAGCTGAAAAGGTGGAGGCTCAGAAAGGTTAAGTAACTTCCCCAAGGTTACCGACCTACAAAGTGCCACCTAATTTCCCCAAATTCTTAATATTGAAGAACTCTAATGATTCCCACTTTCTATCAACATCATTTCATTGGTGATCTCATCCAGTCTCATGACTCCAAATACCATCTGTATGCTGATAACTCCAAGTTTTTAACTCCAGCCCAAGCCCCTGTCCTACAGCTAGGTCGTGGCATGTTACTTAGTTTAGCCACTGAGATATAGAATGATGTCTTTCAGGAGGGTTTTGAAAAATAGTTTCCTATCTGAGAGAGAGATGCATGAGGACAACTGCTGGCCCCAACTTATTTTTTAAAAACATTGTTTTATAAGGATTTGGTGACCATTATGTGATTCTTTTCAACACACTTAGTTTGACAGAGTGGAAAGATGGGGACACTCTGGGTCTTTGATAACTATTGAGCCAATAAATCACTCCATGACTATTGTCCTGAAGACTGTTTATTATGTAGGAGAATGTTAAATCCCGGTTGTTTAAGTCTTTTTTTACTTGAATAGTCTGCCATCTGTACCTGAAAGTAATCTTGACTACAAAGGCCATCATAATGATTATTCAGAGACTGTGTCTAGTCACCCCAGCTTTCTCACCATTCAATATGATTATTGTACAGCTTATTTACTAAGGAAAACTCTAAGAAAGTCCAAATATCTGCCACCCAAAGCCCTATCTGGAGGAATTAATCTCCAGGTGATTTTTTTTCTGCATTTATTTGACAAACATTCAGCACCAATTATGTGTAAGAAACTATTCAAGGCTTTGGGGCTACAGCAGCAGTGAATTAAACAGACAAGCATCCTGCCCTCATGGGTTTACATTCTCATAGAAGAATGTAACATACATGGTGTAGATTTCTAGTACTCACATATATACCATTCTCCTTTTTCTGTCCAAACACCCATACCCTTAGCAGGAAGAGTCATGTTACCAGCTCTGAGTAAGGTCTGGTGAATGGATTGTGAGCAAACCTGATATGTGCTCCTTCTCAGCCAAAACATTCTATTTTCAGTGCAACAGACAGTCTCTTTCTCTGCGTTTCATGGTTGAAAGAATATGTATTAAGATAGAGTGAGTGCCACAAGTGACCCGGACTTGAAAGTCACCTAATGGAGGACAGTTGTTCTAGAGAATCATCATGTACTTTGTACTTCGCATAAGGGAGAAACAAACTTTATTATGTTCTGCCACAAAATTTTGTAGTTGTAGTTTTAATTGTCCTAACTAATGCAATGTGTTCGATGGAATATTTGGCCATGAATCTCTTTTCAAATATAATTTTCTCAAATAAATGCAACTTGAATAAGCATTTATAAATTTTTCTCTGCAACAATTAGATTTATCCTCTTTAAACATACTTGATTTTTGGTTTAGCATGTGTGATATGGAGACACACACATATCTAACAAAATAATTACAAGTAAAATCAGATTGCGATTCTTATGTCATTGTTCACCACTTTCCTCTAAAAACATTCTCTCCTGTTCTGAAAAATCACAAGGTAATGATTATAAGAATCCGTACATTTAAAAAAATTATTCAGGATACTGGGGAAAGAAATAAAAATAAGCTAGAACAGATTTGTCAATTTTAGAATAGAAATTGGAACCAAGTAGAAGAATAGTGAACATAGTCTATTTGCTGTAGAATAATAAGTGACTCTCCACCATAATTTTTTCTGGGCTTTTTAATATGATTTTCTCTAAATGTCCCAGGAAACTAAGCACCCATCTGTCATTCCAGAGATTATTCTGTTGTGAAGAGTGTTCTTTTTCAGCTGTTTTGTAAGATATTTGTTCTATGATTTTTTCCATTTCTAATTATGTACTACTACAGTTTTTCTGCAAGATTTCAAGCACCAAATTCATCATGTTGTAACATGTTTTTAAATAGTTATTAGATTAACTCTCAATGTAACACATTTTGTATTTCATACTTCATCATTTTTCATATACTGGTAACCAGGATTTCCTGCCATCTCCCGAATGTCTCTAGGGAAAGACCTTTAGCTGTAAAAGTGAATTAATAGTAATAGTTTTTAAAATGCTCTTCTAGAGTTTCCTCAATAGGATGCCCCATTGGAAGATTGTGGGCTCCATGAACATAGAGAATAGGCATGTACCATCCATTGCTGTATTTCCCAGGCTGAGTTTAGTGTGTATATGTGGTAGGTATTCAATAAAACTTGTTATGTACTGGCACATCTCAATTACCTTTAACCATTTGCATAAATGCCACTATAAAGTACACAGAGTTGTACTTAATTAATGTAAGTGAAATTTTAAAATGAATTAATGTGTAATTTAGAGATCTCTATGAGTTGGAACTCCATTTGTTTGATTTCATGATATCCTGACCCCGTTTTCAAAAATTAGTAGCATTTTTAAGAATAATAAAAATTGAAATAAGAATTATGCTCCACACTCCTAGAAAAATAATAATTAAAAGACCTCAAAAATTATAACAGAATTCCATGCTCAGTACCACTCCTGATTCATTCGTGCCTTTACACTTTCTTTACTTTTTTGTTTCCCCTCTTTTTGCTGAAGTTGCCAAGATAGAGAAGAGAAAGAGAAAGAAAGAGAGTTGGGGGCAGGGGAGAGATAGGGAGGGAGAGAGAGAGATCATTCACAATCAATGAATCTGGTAAAGAGTGAGTCTTGTGGGTGTTTGGTACATTGCTGCTGTAGACAGAATACTGGATCCTAAAGATGTCCATATCCTGATCCACAGATTCTGTCAATGTATTTCCTTATATGGCAAATGGACTTTGCAGATATAATTAAGTATGATTGTAAAGACGTCTTTTTTTTTTTTTTTTTTTTTTTTTGAGACGGAGTCTCGCTCTGTCGCCCAGGCTGGAGTGCAGTGGCACCATCTCGGCTCACTGCAAGCTCCGCCTCCCGGGTTCACGCCATTCTCCTGCCTCAGCCTCCCAAGTAGCTGGGACTACAGGCGCCCGCCACTACGCCCGGCTAATTTTTTGTATTTTTAGTAGAGACGGGGTTTCACCGTTTTAGCCGGGATGGTCTCGATCTCCTGACCTCGTGATCCGCCCGCCTCGGCCTCCCAAAGTGCTGGGATTACAGGCGTGAGCCACCGCGCCCGGCCACGTCTATTTCTTTAGTCTTGCCAATTCTTCCTTCATGTATTTTTAAGCTCTGTTATTAGGTATGTACACATTAAAGGTCATTATGTTCTCTTGATAAATTTACCCTTTTATAATTATGAAATGTTTCCCTTTCTACATGTTAATATTTCTTTTTGAACTGTTTTCTCATATTCATATAGCCAGCCATGCACATACACACACACACACGCGTTTCCTTTTTTTATTCCATCAATGTCTTCCTTTTAATTGAAATGTTCAGTATAATTTTTATTTAACCTAATTGCTGATATGTCTGGGTTTCAGTATACCATCTCGTTTTTGTTTTTGTTTTCCTCCTGTCTCTGAACTCTGTTTTTTGTTTCTTTGGCTGCTCTTTACTAACATCTTTTGGTCTGAGAATTTTCATTTTTTTAAATATCTGCATTACTGGCTTATTAGCTATGGCATTGTATTATTTTTAAAGGTAAATGTCAAAATTCAATCTGAATCCTTAATGTCATTTCATTTAATGTATAAAGACACTTAAAGAAACTTTGTAGGATTTAAAGTATAAGAAAAAATTATAACAGAATACATTCATGCCCTTTCTTCTGTGTCTTCTATTATTGTAGTTCTGTTTTAAATCTAGAGGTATTTTAAACCGATACATCATTTTACTGATTTTTAAAATTTCATAGATGTTCAATTGTCTTTTAAATAATATAACTCAGAGAAAAATAATCTTTATATTTACCATTTCAGCGCTCTTAATTCTTTTTTTGTAGATCTGAATTTTCAGTTGTTAATTTCTTCATTTATTCTGGATAAATTCCTTTACAAGTTTTAGTCTCAGCTCTTATTTATATAACATTTTCATTATTTTGTATTCATTTTTGATGTATATTTCAGTGAATATTTTTACATAATATAAATTTTCTTTCTTATTGCTTTATTTCACTTAGTACTTTAGATGGCCTTCCAATGTATTCTAGCTTCGTGCTATAGCTGATGTTGTTACTATAATTCTGATTATTATTTCCTTGCATGAGTATGTCTTTTTATTTAGCTGTTGTTAAAATATGTTCTTTATGTTTGATTTTCAGCTGTTTAACTATCATGTGTTCATGTTTAGTTTTTTGTATTCTGTTTGTTTTCATTTGGTTGTGTTCTTTTCTTGAGCTTTTGGAATCTATGGCTATTTTTACTTTTTGAAAAATATTTTACATTTGAAAAAATTGCTAATATTTTGTTATCACTTTTCTATTCCATTTTTTTCTTTTGTGAGTCCAATTACATGTATGTTAAAATCACTTGACATGGTTCCACGATCATTAAGACTATATTTACTTATCCCAATTTTATTTTGTGCTTCAATTTGTTTAAAAATTTGTATTGGTCTTCCTTCAAACCCATTATTTCTTCTGCATTTTATAATTTGTGTTTAAACCCAGCTACTTCATTTTTTATTTCAGATTATTTCTTCTGCATTTTATAATTTGTATTTAAACACAGCCACTTCAGTTTTTATTTCAGATTTCATTTTTTATTTCAGATTTCATTTTTCAAATTTGGGATTTCTGCTTGATTGTCTTTTAGAATCCCCATGTCTTTTTTGACATTCATATATCTTACTTTCATATATATTCTTTCATATATTTTACTTGTTATTTTAAAGTCTTTGCCTAATTGCCTAATTTGACTGATTTTCACAGCTGGGTTATCTGCAGGTTTGATTGTTTATTTCTCCTTATAGTCATATTTTATTGACTTCTATTGTGTCAGGTAAGCTTTGATTATAAAGTGGACATTATACGTGATTCATTGTAGAAACTCTGGATTATTGTGTGTTCCTCTGAAGAGTATGAAGTTTTGTGCCAGCAGTTAATTCAATCAATGATAGTGGATCACTTTTATTCTGTGGTGGCTTGGTGTTAGGTTTTATTACTGAATAAATGATCTTAGTCCTAGAACATAGATCTTGGTTCTCACATATACATTTTTATTTTTTTAAACTGTACATTGGCAAATTATGATTTTGCATATTTACAAGATACAAAGTGATGTTATAATTTATGGCTACAATGTGGAATAAGACTAATTAACATATTAAGCACCACAAATATTTATCAATTTTTTGTGGTGAGAAAATCTGAAGTTTACTCTCAGCAATTTTGAAGTGTACATTAGATTACATTATTTCTTACTATATTCACCATGTTGTGCAATATATCTCAAAGGAAAACATAACTTATTCTCCCTGTCTAATTGAAGCTTTGTATCCTTTAACCATCATCTCCCCATTTTCCTCACCCACCTGCCTGTGGTAATCACCATTGTACTCTCTGATTGAGTTTGATCCTTTAAGATTCCACATATTAGTAAGAACATGTATTATTTGTTTTTCTGTGGCTGTTTTATTTCACTTAGCATAACATTTTCCAATTTCGTGTGTGTTATTTCAAGTGGCAAATTTATCTTTCTTAAGGCTGAATTATATATATATGTATATATATATATACACACACCACATTTTTAAAATTTATTCATCTGTTGATGGACATATAGGTTGATTCCATAACTTCGCTATTGTGAATAGTGCTGCAATGAGCATGTGAGTGCAGACATATCTTCAACATACTAATTTCAAATCTTTTGGGCAAATACCAAGATGTGGGATTTCTCGATGATATAGTAACTCTATTTTCTTTAAGAAACCACCATATAATTTTCCATAGTGGCTGCACTAATTCACATTTATACTAACAGTGTACAGATGTTTCCTTTTCTCCACCTGCTTTCCAACACTTGTTATCTTTTGTCTCTTTGATAATAGCCATTTTGACAAGTGTGAGGGTATATGTCATTGTGGTTTTAATTTGTTTCTCACTATTGATAAGTAATGTTGAGATATATATATGCATGTGTATTATATATACACACGTGCACACATATATACACACACATACACACACACATATATCTACATGTTAAAATCACTAATCAGATTACATATGTGTTGGTCATTTGGTAATTTGTATGTCTTTTTTGAGAAATGTCTATTCAGGGCCCTTGCCCATTTATAAACTGAATTAGTTGTTTTATTTCTATAGAATTGTTTGAGTTTCTTGTATATTTTAGATATTAATCCCTTATCAGGTATTTGGTTTGCAAATACTTTCTCTCAATCTGTACATTGTCCCTTCCCTTGCTTAATTGTTTCCTTTGTTATGCAGAAGTTTTTCATTTTGATGTGATCCCATTTGTCTATTATTGCTTTTGCTGCCTGTGCTTTTGGAATCAAGTCTAAAAAGCAAATCACTGCCAAAACAATTTTGTGTATTTTGTTTGTTTGTTTTCTTCTAGCAGTTTTACAGTCTCCGATCTTACACCATATAGTTCTTAACTCTAAGGCATGGTCCTTTAGGGATTTAACTCAAAAGCCCAAGCTACTTGGTAATCTGCCCTAACTTAATGAGGATTGTACCCCAGACTCTTTTCCCAGCACCAGAGAACCATTAAATTTTTAGCTCTTTCACTCCTAGGTTTTGAACTCCTTGAAGCTTCACCCTCTGCATGTATACAGCTCAGGAATACATCAAAGATTTTGTCAGGCCTCTGAGCCCAAGCTAAGCCATCATATCCCCTGTGACCTGCACACACACATCCAGATGGCCAGTTCCTGCCTTAACTGATGACATTCCACCACAAAAGAAGTGAAAATGGCCTGTTTCTGCCTTAACTGATGACATTATCTTGTGAAATTCCTTCTCCTGGATCATCCTGGCTCAAAAGCTCCCTTACTGAGCACCTCGTGACCCCACTCCTGCCCTCCAGAGAACAACCCCCCTTTGACTGTAATTTTCCTTTACCTACCCAAATATTATAAAATGGCCCCACCCCATCTCCCTTCACTGACTCTCTTTTCGGACTCAGCCAGCCTGCACCCAGGTGAAATAAACAGCCTTGTTGCTCACACAAAGCCTGTTTTGTGGTCTCTTCAAACAGAAATGCATGAAATTTGGTGCCGTGACTCGGATCAGGGGACCTCCCTTTGGAGATCAATCCCCTGTCCTCCTGCTCTTTGTTCCATGAGAAAGATCCACCTATGACCTCTGGTCCTCAGACCAACCAGCCCAAGGAACATCTCACCAATTTTAAATCTGGTAAGCGGCCTCTTTTTACTCTCTTCTCCAACCTCCCTCACTATCCCTCAACCTCTTTCTCTTTTCAATCTTGTCACCACACTTCAATCTCTCCCTTCTCTTAATTCCTTTCATTTTCTGGTAGAGACAAAGGAGACACATTTTATCCATGGACCCAAAACTCCAGCACCGGTCACGGACTTGGGAAGGCAGCCTTCCCTTGGTATTTAATCACTGGGGGGACACCTACCTGATTATTCACCCACCTTCCATTGGTGTCTGATCTCTGCGGGGATGCTTGCCTTGATCATTCACCCACGTTCCCTTGATGTCAAGTCAATTGCGGGGACGCCTGCTTTGGCTGCTCACCCATGTTGCAGCCCAGGGCTGCTCCCCACCCCCTTCTCCGTGTCTCTACCCTTTTCTTTCAACTTGTCTCCTTCACTATAGGCAAGCTTCCACCCTCCATTCCTCCTTCTTCTCCCTTAGCCTGTGTTCTTAAGAACTTAAAACCTCTTCAACTCTCACCTGACCTAAAACCTAAGCATCTTATTTTCTTCTGCAACACTACTTAGCCCTAATACAAACTTGAAAATGGCTCTAAATAGCCAGAAAACAGCAGTTTCAATTTTTCCATCCTACAAGATCTAGATAATTCTTGTCGTAAAATGGGCAAACGGTCTGAGGTGCCCGATGTCCAGGCATTCTTTTACATATCGGTCTCTCCCTAGTCTCTGTTCCCAATGTAACTCGTCCCAAATCTTCCTTCTTTCCCTCCTGACTGTCCCCTCAGTCCCAACCCCAAGCATCACTGAGTCTTTCTAATCTTCCTTTTCTACAGACCCATCTGACCTCTCCCCTCAGTCCCAACCCCAAGCGTCGCTGAGTCTTTCTAATCTTCCTTTTCTACAGACCCATCTGACCTCTCCCCTCCTCACCAGGCTGAGCTAGGTCCAAATTCTTCCTCAGCCTCTGCTCCTCCACCCCATAATCCTTTTATCACCTCCCCTCCTCACACCTGGTCGGGCTTACAGTTTTGTTCTGTGACTAGCCCTCCCCCACCTGCCCAGCAATTTCCTCTTAAAAAGGTGGCTGGAGCTAAAGGCATAGTCAAGGTTAATGCTACTTTTTCTTTATCCAACCTCTCCCAAATCAGTTAGCGTTTAGACTCCTTTTCATCAAATATAAAAAACCCAGCCTAGTTCATGGCCTCTTCAGTAGCAACCCTGAGACGCTTTATAGCCCTAGACCCTAAAAGTTCCAAAGGCCATCTTATTCTCAATATACATTTTATTTTATTACCCAATCTGCTCCCGACATTAAATAATTCTCCAAAAATTAAATTCCAGCCCTCAAACCCCACAACAGGACTTAATTAACCTCACCTTCAAGGTGTACAATAATAGAGTAAAGGCAGCCAAGTAGCAACATATTTCTGAGTTGCAATTCCTTGTCTCCACTGTGAGACATACCCCAGCCATGTCTCCAGCACACAAGAACTTCCAAATGCCTGAACCGCAGCTGCAAGGGGTTCCTCCAGAACCTCCTCCCCCAAGAGCTTGCTACATGTGCCGGAAATCTGGCCACTGGACCAAGGAATGCCCACAGCCCAGGATTCCTCCTAAGCCGTGTCCCATCTGTGCGGGATCCCACTGAAAATCGGACTGTTCAACTCACCTGGCAGCCACTCCCAGAGCCCCTGGAACTCTGGCCCAAGGTTCTCTGACTTCTTCCCAGATCTTCTCGGCTTAGCAGCTGAAGACTGAGACTGCCCGATTGCCTCGGAAGCCTACAGGACCACCACAGATGCTCTGGGTAACTCTCACAGGAAGGTAAGTCCGTCCCCTTCTTAATCAATATGGAGGCAACCCACTCCACATTACCTTCTTTTCAAAGACCTGTTTCCCTTGCCTCCATAACTGTTGTAGGTACTGACGGCCAGGCTTCTAAACCTCTTAAAATTTCCCAACTCTAACTCTGGTGCCAACTTAGAAAATACTCTTTTAAGCACTCCTGTTTAGTTATCCCCACCTGCCCAGTTCCCTTATTAGGCCAGGACACTTTAGCTAAATTATCTGCTTCCCTGACTATTCCTGGGCTACATGCCGCCTTTTCCCCCAGTTCAAAGCCTCCTTCACATCCTCCCCTTGTAACTCCCCACCTTAGCCCACAAGTGTAAGATACCTCTACTCCCTCCTTGGCGACCGATCATGCACCCCTTACCATCTCATTAAAACCTAATCACCCTTACCCCGCTCAACGCCAATATCCCATCCCACAGCACGCTTTAAAAGGATTAAAGCCTGTTATCACTTGCCTGCTACAGCATGGCCTTTTAAAACCTATAAACTCCCCTTATAATTCCCCCATTTCACCTGTCCTAAAACCAGACAAGGCTTACAGGTTAGTTCAGGATCTGGGCCTTATCAACCAAATTGTTTTGCCTATGCACCCCATGGTACCAAACCCATATACTCTCCTATCCTCAATACCTCCCTCCACAATCCATTATTCTGTTCTGGATCTCACACATGCTTTCTTTACTATTCCTTTGCACCCTTCATCCCAGTCTCTCTTCACTTTCACTTGGACTGACCCTGACACCCATCAGGCTCAGCAAATTACCTGGGCTGTACTGCCGCAAAGCTTCACAGACAGCCCCCATTACTTCGATCAAGCCCAAATTTCTTCCTCATCTGTTACCTATCTCAGCATAATTCTCATAAAAACACACATGCTCTCCCTGCCGATCATGTCCGACTGATCTCTCAAACCCCAGTACCTTCTACAAAACAACAACTCCTTTCCTTCCCAGGCATGGTTAGATACTTTTGACTTTAGATACCTGGTTTTGCCATCGTAACAAAACCATTATATAAACTCACAAAAAGAAACCTAGCTGACCCCATAGATCCTAAATCCTTTCCCCACTCCTCTTTCTGTTCCTTGAAGACAGCTTTAAAGACTGCCCCCACCCTAGCTCTCCCTGACTCATCCCAACCCTTTTGATTACCCACAGCTGAAGTACAGGCCCGTGCAGTCAGAATTCTTACACAAGGACCAGGATCGCATCCAGTAGCCTTTTTGTCCAAACAACTTCACCTTACTGTTTTAGGCTGGCCATCATGTCTCCGTGCAGTGGCTGCCACCACCCTAATAGTTTTAGAGGCCCTCAAAATCACAAACTATGCTCAACTCACTCTCTATAGCTCTCATAACTTTCAAAATCTATTTTCTTCCTCACACCTGAGGCCTATACTTTCTGCTTCCCGGCTCCTTCAGCTGTACTCACTCTTTGCTGAGTCTCCCACAATTACTATTGCTCCTGGCCCAGACTTCAATCTGGCCTCCCACATTATTCTGGATACCACACCTGACCCTCATGACTGCATCTCTCTGATCCACCTGCTATTCACCTCATTTCCCCATATTTTCTTCTTCCCTGTTCCTCACCCTGATCACATTTAGTTTATTGATGGCAGTTCCACCTTTCCTACACATCAAGCTCAAGGATTTGCCCCTGCCCAGGACTGGCAAATTGACTTTACTCACATGCCCCGAGTCAGAAAACAGAAATACCTCTTAGTCTAGGTAGACACTTTCACTGGATAGGTAGAGGCCTTTCCTACAGGGTCTGAAAAGCCCACCACGGTCATTTCTTCCCTTCTGTCAGATATAATTCCTCGGTTTAGCCTTCCCACCTCTATACAGTCTGATAACAGACCAGCCTTTACTAGTCAAATCACCCGAGCAGTTTCTCAGGCTCTTAGTATTCAGTAGAACCTTCATATCCCTTACCGTCCTCAATCTTCAGGAAAGTTAGAACGGACTAATGGTCTTTAAAGACACACCTCACCAAGCTCAGCCTCCAACTTGAAAAAGATTAGACAGTACTTTTACCTCTTGCCCTTCTCAGAATTCAGGCCTGTCCTCGGAATGCTGCAAGGTACAGCCCATTTAAACTCCTGTATAGAAGCTCCTTTTTATTAGGTCCCAGTCTCATCCTAGACACCAGACCAACTTAGACTGTGCCCCAAGAAACTTGTCATCCCTATTTTCTGTCTAGTCATACTCCTATTCACCATTCTCAACTACTCATAAATGCCCTGCTCTTGTTTACACTGCTGGTTTACACTATTTCTCCAAACCATCACAGCTGGCATCTCCTGGTGCTATCCCCAAACCGCCACTCTTAACTCTTAAAGTAAATAATCTTTGCTGGCAAGGCTATGCTGAACCTCCTTAGGCACTCTCTAAATAATGTCCTGGGTCCTCCCAATTCCTAGTCCTTTAAAACCTGTTTTTCTCCTTCTCTTACTCCGTTTAGTTTTTCAATTCATACAAAACTGTATCCAGGCCATCACCAATAATTCTACACAACAAATATTTCTTCTAACAACCCCAGGATATCACCCCTTACCACAAAATCTTCCTTCAGCTTAATCTCTCCCACTCTACGTTCCCAAGCTGCCCCTAATACCGCTGGAAGCAGCCCTGAGAAACATCGCCCATTATCTCTCCATACCACCCCCAAAAATTTTCATCGTCCCAACACTTTACCACTATTTCTTTTTATTTTTCTTATTAATATAAGAAGACAGGAATGTCAGGTCTCTGAGCCCAAGCTAAGCCATCATATCCCCTGTGACCTGCAGTACACATCCAGATGATCAGTTCCTGCCTTAACTGATGACATTCCACTACAAAAGAAGTGAAAATGGCCTGTTCCTGCCTTAACTGATGACATTATCTTGTGAAATTCCTTCTGGCTCATCCTGGCTCAAAAACTCCCCTACAGAGCACCTTGTGACCCCCACTCCTGCCCGCCAGAGCACAATCCCCCTTAGACTATAATTTTCCTTTACCTACCCAAATCTCATAAAACAGTCCCACCCCTATCTCCCTTCGCTGACTCTCTTTTCGGACTCAGCCCACCTGTACCCAGGTGAAATAAGCAGCCTTGTTGCTCACACAAAGCCTGTTTGGTGGTCTCTTCACACAGATGCGCATGAAAGATTTGATGTATGCAGAGAATATGTATGCAGATTTTGGAGTTTCTACCTTTTGTGGACTTCCTATTTTTCTGGATTCCTTTTTCAATTTCCAGCCGTTGTTGAGAGTGGGGGAAAAACATGTAAATATGGATTGCAACTAGTATATTTCCTTTTTTTCAATCATTTTATTCCCTCAAGTATCTGCCTGCTTGTATCCTATGCTTTCAAATAACTATTTTATATGTCTTGTTTGACATTTATAATTGTTAGTAGCAGAAATGTTAGTATAATAAAATCTGTGCCAACATTATTCAAGGCAAGATGTCCTTAGGAAAACTTTAAAAATAAATTCCTGAAATGTAAAACTTAAGCAAAAATAAAATACATATATTCCACAAATGAATGGACTCTCAATTGAATCAATCCTTTATATCTACCTACAAGCTTATAGGGTAAAAACATAAGATTAGCCAAACCATGAGGGAACAGGTAAATTCAAAATGTACAACATTCAGCAGGACAAGTGATCTAATTTCTCCAACAAATCAATGACATAAAAATTGAATAGAGATTTATAAGATAAAGCAGACTAAGGACACATAATCAAATATTATAACTGGTTCTAGGTTATCGTTTGAATTTTAAGAGTAGACAAAAAGAACATTTTTGAAATAATTAGAAAAATTCAAACATGGACTAGGAATTAGATGACATCAGGTAATTATTGTTATATTTATATGCAACAATGGCATGGAGGTAATGTTAACATAAGTATTAGTAAAGTAGTTAAAACTACCAAAATTAAGTAGTAAAGTGATACAACACTGGATCATGTTGTGTTTCAAACATATTCCAGTGATACCACACTGGGATATGTTTTAAAATTTAACAGAAAAAAACAAATAGGAAGCATGAATATAAAATAGCATTAGCAAAATATTGATGTTTTGTGGCAGACACATAAAATTGATTTTACTGTTCATTTTATGTATCTTTGACATTTTTATACTAAACATAGTTCAAAATAATAACTTAGTAATAATATACTCATGAGTTTTACTTAAGCCACGAAAGGCAAATATGTGGTGTGCCATCACTTCTGCCTTCCTTGCCCACGGAACACACTGTTAAATGATGAAGGCACATTTTCCAATAAGCAAGACTAACTTTCTCAGTCAAACCCTCTCTCTGGACAAACAGAAAGAACATAAATTGATGCTAGCATGAAAAAATAAAACATCTCTGCAATTGTCCCTGTGATATAGTCTAGATGTTTGTTTTCTCCAAATTTCATGTTGAGATTTAATCCCCAGCGCTGGAGGTGAGGCCTGTAGGAGGTGTTTGGACTATGAAAGCACATCCTCCATGATTTGGTGCCATCTTTGCAGTTATGAATGAGCTCTCACTCTTAGTTCACATGAGAACTGGTTGTTAGAAAGAGTATGACACAACCCACCCCCTTTCTCTCTTGCCATGTGATGCCTCCTCTCCTTTCCCTTCCACCATAATTGGAAGCTTCCTGAGGCCCTCACCAGAAGCAGTTACTGGTATCATGCTTCTTGTACAGCCTACAGAACCATGAGCCAACAAAACCAAACCCTTTTCCTTAGAAATTACCCAGCCTCAGGTATTCCTTCACAGCAACACAAATGAACTGAGAAATCCTTTATTCCATTTTATTTTCTCTATCTCTCTCTATGAGCCAGCATTTCTCTGATTTTATCATGAGATTTTTACTATGTATACCCAAGAATCTACTAGGGAGAAGAAGATTGTGGAAGATATTACTAGAGCTCCTCAATACCAATTTTCCACTTCTAGGCCCACAGAAGTGTCTTCTTGTGTTCAGTAGATGGGAACCATGACAACTAAAAAGCAAGGCAACCTGTGTTTTTGAATGACAATATAAAAGACAGCTGGCCTGAGGAGTTGTTTGGAACTACAGAAGTCTTTAGGTCAACAAGAAATAAGATTTCATTGTGTTAAACTGCTGTTATTTGACAGGTTTTTGTTGTTGTTGTTGTTGTTGTTGTTGTTGTTGTTGCTGCTGTTGTTACAGCCCTGCCTATAAGGCTAGATTAGCTTGATTAATAAGGAGGTAGAAATGGTAATATTTATTGTAAGTATGTAATAATTTTAAAATGGGTATTTTAAAATTGTGTACTACAGTACATTTTAGTAATGATAATAACTATTAATCAGTTGATTATTATATATTAGATACTCTGATTTATGCTTTACAAAAATTACTTTATAATTGTTACATGAATTATAGTCATAAGAACATACAAGGAGGGTTTTACATTTTATATCCAAGAAAATTAAGGCTGAGCTGATAAACAATTTTCTCATGTTTACATAACTATAAAACAAGGAAGCCAGAATTTGAAACTAGGTCTATATAACTCTGAAGCCCATGCTCTTAACCATTGTGCTATAGGCTTTTTGAGGGTAGACACAGGGCTCTGTATTTTTATTGTAGTTGTCAGTCTTAGTAAAAAATGCTAAGTTCATATTGTATTCAGCATACGCTGAATATAATAAATGAATACATTTTAATGCAGAGAGTAAAGAACATAGTTTTAGGAAATACGTTGGGAGAGGGAGTTCATTAACTATTAAAAAGTCATCTTTTTCATATTTTACATCATCCATAACAGATTGGAAGTTTCTGGTATACTGTTCCATTGCTAAGTATGCTTTGGTTTTAAGGAGCTCATTTTAAACAAGCAATGTGTGTGAAGGCGAGAAGGGGATGGATTGGGAATACTAGGAAGAAACTCTTAAATTTTATTATTTATTCTGTTTTCAAATATTTGTTGAATATTACAAATATTATAGTAATAGAGTCATGACTAATATTTATGAAGCAAATGATAATGCGCCAGACTCTGATATATACTTTTCATATATTACCTCATTTAGAGCTCAAGCAGTGCTATATGAGTACTATTGTTATACACACTTTACAGATGAGAAACATGATAGTCAGGGAGGTTAAAGGACTTGCTCAAGGTGACAGATTAGTTTAGTGGCTCAAATACTGATCCCAGCCCAGAGCAAAAGTTCTTAACTACTACACTCTGTCTTCAGCATTGTCCTTTCTGCTTCTCCTTGCCATCTAAACAGTGGCAAAGATACTTTGTGAAAAAGAGAAACATTTCTGGTAGACATTGGAATGCTGGGAAAAAAACACAAAAGTTTGAAATTTATTCCTGTTTAGAAAATTATCTTTTTCTTCAAATGAAAAAGTCACTCCTTGGCATTTTCTTTAGGCAAAATTTATGGCTTCTTTTGAAATTCTTAACATTATTTCTGAATTTCCAGGAGCATCTCAATGGAGATGAGTAAATTTTAATAATTAAGGTTTCCACATAATTTGAGGCTCCTCTTGCAACCAGGTCAACAAGATCAAGACCTAAATTAACACTGACTTTACCTTCCCACTTGACTTGAACTTTGACCCAGAACATTTTTGACATCTGTTATCCAATTCTGACGTTTAGAAAGATTAGTTGGAAACAAGAACAAAATATTTAAGTGTAATATCTATGAATTATAGCATCTTAGACTTAGAAGACACTTTATATTATCATCTAGTCCAAACTTCTCATTTTACAGATGAAAGGAGGGGTCTTGTAACCAAAATCTCAATATGAAATCATTCTTATCTGTAAAGAATGGCAAAATAGTCACCAAGCTTAATTTTAAGCACTGGAGGATTTACATGATGGCATGATAGGAGTAGTTAAATAGAAAATAAAAAACTAAAACAGCTATAGAGTTTCCTTCTCTATAAGTCTGGAAAATCCAAGTGACTTCCACCAATATAAAATAACATGTCATAAACAGACACTTTTAAAAGGAAGACATACATATGGTCAACAAGCATATAAATTGCTCCACATCATGAATCATTAGAGAAATGCACATCAAACCATAAGGAGAAACTATCTTACACCAGTCAGAATGGCTATTATCAAAAGGTCAAGCCACCACCTTGATGCTGGTGAAGTTGTGGAGAAAAGGGAATGATTAAACACTGCTGGTGGGAATGTAAGTTAGTGCAGCCATTGTGGAAAGCAGTTTGGTGCTCTCTCAAGGAACTTAAAACAGAACTACCATTTAACTTGGTAATCCCATTCTTGGGCATATACCCAAGGGAATATAAATCATTCTACCATAAAGACACATGCATGTAGATCATTGCAGCACTATTCACAGTAGCAAAGTCATAGAATCAACCTAAATGCCAATCAACGGTAGATTGGATAAAGAAAATGTGGTACCTATACATCATGGAATACTATACGGCCATAAAAAAGAATGCTCTCATGTCTTTGGCAGCAACATGGATGGAGCTACAGGCCATTGTCCTAAGTGAATTAACACTGAAACAGAAAACAAAATACATGTTATCTCTTGTAAGTTGGAGCTAAATATTGAGTACATATGGACACCAAGAAGGGAACAACAGACACCAGAGCATACTTGAGGGTAGAGGTAGGGAGGAGGGTGAAGATCAAGCAATTACCTTTCAGATACTATGCTTATCATCTGGGTGGTGAAATAATCTATATGCCAAACCCCCATGATATGCAATTTACCTGTATAACAAACCTGCACATGTATGCTTGAACCTGAAATAAATTAAACATATATATATATATATATATAATCCATCAAAAAAGAAAAAATGACATCCTTATACTCCCCATAATAGCCAATCAACATTAGTTCATTGCTTCACAAATGTTTATAGAGTGCTTCCGAGGGGCCCAATTGCTTTTGAGTTCAAGTGGTAAGCAATACAGAAAACATACCTGCCCTCGTGAAGCTTATGTTTTAATGAGACAGAAAGGTAAATTAAAAGTGTAAAAATTAACCAGATAAATGTAAATTAGATATTATAAAGGACATAATAGAGTGAAGGAAGAGTAAATGGGGTGGAATCACTTTATGAAGGGTAATCAAGTAATCTATTGGACTGAGATCTAAAATATAAACACAATCACCAGGCAGAGCAGGTGCAAAGAATTCCAAGAAGAAGGAACAGCTAGTGTAAAGGTTCAGAAGTGCCTTGTATGCATAAGAAACATGGCTTTATGGTCAGCTAAACAATAAAATATATTTCTCCTCTGGCCTCACTAAATCCTTATATTAAATTTCCCTACCATTATCCACTTAAGTTTCTAAATTTTCTTTCCTTCCCCCAACCTGATTTATTTATTTTTATTTTTTATTTTTATTTTTTGAGATGGAGTGTCACTCTGTCACCCAGGTTGGAGTATAGTGGTGCGACCTCAGCTCACTACAACCTCCACCTCCCGGGTTCAAGCAATTCTCCTGCGTCAGCCTCCCAAGTAGCTGGGACTACAGATGCACACCACCACACCTGGCTAATTTTTATATTTTCTTTTGTTTTAGTAGAGATAGGGTTTCACCATATTGGTCAGGCTGGTCTCAAACTCCTGACCTCAGGCAATCCACCCGCCTCAGCCTCCCAAAGTGCTGGGATTACAGGCATGAGCCACCATGCCAAGCCCCCGCCACCTGATTTCTTTACTGCTTTTATGTGGATGTCTATCTGTCCCAACCTAAAATCTCTAAGGAGATTCTAATCTTTCAATAACCACTGGAAGTATTCCCTGTACACATTTAATTCCAGTATGTCTATACTGATCAATCTAATTTCTGACACAGGCCAAGAGCCAACATCTCCATGTGTGTAGACAGACGGAAAAGAAATGTCTAATATCCCATCCCACAGAGATACTCTCCAGTAATTCCTTGACCACTATACCCACGGGACAACAACAAAAAAAGGAGTTTATAATTTCAGTGCTGTGTTAATAGAACCTACTGATTAGCATTATTCATGTGTGTTGTCAGTGTGTCAGCTTTGATTTTCTACTCTGACAGGCATTTAACTACCAGGAATGGGCCTATTCTAGGTCCCGTAGAAATTATAAATAACATTTGGAATTATGGTTCCTCTCTTCAAGATTGTAATATTTTTCTTCTCTGAGGGTAGAAAAATGAATTTATACTATTCATAGTGTCCTATATTTTTCCTCATTAGCAAATATGTTAATTGTAATTAAATATCCTTGTGAATAATTATTTGTTTAATATCCTCCACTAAAGGTTAAATACCTTGGGAATAAGGGGAAGGTTTGTATTAATTTAATATTACATAAATGAACAGCTGACACAGTGATACATAGTAGGTACTAATCAAATATTCTTGGATATATGAATGAAGAAATTAATTATACTTATTTGTGTCACTCACAATCTAGAATGGTGCTAATCTGTTTGGAACAGGAAGAGGCAAGACATCAACTCATGAAATTTCAACTCATGAAATCTCACTCAGCAGATGTTTTAGTAACTATTAGGTGCTCAGGCTTGTGCTGGGAATAGATTAATGAGCAAAATTAGGAACGTTCTCTGCTTTTACTGAGCTGATCATCTGGTTGTGGAAACAGATCCTAGTCAGAAAATCACATGCAGTAAAGCACACCTCAGACAAATGCCATAAAATTGCTGGATAGTGGCTCATTTAGATTTCAGTAGCTGTAAGCAAGAGGCTGCCAGTGGAAAAGTGAAGACGGTCACCTGCCCATAAGAATGCAGGTATAGTTTGGATTTCTCTCTTTACTACTCAATAGCTACCTCTTTGTTCATGCCCATAGGCAACATAGAACATGCTGCTACATTTTACCCACTAAAATACTCTTCTTATGCTCTATATCCCACCACCCTTTTCAATATTTCTTCCTGATTTTTATTCAGCAACTTCACTCCTGGATTCTGTCTCTTCACTGGATCAATTTAGCTAGACTCACAGTTGATCACCCTGCCAGGCTTTCAGGTTTGGTTGGATTATACATCTTTTTTTCCCCCTCCAGATCCTTGCTTGGCAGTTGTGTGGACCAGTCTCTGTCCATCCCAGCAACCAACCTATGTCTCAGAATCCCAATCTCTGGGCTTTTGTTTGCATTGTGGGGGAGTTGTGACTTCTGTCATATACCTCCCTGCCTCTGTGTCAGTAGCCTCTTTTTCACCAAGCTGAAGGGCACGTACCATTTTTTCCAGCTTCTCTAAATCTAATCCGCATGTTCCAGATCTGTTCAAGGCTGATATCCCCCAGGAGGTTTCTCATCACTCTGTTGTCTCTGTACTTTACACAACTTTCTGTTACTCCACTCAGCAATAAAAGTAATACTTAAAAAATGTAAGTCACTTAATGTCACTCCTTGCTTGAAACTCTCTACTGGCTCCCCTTTCTGCTCAAAATAAGACCCAAATCCCTTACCATGCCCTGCAAGGTCCTACTTGATCTGTCCCTACAATCCTCTTAGATAATATTCAATATTATTCCATCACTCCCACGAAGTTTCTGCACACTGTCTTTCTTTGGGTTTGTAAAACATGTCAAGCTCCTTTCCACCCAATGGCCACGGCATCTGGCATTCCGTTTGTGTGCAAAACTTTCTCAGTCTCCATATCATTGCCTGCTGTCTAGTTCCTGCCAATCTACCATTGTCTGCATTGAGAGACCTTCCCAGGGCATCCACTCCAAAGCTACTTCTACTGAACCCTAGCCAATCTCTATTATATTGTCCTAATTTATTTTCTCCATAGCTTTTATCACTCTCTCAAGTTATCTTGTTTACTTATATAAATATAAATCATTACCTTCATAAGTGCCTAAGGTGCCCAGTCAATCTTGATTATTCAGAAGGATGAATGCATCTCTATTTTGCAGGTGATAATTTACTCTGTCCATGAACATAGGCATCCATTGGTACCACACATTTTTTTCTGCTGAAGTCTGTTGAATCTTCCCTGAAACCTCTTAGAAAGGAGTTAAATCATCCTCCTCTTTCTTGCATGTTCATGCACATTTGATCCATGGAGATTACTCAAATATTATCTTCCTCAACAAACTCAAGGACTGCAGGCTACTAAATGCTCCATTAATCACCATCAAAGCAACTAGCCAACCCATCTTTCACTTCTTATTATATACTCCAGGAGGAAAAGATTCAGGTTTACTGTGTACCAAACTAAAGAACAAGCATATTAAACTTTTAGTAGTTCTTCCTCAAACACCTTTCCTTAACTTGAGATGAAGATGGAAGCAGCCACACTTGTCCCATCCTTAGAGGAGGAGATCACACTCAGAGAACCCCAAATGCTCTCTCCAAAAATCTTCTTCTATCTTCATATGCTGACATTTAGTTGTGCTCATTGCAGGTAAAGGCTTTTGGAGATGTAGAAATAGATTTCAACACCATTTTTAAATGTTTATATTATGGCCTCAAATTTCACTTTAGAACATGGTATTTATATCATGATGCTTCATCCAAAACTTCCATTTCAACATTAGTAATTATCGATATCCATAAGTGCATTCAAGATCTTTAGTAACCAATATGGCACAGGCACCTACAAGTCACAAGGGGAACTGGCTGAAAACTGGTACAACTATGCTATTTATATCAAAGTAACATTAGCCCTCTCTGCCCCCTACCACTAGTATCTACACCCTATGAAAGCAAGAAATCCATCTGTTTTGTTCACCACTGTGTATTATTTGAATCAAAAAGAATACCTGGTATAGATTACCTGTTCAGAAAATATCAGTTAAATGAATTGAATTAACTTTTACCATGTGCCAGAGAACACTGATAAAACATTTATATTAAAGTACATTCCTCAAACATATTTATTGTTCTTTTTTAGATAAAAGGACTGAAGTTCAAAGCAGAAAAATGGCTTTTTCAAGGTCATGCATGTGAAAATGTATGAGCTGGAATCCAGATCTAGACAGTTTGACTCCAGAATACTTAACTCATTCTATTAGACTGTCTTTTAGGTGCAAGTCTAATAGGTGCAGTGTACTGCCAGCCCTCCATGGCTAACACTGAACCTGGTGCTTCTTAGATTCTAACCAAAAAAACTAATAATAAAAACAGCACAGATAACTACAGTACAATGTGTAATTTATGTGCCATAAGACTTTAGGAGAAGGCAGGATCAAACTTCATTGGGTAGGTTGCCTTTCAAAAAAAGGTTCTTAAAGATGATCTTTTCTCAGACTACTCTGAAAAGAAGCATTCAATAATTTTAGAGGGGTAGTAAAAATATTCTAGTAGAATGAAATGGTAAGGTTGTGGTACAAACAGAAAGAAGAGAATTAAGAGAATTTATGAAGCCAAATCTATCAAACTTGGTAACTGATCAGATATTAAAGACGAGGAGAAAGTCTAATTGACTCTTGATGTAAGGACTTGAGAGCTCCAAATTAAAAACAGGGAGGCAAAGGAAATGTTACCATTAAGAGAAATACAAGTCTAATAGTAATTTGGAACAGAAGCTAAAGGGAATATAACAAGAGTCCTTTGGACCAGAAATATAAGTAAAAGGACTAGTTTGAATCCTCAGAGGTCCACCCCAGGTAGTGAGGTTCAAAAATCTGTAATGAACCTAAAGAGCATCTTTCAAAAGCTCTAGCTTTGATTCCAGAAAACAGACAAATTTGTTAATTAACATATCTCTTTCCACAGAAAGATAAGAGATGGTAATTGGGCCAAAATGGTCTTTGTGGTTCCTAATAGGTCTTTTATTATTTCTGGGACCCTCATTACAATGCTTGGCAGATACACAGAAATTATGTTTGTCTTTCTAGAGTCTTGTTTCCCAAAGGTTACACACAGTCTTGCCTTTTATGTGTGACTACAGGAAACTGCATATATGACTACAGGATGGCTTTGAGAATTGCCCATCCTGCCTTTGAACAACATGGAATAGACAGAGTGAGAGATGCCAGTAGTAAGGTATGTAGATAACGTGTCATTTTTCACATATACATCATTATCCAGAACCATTCACAATTGAGATTACAGTTAAAAAATCACCAGAGATTTGTGAACTTTTATATATTTATCCATAGGTCATTCACTTCTGTATCTATCATTCCCTAAATGATGCCCTAAAATACCAAACAAGAATTAATTCCTGAAAGTGCTTGATTAATGTGAATATGACAAATCAGAAAAAGGTCTCTGCATCACCAAAAGAATGCTGAAATGATTAATATTGCTAGAATGTGTTTCAGGACGTCAAACCTTGACATGGGGACCCTTCCCCAACTTAAGAGCAATCTCAGCATGTTTGAAGCTTATTTGAATGATGACAGTAGAAAATGCGGGAATTTTCATGTGATTCTTAACCTGTCTTTGGCAATCAGCAACTATTTGTCCAGTGTCTCAAGTCATGTCCATTAAAACAAGAATAGAGAGAGTAAAAGTTGAATTCAAGGTTAAACCCTATGTTACTTCTGCCATATCAAAAACTTAGAGTTAAGAAAGCAAAACTAGCAACCAGAAAATGCAAGTTCTAGTTAAATATTGGCAAAGTAAAAATATTTTTTACTTTGCTTACTTCCCAAGGTAGTTCTGGGAATAAAAAGGTTATAGTGGTTGTAACACTTTGCAACAAGCAGACTAATTTCGTCTATTCATGTGTTCTTTTCATTTATTAATTTAACAAATATTTACTAAGTATGGTAATCTCCCTCTTATCCTAGAGGTATACATTCAAAGACTCACCATGGATACCTGAAACTTCCAAGACCTGAACCCTGTATATACTACTTTTTTAATCTAATAACTGAAACAGCTACTAAATGACTGATAGGCTCGAAGTGTATACAGGGTGGACCCTCTGGATGAAGAGATGGCTCATGTCCCCAACAGGACACAGCCAGATGGCATGAGATTTCATCATGCTGCTCAGAACACAGCACAATTTAAAAATTGCATTATTTCTGGAACGTTCTATTTAATATTTTCAGAACATAGTTGACCACATGTAAGTGAAACTGTGATACACAAAACCATGGATAAGGGGGAACTACCTTCATTTGTGCAAGGTACTGTACTTAATACCTAGGTAAACATTAGTGAGAAAAACAAATTGTCTCTGCTCTTTTGGGTCTTCCTTACTAGCTAGTGGCATATTTATGTCAGACGTTAGTATTAATATTATGCCATGCACAGGCTATATCCTAATCTAAGAATCATGGGTATACATATGAAATACACACATGCATAAATATTTCAAATTCTGCTCAGGGGTTGTTCACTTAGAAGGTAGGATTGGAGCCAAGCAGACCTATGCTTGTAAGCAGGCTCTACCACTTACTAGAATGTGACCTGGAAAATGTAATCAATTTATATTATTCTTTGAAGTCTTTATATGTACAACGAGGGGAAAAATAATTGCTTAATCTTAGGGTTGCTAGAATTTAATGACATAAATTTTATTAAGCACTCATTTGGCATACATAGAGTCCTCTATAAATTATGACTTAAAATTATATTTGGTTGAAATAAGCCAGTCGCAAAAAGACAAATACTGTATGATTCCATTTAGATGAGGTACTTGGAGTAGTCAAAAATCATAGAGACAGAAAGTAGAAAGGTGGTTGTCAAGAGTCGGGATGAAAAAGAAAAAGGGGAGATTTAATTGAATTTGGAAAGAATTTCAGTTTTACAAGATGAAGAGTTATAGAAATGGATAGTGGGTGATGGTTGAGCAATATTATGAATGTATACGGTACCAGTGAAATGTATGTATACTTAAAAATGGAGGGCCGGGCGCGGTGGCTCACGCCTGTAATCCCAGCACTTTGGGAAGCCGAGGAGGGCGGATCACGAGGTCAGGAGATTGAGACCATCCTGGCTAACACGGTGAAACCCAGTCTCTACTAAAAATACAAAAAAAAATTAGCCGGGTGTGGTGGCGGGCGCCTGTAGTCCCAGCTACTGGGGAGGCTGAGGCAGGAGAATGGCGTGAACCCGGGAGGCGGAGCTTGCAGTGAGCCGAGATGGCGCCACAGCCGTCCAGCCTGGGCTACAGAACCAGACTCCATCTGTAAAAAAAAAAAAAAAAAAAAAAAAAAATGGAGAATATGGTAAATTTTACGTTACATGTATTTTCTCACAATAAAAAAATTTAAAACAAAATTGACTTGCAGAGGTTCACTTTCGTCACACAGCGATGGGGGAATGGACTGTCTCCCCTCCCAGCTCTCAGCTGAAGCTTGTAGCTGAGGACTACTTTGAGCGTTTCTAAATAATGCAGGTGGCTAGAGGCAGGCTCAGGCCTAGGTACAGGTGCTAGTTCAGCCTGCCTGATTACAGTTCATTCCCACGCAGGATTTTCAGGCCCTGGTGCTCTCACAATAACCCAAAGCTGGCGGAGGTACATCCGCTCAAAGCTCCCCTGTCGGCTTAAGGGAGATACGAGGCCCCTGCAACAGCTGGAAGCGGAGCCAAGTGAGTCAAATGTCACCTCAGGGAACAGCTCAGGGACACTGATTATTCACTTCCACTGGGAGCGGTATGCCTTCCTCAGGCCATTCCCCAGGAACCGAACGGGAAATCGGTTGGCCATCTCTCTCTCCACCGGAGGCGGGCAGTGGAAGGAACACCTGCGCAGCCCGGAGCCTGGCAGCCCGCCCACCCCGCTGCTGCCGGCCCTGGTGCTGCAGGTGACACGCGTGCACACCCCGACCCCCTCGGAGGGCCAATTAAGAAAGCCTCTGGGTATAGTGCGGGAAGAATCGCTGAGGTAAACCTGCAAGAGTGTCAGGGGCTATTTCTACAGTCTTGCCGCGCACGCTGCGCTGTCAGCTCCTGCCACTTGAAAGCAATTGAAGCAGGCGCTGCATTAATATGTATTATTCCTCCTTTAAACAGCATTTGATCTGAGGGTGTGAAATGCCACGCACGGAAGCTTCCCCATGAGCCTGCTCTCCAGCGTCCTACTTCTCTCAGCGACATCCGCTACCAAAAACCTGGAGGCTGGAATTTCCAGTTAATTAGCAGAAGGCTAAGCTGCCACAATGCTGCTGATGCAATGTTCTTTTCTCCTCGGTCTATCTATTTGGAGTTCTTTTCTGCTGGATCACCTCAAAGATGCTACCCTAATGTGCTAAGGGGTGTGTGTGAGTTTCCTAGGGCTGCTAGAACAGACTACCACTATGTGGGTGGCTTAGAACAACAGAAATTTATTCTCCAGCTGTTCCAGAGGCCAGAAGTCTAAAATCAAGGTGTCTGCAGCATTGGTTCCTTCTGGGGGATCTGAAGGAGAATGTGTTCTGTGCTGCTCCCCTGAGTTCTTGTGGTTGCCAGCAATCCTTGGGTTCCTTGGCTTGCAGCAGCTGAACTCCAGTCTGCCTCTGTCTGTACTTGAGCTTCTTCCCTGTGTCTTCTCTGTGTCTCTGTCTTCAAGTCTCTCTCTCCTTATTAAGACACCAGTCATTGGACTTAGGGTTCACCCTAATTCAGTATGACTACCTCTGACATTTATTACAATTGCAAAGACCTTATTTCCAAATAAACTCACATTCACAGGTAGTGGGAGTTAGGACTTCAACCTATCTCATGGGGAGAGACAATTCAACCCGCAACAGGGTAGAAGGAGAGAGAACTAACTAGAATTCTGCTCTATCTTTAGAGCAGTTTCTTCAAAAAGTCTCCTGGTCTTCCATGTAGTGAGTACATGGTAGAGCTAGAATCAGAATTCAGGTGGCAGCTGCTTACTCAGTTACCAGAGAAAGTGACAGGAAAATGGTGCAGTCAATTCTCATTATTCATGGTAGTTGTTCTAAAATATTGTCTTGAATACAGAAATAGCAGATATTAAACCACTGCTCCAGGGGAAAACAAGATTAGGTTTCTGCAAGCCTCTGGTCACAACATTTTTGTCAGCTGATCAATACATAACCTTGTTTTATACGTCTCTGTTTATAGACATCTTATTTCATATATATTGTTGATTCTTTAACATTGAACTCACGGCAAACACTATGCCTTGAGCCTGAACAAAGCTTACCTGACACACATATTTTTTCCTTAAAACAGTGAAATCACCAGCAAAATGCTCAAAAAATGTGAAAAATGTAGCACTAAATAGATCCCCAAAGGACACTTGTTTAAAGCTAAAACAAGAAGGCAAAGCATTGCCTTGTGAAACCTCAGCTGGGAATATGCCTGTTAGGCAGCTCAAATTTTATGCCACTCAGAACACATCTGAGTGTGACCATCAAAGCACCATGACTATTTGTTTTAGGATTACAAATATAGTGAGTGTGCAAATTCACAAATATGGAATCTGAATAATGAGGACCAACTATAGACTGTATGTTGCACCCATTCTCAACAGGTTTATGAACAGGCACCATGCTGGGTACTGATGATATAAGAATGAATAATACAGAAGGAGCTTAATAAGAAAGACAGACATTAAACTGATAGTAACAATGTATACTCAATATTTACCAGTGTATGACTAAATGCTGAGTCCCTAGCATATAGTAGCGATTTAAGAGTATGTTTCAATGTAGCTGTCATGGAGCATCTCCTTGGAAAAATAATGTTTAAGCTCATACCTGAGAATGAGTTAGCCCTACAGTTTAATGAGGTGAGTGTTTTTCCCAGGAAAAGAACAAGTTCTAGATGCTAGAGAGAACAGAGTTAAAGGCATGGAAAGTTTAGTGGGACTGCCATGTATTGTTCAAGGAGGAGAACAGTTCAAAATGGGCCATGAGAAACACAAAATAAAAAATGTCAACGTCAGCAACATTAAGAAGGTTGGCACTAGAAGTATCTACCCTAAAATGGAATGTAGGATCATTGGCTTCAAAATCCAGCTACCACAGACAAAGGCAGCTTGATATAACAAAGCAATACTTTTGTGGACACCAAAGTCCCCGAGACCCTTCCAGGAGGACCATGAGATCCAAACTGTATTCATAATAATAAGATGTGACTTGATTTTTCACTGGGTGGACACTTGTAGTGATTAGGTAAAATCAATGGTGGATAAAACTACTGATTTCATTGTATAAATCAAGAAAGTGCCACCAGCAGCTCCCAGCGAGATCAGTGCAGAAGGCAGGTGAGTGATTTCTGCATTTCTAACTGAGATACCCAGCTCATCTCATTGAGACTGGTTAGACAGTGGGTGCAGCCCACTGAGGGTGAACCGAAGCAGGGTGGGGCATTGCCTCACCCAGGAAGTGCAAGGGGTCAGGGAACTCCCTCCCCTAGCCAAGGGAAGTCATGAGGGACTGTGCCATTGTGTCCAGAATTGGTGGATTCTTGGTGTTGCTGACTTCAAGAATGAAGCCACGGACCCTCGTGGTGAGTGTTACAGTTCTTAAAGATGATGTGTCCGGAGTTTGTTCCTTCTGATGTTCGGATGTGTCCGGAGTTTATTCCTTCTGGTGGGTTTGTGGTCTCGCTGACTTCAGGAGTGAAGTCGCAGACCTTTGCAGTGAGTGTTACAGCTCTTAAAGGCAGCACGTCTGGAGTTGTTCATTCCTCCCAGTGGGTTCATGGTCTCACTGGCTTCAGGAGTGAAGCTGCAGACCTTTGCGGTGAGTGTTACAGTTCATAAAGGTGGCGCTTCCGGAGTTGTTCGTTCCTCCCTTCTGGAGTTGTTCATTCCTGCTGGTGGGTTCACAGTCTCACTGGCTTCAGGAGTGAAGCTGCAGACCTTCGAGGTGAGTGTTACAGCTCTTACTTAAAGGCATCACAGACCCAAAGAGTGCGCAGCTGCGAGATTTATTGCAAAGAACGAAAGAACAAAACTTCCACATCATGGAAGGGGACCCAGGTTGCCGCTGCTGGCTCAGGTGGCCTGCTTTTTATTCCCTTATCTGGCCCCACCCACATCCTGCTGATTGGCCTGTTTTACAGAGAGCCAATTGGTCCATTTTGACAGAGTGCTGACTGGTGCATTTACAAACCTTTAGCTAGACACAGAGTGCTGATTGGTGCATTTACAATCCTTTAGCTAGACAGAAAAGTTCTCCAAGTCCCCACCCATCCCAGAAGCCCAGAGGCTTCACCTCTCACTGGCACTCGTTGCAGGGCTTTGCAGCACCTAGCCCGGGCACTCCGGCAGCTCAGAGGGAGCTTGTCCCAGATAACCAAGAAGAAAAGAGGGGAAGTGAGAAAGAGACTGAGACCCGCCATCATGGCCAACGACCCCATGAAGAGGGAATGGCATTCCACGCACGGGACCCAGTCTCTGATCAGGCCCAGCAAGCACCGCCAGCCGCGCTAAGTGCAGGCCGAGCCCACGCCCACCTAGAACACACACTGGCCCACGAGCACCATGCGTAGCCCCGGCTCCCACCCGCGCCTCTCCCTCCACACCTCCGCGTGAGCAGAGGCAGCTGGCACGGGCCTTGGCCAGCCCCGGAGAGGGGCCCCCACAGCGCAGCAGCGGGCTGAAGGTCTCCTCGAGTGCGGCCAGAGTGGACGCCAAGGCTGAGGAGGCACCAAGGGTGAGCAAGGGCTGCTAGCACGTTGCCACATCTCACCATGAGGAACGGTGAATTCCAGCCCAGATACTATGCTTTATGCATGGTCTTCACAACCCGCAGACCAGGAGATTCCCTCAGATGACTACACCAGCAGGGCCCTGGGTTTCAAGCACAAAACGGGGTGGCTGATTTGGCAGACACCAAGCTAGCTGCAGGAGTTTATTTTCATACCCCAGTGGTGCCTGGAACACCAGCGAGACAGAACCATTTACTCCCCTGGAAAGGGGGCTGAAGTCAGGGAGCCAAGTGGTCTAGCTCAGCAGATCCCACCCCCACGGAGCCCAGCAAGCTAAGGTCCACTGGCTTGAAATTCTTGCTGCCAGCACAGCAGTCTGAAGTCAACCTGGGATGCTCGAGCTTGGTGGGGGGAGGGGTGTCCACCATTACTGAGGCTTGAGTAGGCAGTTTTCCCCTCACAGTGTAAACAAACCTGCTGGGAAGTTCAAACTGGGCGGAGCCCATCTCAGCTCAGCAAAGCCACTGTAGCCAGACTGCCTCTCTAGATTCCTATTCTCTGGGCAGGGCATCTCTGAAAGCAAGGCAGCAGCAACAATCAGGGGCTGGTAGATAAAGCTCCCATCTCCCTGGGACAGAGCACCTGGGGGGAGGGGCGGCTGTGGGCGCAGCTTCAGCCAACTTAAACATTCCTACTTGTTGGCTCTGAAGAGAGCAGGGGATCTTCCAGCAAAGCTCTCAAGCTTTGCTAAGGGACATACTGCCTCCTCAAGTGGGTCCCTGACCCCCATGCCTCCTAATTGGAAGATACCTCCTAGCAGGGGTTGACAGACACCTCATACAGGGGAGCTCTGGCTGGGATCTGGCAGGTTCCCCTATGGGACGAAGCTTCCAGAGGAAAGAGCAGGCAGCAATCTTTGCTGTTCTGCAGCCTCCATTGGTGATACCCAGGCAAACAGGGTCTGGAGTGGACCTCCAGCAACTCCAGTAGACCTGCAGCAGAGTGGCCTGTTAGAAGGAAAAATAACAAACACAAAGGAATAGCATCAACATCAACAAAAACGATGTCAACACAAAAACCCCATCCAAAGGTCACCAAAGTCAAAGACCAAATGTAGATAATACACAAAGATGAGGAAAAACAAGCACAAAAAGGCTGAAAATTCTAAAACCAGAACACCTCTTCTCCTCCAAAGGATCACAACTCATCACCAGCAAGGGGACAAAACAGGACAGAGAATGAATTTGACAAATTGACTGAAGTAGGCTTCAGAAGGCGGGTAATAACAAACTCCTCAGAGCTAAAGAAGCATGTTTTAACCCAAAGCAAGGAAGCTAAGAACCTTGAAAAAAGATTACAGGAATTGCTAAGTAGAATAATTCGTTTAGAGAAGAACATAAATGATCTGAAGGAGCTGAAAAACTCAGCACAAGAACTTCGTGAAGCATACACAAGTACCAATAGCAGAATCAATCAAGTGGAAGAAAAGATATCGGAGACTAAAGATCAACTTAATGAAATGAATCATGAAGAGAAGAGAAAAAAGAATGAAAAAGAATGAACAAGCCCTCCAAGAAATATGGGACTATGTGAAAAGACCAAACCTACTTTTGATTGGTGTACTGAAAGTGACATGGAGAATGGAGCCAAGTTGGAAAAGACACTTCAGAATATTATCCAGGAGAATTTCCCCAACCTAGCAAAGTAGGCTAACATTCAAATTCTGGAAATACAGGGACCACCACAAAGATACTCCTTGAGAAGAGCAACCCCAAGACACATAATCGTCAGATTCAGCAAGGTTGAAATGAAGGAAAAAATGTTAAGGGCAGCCAGAGAGAAAGGTCAGGTTACCCACAAAGGGAAGCCCGTCAGACTAATAGAGGATCTCTCTGCAGAAACCCTGCAAGCCAGAAGAGACTGGGGGGCAATATTCAACATTCTTAAAGAAAAGAATTTTCAACCCAGAATTTTATGTCCAGCCAAACAAAGTTTCATAAGCAAAGGAGAAATAAAATCCTTTACAGACAAGCAAATGCTGAGAGATTGTGTCACCACCAAGCCTACCTTACAAGAGCTCCTGAAGGAAGCATTAAATACGGAAAGGAAAAACTGGTATCAGCCTCTGCAAAATCATAGCAAATTGTAAAGGCCATCAACACTATGAAGAAACTGCATCAACTAACAGGCAAAATGACCAGCTAAACATCATAATGACAGGATTAAATTCACACATAACAATATTACCTTAAATGTGAATGGGCTTAATGACCCAATTAAAAGGCACTGACTGGCAAATTGGATAATGAGTCAAGACCCTTTGGTTTGCTGTATTCAGGAGACCCATCTCATGTGCAAAGGCACACACAGGCTCAAAATAAAGGGATGGAGGAATATTTACCAAGCAAACGAAAAGCAGAAAAAAAAAAAAAAAAAAAAAAAGGCAAGGGTTGCAATCCTAGTCTCTGACAAAACAGACTTTAAACCAACAAAGATCAAAAAAGACAAAGGGCATCACATAATGGAAAAGGGATCAATGCAACAAGAAGAGCAAACTATCCTAAATATATATGCACCCAATACAGGAGAACCCAGATTCATAAAGCAAGTGCTTAGAGACCTACAAAGAAACATAGACTCCCACACAATAATAGTGGGAGATTTTAACACCCCACTGTTAATATTAGACAGATCAATGAGACAGAAAATTAACAAGGATATTCAGGACTTGAACTCAGCTCTGGGCCAGGCAGACCTAATAGATGTCTATACAACTCTCTACCACAAATCAAGAGAATATACATTTTTCTCAGCACCACATCACACTTATTCTAAAACTGACCAAATAATTGAAAGTAAAACACTCCTCACCAAATGCAAAAGAATGGAGATCCTAAGAAACAGTCTCTGAGAACATAGTGCAATCAAATTAGAAATCAGGATTAAGAAACTCACTCAAGCACTTTGGGAGGATGAGGCAGGTGGATCACTTGAGGCCAGGAGTTCAAGACAAGCCTGGCCAACATGGCAAAAACCCATCTCTACTAAAAATACAATAATTAGCCAGCCATGGTGGTGGGCACCTGTAATCCCAGCTACTCAGGAGGCTGAGGCAGGATAATCACTTGAACCCAGGAAGCAGAGTTTGCAGTGAGCAGAGATTGTGCCATTGCACTCCAGCCTGGGTGACAAGAATGAAACTTTGTCTCAAACAAAAAGAAAAAAAAAAAGAAACTCACTCAAAACCAAACAAGTACATGGAAACTGAACAACCTACTCCTGAATGACTATGGGGTAAAATAATGAAATTAAGGTAGAAATAAATAAGTTCTTTGAAACTGATGAGAACAAAGACACAATGTACCAGAATCTCTGGGACACAGCTGAAACATTGTTTAGAGGGAAATTAACAGCACTAAATGCCCACAGGAGAAAGGAGGAAAGATCTAAAATTGACACCCTAACATCACAATTAAAAGAACTAGAGAAGCAAGAGCAAACAAATTCAAAAGCTAGCAGAAGACAAGAAATAACTAAGATCAGAGCAGAACTGAAGGAGATAGAGGCGTGAACAACCCTTCAAAAAAATCAGTGAATCCAAGAGCTGGTTTTTTGAAAAAATTGACAAAATAGATAGCCCACTAGCCAGACTAATAAATAAGAAAAGAGAGAAGAATCAAATAGACACAATAAAAAATGATAAAGGGGAGATCACCACTGATCCCACAGAAATATAGGCTATAATCAGAGAATACTACAAACACCTCTACGCAAATAAAGTAGAAAACCTAGAAGAAATGGATAAATTCCTGGACACATACACCCTCCCAAGACTAAATGAGGAAGAAGTCGAATCCCTGAATAGACCAATAACAAGTTCTGAAATTGAGGCGGTAATTAATAGCCTACCAACCAAAAAAAGTTCAGGACCAGATGGATTCACAGCCAAATTCTACCAGAGGTACAAAGAGGAGCTGGGACCATTCCTTCTAAAACTATTCCAAACAATAGAAAAAGAGGGAATCCTCCCTCACTCATTTTGTGAGGCCAGCATCATCCTGATACCAAAACCTGGCAGAGACACAACAAAAAAAAAGAAACTTTCAGGCCAATATCCCTGATGAACATTGATGCAAAAATCCTCAATAAAATACTGTCAAACCGAATCCAGCAGCACATGAAAAAGCTCATCTACCATGATCAAGTTGGTTTCATCCTTCGGATGCAGGCAGGTTCAACATATGCAAATCAATAAACATAATCCATCACATAAACAGAACCAATGACAAGAACCACATGATTATCTCAATAGATGCAGAAAGGATCTTTGATAAAATTCAACACCCCTTCATGCTAAAAACTCTCAATAAACTAGGTATTGTTGGAATGTATCTCAAAATAGTAAGAGCTATTTATGACAAACCCACAGCCAATATCATACTGAATGGTCAAAAGCTGGAAGCATTCCCTTTGAAAACCGGCACAAGACAAGGATGCCCTCTCTCACTACTCCTATTCAACATAGTATTAGAAGTTCTAGCCAGGGCAATCAGGCAAGAGGAAAAATAAAGAGTATTCAAATAGGAAGAGAGGAAGTCAAATTGTCTCTGTTTGCAGATGATGTGATGTATACTTAGAAAACCCCATTGTCTCAGCCCCAAAACTCCTTAAGCTGGTAAGCAACTTCAGCAAAGTCTCAGGATACAAAATCAATGTACAAAAATCATGAGCATTTCTATACACCCATAATAGAAAAACAGAGAGCCAAATCATCAGTGAACTTCCATTCACAACTGCTACAAAGAGAATAAAATACTTGGGAATACAACTTACAAGGGATGTAAAGGACTTCTTCAAGGAGAACTACAAACCACTACTCAAGGAAATAAGAGAGGACACAAACAAATGGAAAAACATTCCATTCTTATGGATAGGAAGAATCAATATTATCAAAATGGCCATACTGCCCAAAGTAATTTATAGATTTAATGCTATCCCCATCAAGCTACCATTGACTTTCTTCACAGAATTAGAAAAAATTACTTTAAATTTCATATGGAACCAAAAAGAGCCCATATAGCAAGACAATCCTAAGCAAAAAGAACAAAGCTGGAGGCATCACGCTACCTGACTTCAAACTATACTACAAGGCTACAGGGCTACAGTAACCAAAACAGCATGATACTGGTACCAAAACAGAAATACAGACCAATGGAACAGAACAGAGGCCACAGAAATAACACCATACATCTTCAACCATCTGATCTTTGACAAACCTGACAAAAACAAGAAATGGGGAAAGGATTCCCTATTTAATAAATGGTGTTGGGAAAATTGGCTAGCCACATGTAGAAAACTGAAACTGAACCCCTTCTTTACACCTTATACAAAAATTAACTCAAGATGAATTAAAGATTTAAACATAAGACATAAAACCATAAAAACCCTAAAAAAACCTTAGGCAATACCATTCATAACATAAGCATGAGCAAAGACTTAATGAGTAAAACATCAAAAGCAATGGCAACAAATGCCAAAATTGACAAATAGGATCTAATTAAACTAAAGAGCTTCTGCACAGCAAAAGAAACTATCATCATAATGAACAGGCAACCTATAGAATGGGAGGGAATTTTTGCAATCTATCCATCTGACACAGGGCTAATATTCAGAATCTACAAGGGACTTAAACAAATTTACAAGAAAAAAACAAACAATCCCATCAAAAAGTGGTTGAAGGATATGAACAGACACTTCTCAAAAGAAGACATTAATGCGGCCAACAAACATTTGAAAAAAAGCTCATTATTACTAGTCATTAGAGAAATGCAAATTAAAACCACAGTGAGACACCATCCCATGCCAGTTAGAATGACGATAATTAAAAAGTCAGGAAACAACAGATGCTAAAGAGGATGTGGAGAAATAGGAAGACTTTTACACTGTTGGTGGGAGTGTAAATTCAACTATTGTGGAGAACAGTGTGGCAATTCCTCAAGGATCTAGAACCAGAAATACCACTTGACCCAGCAACCCCATTACTGGGTATATACCCAAAGGATTATAAATCATTCTACCATAAAGACACATGCACACGTATGTTTATTGCAGCACTATTCACAATAGCAAAGACTTGGAACCAACCCAAATGCCCATCAATGATAGACTGGATAAAGAAAATGTGGTACATATACAACATGGAATACTATGCAGCCATAAAAACGGATGAGTTCATGTCCTCTGCAAGGACATGGATGAAGCTAGGAACCATCATTCTCAGCAGACTAACACAGGAACAGAAAACCAAACCCCACATGTTCTCACTCATAAGTGGGACTTGAACAATGAGAACACATGGACACAGGGAAAGGATCATCACACACCGGGGCCTGTCGTGGGATGGGGGCTAGGGGAGGGATAGCATTAGGAGAAATACCAAATATAGATGACAGGTTGATGGGTGCAGCAAACCACCATGGCACGTGTATACCTATGTAACAAACCTGCATGATCTGCACATGTATCCCAGAACTTAAAGTATAATAAAAAAGAAAAAAAAGATAAGTGACTCCAAACTGCATTTGTAGTTTTCCACTGTATTTTTCACTACTGTGCACTTGCATTTAAAAACAATTTCACTAAATGATCTCATTGTAGAAGCAGTATAAGTCAAGTTTATTAAATCTTGATCTTGAATACGTACCATTTTAATATTTTGCGTGACAATATGCTGAATTGAAATTTATGCAAGAGGCATGAAGTACCACTGCTGCTACCAATGGATGATGGTTGTCTTGAGGAGAAAGATTTGTGCGTGTTTGAGCTGCAAGCTAAAGCAACTGATTTTTGTGGGGGGTATTGTATAAAATATAAATTCTGTTTGTTCAGACTTGGAAATTTGACATGAAGATATATTCTTGAGAATAATAAAGTGAGCCTATCACTTCAAAGAAACAACATTTGGTGTTAAAGATAACATTTGAACCGAAAAATGAGAATTTTGCAAACCTTGTAGCTGCAATCATGAACTTGACAGCTTCTCAATACATAAAGACTTTTCTGAAAATATTGGTGATACTATTAACAAATGTGATTTTTGATACTATATAATAAAATGTGACGAATAGAAAATCTTTGTAACTCAGTGAATTAATATTTTCCAAATGAACAGAGCATAATGTCATAAAATAGTATATGGGGAAAATCTTCATTAAATGTACAAAATAAATTAATGTATTTTAATGTAACAAAGTACAAAATGTTCATTAAAAAGGATGCACATTCAATATTACAACTGATATTTGAGAATCTATCACTTGAGTTTTGGTGTAGTATCAACAAAATATCTACAATTATCTGTAAAAGGCATTAAAATATACAACTATTTCAAACCACATATCTTTGTGAGTCAACATTTTTTATACACATCAACCAAAATATCAATTGCAACAGGCAGAATGCAAAAGAAAATACAAAAATCTTCTATTAAGCCAAATATTAAAGAGAGATTTTAAGATGTCAAAAAAACTGTTCTATTTTTTGTCTCGAAAAAATATGTTTTAATATGGAAATGCAAATACACACTCTTTATATTACAATGTAATTTGTTTACTAATATTATTTTAAATGAAATGACATCATATTTTTAAATTTTATCAGTTTTAAATTTTAATACAGTGAATGTCTATAGAGACAAATTTTATCAATAAAATATCTTTGGGGTCCTCAATAATTGAGATCCTGAGGCAAAACCATTTAAGAACCATTGATATAAGGACTAAGGGAAAGAATATGGACTTATAAAGTCAGGGCCTGGACTACTACGTTTCTCCTCCTACATCACTAGTAGCAGAGTAATCCTAGATAACTCACTGAACTCTCCAACACCAGGCTCTTCTTTTGTAAAACATGGGTAAACATGGTAATAAATGCTCACGGGGTCACTACAAGAACAAAACGTGCTCATGTATGTAGATGTACTTTGTGTCCTCCAAAAAGGACTGCACAAAAGTTATTCCCTTATTATTATCAATGACAATAACAATTTGTACTAAAATTTGGTGAATCATGTCAATAAAGATAACCTTCCAGTGATAAAAATAAAGTGTTTTTATGAATCAGGTAAATCGTACTGCCCAAACATTTTTATCTCATCCCAAACACGGGCTCATTTGTTTGACTTTTATTATGCTGTTAGAGTCTTTAGAAACCTCAGAAATTCTGGTTACAGATAAGATCAATTTGGAAAATGGTTTCCCAAATACTTACTTGGAAGCAAATGCAGATATTGCAGCAAAACTCAGGAAAAGATTCACACTGGTCTGGAAGTAATGAGTAATAGTGTGGGTGCATTGGCCATCCATGAGATCCAAATTAAAACACAAAGATGAGATACTCTGACCACTCACTTCTTGCTGGTAGGAGCACAGAATGTTAGCATCAGAAGCAATATTATTAGCAGCCTTCTTATTCAATGCCTCATCTAAAACAAGAATCTCTTCTATGAGCCTCCGACATGTTATCTCATCTATACTTAAATATTTCTAGTTGTTGGACACATGCCATATCACAAGGCAGTTCATTTCATATGTTACAATCTTTTTTTTTTCATTATGCACATCTAATTATACAAAAAGTGAATGATCTTGCACTTCTAAGATCCCAGCTATGTGTCTGCTGCTGCCGTTGGACAGGGACCACACTTTGAGAACCACAGACCTAGGGTCTAACCACAGTTCCTCATACAGCTTACAGGGTAACATGTTCTGAGTTGCATGCAATGGACTTGCAACAGTGCTCGTTCAGTTTTGGGACTTGTCTGGTTGGTGAATTATGAATAAAGGCTTTGTTAATAGGAGAGCAGTGGTGTGAATAATCCACCACTGTGGATAATCCAAAAGCCATTTCAGCTTGGTTTTGGAAGGTGTTCAAGCTGGAATTTGGTTCTGCAGCAGCCCTGGATTTACCTTCATAAATAGGTTTGCTGAGGCCAATGTTAAAACTAAACGACTGTTTCCTGAATAAACACATGCTTTCCACAGTGGGGGCGGCAAGCCAGCCGGCCTAGCATGCTGGCCATGGAGATAAACCTGGCAGTCATAATTCACAAAGCAGACAACCTCCCTGAAGGATAACTGGGAGCTGAGTCCACATAAGAAACTACAAATTGTAGTTCCTAAGAATGTGTGGGAGAGTTGCGGAAACCCCTCAGTTCCTCTTAGTATACATTCCTGTACTAATTAAATTCATGTAGTTCATGACACTTAAATTATTTCTCTCGTACCCTCTGCCTAGTCCCTCCAAAAATCTATGTGTGAGAATGTGTGTGTGTATATATGTTTATGATTTGCTTTACAGAGGTCATAAAAGAAAGATGCTACCCAAAAGCTCACAAATCCCAGTGTTACGAGTGATAAGCATGTCAAGGCTTGTAGTTAAAGGTAGCAACGACCTCTAAAAGTAGTTTCTGAGTGTTGGTTTGTGAATGGGCACTATCACAATAACCTGGGAATTTAAAAAATACAGATCCCTTCCCCTTCACTCTACTGCTGAAACTGTGTTAGTGGTCATGTTTATCTTTACTCTTCTGACAACCTCATTTGTCCTCTTGCATTTTAGTGTCTCATCTATAACACAGAAAGAATCGGTTATGGTAGAATAACTTGTGGATATTTGGCAGAAAATTTATTTAACGGCTTTATAAATAAAATCTAATTCCCACAGAAATGTAACATAATCCCCAGAAATGGAGAAAATAGTGATATTACCTATCAAACTTTGAGTGCTGATTAGAGATTAGATGCTGTGTTAAATGCTGCACATGAGCTGCTTTATTTAAGTAAAGCCTGTAAAGCAGGTCCTTTTCTTAGCCTCATTTTACAGGTAAGAAATCTGTGGCCCAAAGTCACATAGTCATGAAATGGCAGAACTAGGTTAAAAACCTCCTTTACTGGACTCAAAGTCCAGTCTTTTAACCTCTGTGCAAGATTGCCCCCCAAGTGGACATATGCTAATGACAGTTTCCATTTAAGAAAAATGCCTCAGGCCATGCGCGGTGGCTCACGCCTGTAATCCCAGCACTTTGGGAGGCCAAGGCAGGCGGATTACTTTAGGTCAGGAGTTTGAGAGCAGCCTGATCAACATGCTGAAACCCTATCTCTAATAATAATAGAAAAAAATAGCTGGGTGTGGTGGCAGGCACCTGTAATCCCAGCTACTCAGGAGGCTGAGGCAGGAGAATTGCTTGAACCTAGGAAGTGAAGGTTGTGGTGAGCAGAGATCACTGCAGTCCAGCCTGGGTGTCAAAAAAAAAAGTCTCCTTGTAAATTAACTCGGATGCCAAAGACCTCTTATGTGCTGCTTCAGATGTTTTTGGCTTCATCAGACTCTGGCCCCTTGTCCCGTCCCAGCTGTCTCTGACAAACTGGACCCGACTTCCCATAAACACAAGCCAGCAGCATCATAACCTGTGTACGCTCTGTGCACTACTCACCTGTGTCCTCAGTGCACTGGGATGCTGAAGTGACAGATGCTGCTGGGAACTTTAAGGGAATTAATGTCCTAGAGGAGTGAAACTTTGAACCCACGGGAATCTGGGGAGACCAGATAAATATCTTCCTTCTTTCATTGTACGAACTGCCCTGAGAACAAGTCCATGAGCTTCTCTGAAGACAGCCTCCGAGATGGCGCTATCAGTTCCACTTGATACCAAGTGACTGCTGTGTTGATAACATGTGTTCATACTGGCACATTAGTTCTCACTCCTTCCCTGCTGTACACCCCTTCTTCTTTTCTCAGGCTTACTAGAATTACATTCTCTTCTGAAAATAATACCTCATAAGCCTTTACCTAGGCTCTGCTTTTTGGGAAACTCAGGCTAAGATAATTTGGAACACCTCAGCTCCAAGGTGCATGCAAGTGGTGTTACTTTTAGCCCTTGTTATGGGGTGGGTGGGGGGATGGGGCAAAAAAGAATAAGAAAACGAGGAATTGAGAACTGTGTTTTGTCTCTTTCGAAACTCTGATAAAAGCACTTCTCTGCTCTAAGTGATTCAACACAAATATTGCCACAGCTTTGTAAACAAAGAGGGGCACAGTTACAAATAGGTAAATAATGAATGCCTTGCTTTTCTTTTCTTACAGAAGCTCTTATTCTTTGTCTGCCTCCAGGGCTGTATAGAACCCTATCCTGGGAATCCAGTCTATTGAGGCCAGGCCTTTTTAAAGGCCCTTCCAGTGAAAGAAGATAAGTGAGCCTTTCAATCCAACATCAGAAACTAAAATGAGCCTTTCAGACCTCACTCCAGGTGGGATTGAAAAGCCATGGCTACTTCCCCAGAAATGAAGCAGTCTAGGGAAGGTGTGGCCCAGAGCCAGGGCTAGGAATGAGCAGGTGTGCCTCAGAAGACACATTTCCAGCACCTTCCCCAGGCGAACAAAATTAACATGTGTTTCTTTTCTCCTCTATTCTAGGAAAACCTGCCCAACGGACCCAGAAAAAGCAGAAAAGATAAAGGAAAGGAAAATAGTTATTTCCAAAATCCTTAGAAAGCATGTATTTATGTACGCTGAATGAAATGAAGGGTGGAGCTGAAATAGGTGTCTAAGTAATACAAGCTTCAAATATATTGGCCTAACATAAGTTTTCAGATGTGAAGGCACTAGATAATTGTGTTGTTTATTGCACGTTATTTTGCTTAATGCATTTTGATAGGATATGTAAATTCAGTCAAGTTTCCCATAATCATAATGACCTAAATGTTGAACAATAGATCAGATAAATGAACAGTTTCCAATGTGGTCATGCCAGGGGTAGAACAATAATGTAACTGTGTGTTTATGTGTATGTGCATGTGCATATTTGTACATGCATGTGTTCAAACTCAATACTTATTTTCTGAATGAATGTGTAATGGGCTTAAAAATGGATGATGGCCTATCATGATATTAAGATTCAGAAAATACATATTAAGTTTGAACAACATGGCAAGCCCTATGCTGGTATTACTTTAGAGTAATAAATAAACATGCATAAAACCTAATTCCAATATCCAATGAACTCAATAAATAAACATGCATAAAATATAATCCCAACATTCAATGAACTCACAGGCTACCAGGAGATTATGGTTATTAGTATTGTTATAATAATGGTTGCTAACATTTACTGAGTACTTACTGCAGTATTATATTTCTTTGGATATGTTATCTCATTTAATTCTTAGAATGACCCAATAAAGTAGATTTATATAATCATTCTCATTTTACTGATGAATAAACAGACTCAGAACAGTTGAGAATCTTATCTAAAATTACATAGGTAGAAATAAGTTTTCTAGCTTCTTAACCTGGATTAAGTTTTTAACGTGGATTTGTCTGTCTATAGAGCTGACTCCACTATTCCATCTTACCTTTTAAAATTATCATTTGACTTCCATAATCATAGGTAAACAGGACAGTGACTCCTTCTATTTTACATTGAAGTCACATAGAGAGATGCAATGACCCATTTCTGTTCAGACAGTTAATGAGATAACTACTACTTGAACTTTTGTTGCCTTTGATTTTAAGTTTTGAGCACTTTCCCTCATACCAACATGCTCTCGTGGAGGCCTGCACTATGTTTTCTATCTTTACTTCCAGTGCCTTTGACAGGGAGTGGCGTCTCGCCTTCCACTCAGGATTGCCTAAGGCTTTATTGTGGAAACCTGTGGAGGTATAGAGGTTTGGTTGACCAAGCATTGACCCTTCTCCTTAGAAAATGTCATGTTTGAACATGCTCCTACCTCTCAGGCTACAGTTGATTAATCTCTGAGTAAGCAACCAACTCAAGACATACTAAGTAGCTCCATTCCCAAAATGTTTATATGTTGGGCCAAAGAAAGACTGGGCATTTTCTTTCTGGAGATTGAAGCCACAGAGATAGTAAACTCAGAAGCTATTGATACCATTCTGTTGCTCCTTAAGGAGAGAACAAGTCTGCAGTGAGATAGAGTGAACCTGACTTCACCAAAAAGGGAATTTCGAGAATCGGGAGGAAAGACTTGCTGGCATTTGAGTTCCTGGATCTGTTTGTTCCTGCAGGGCAGTTGCTTATCTGCCTTTCTCGTGGTGTGCTTATTCAACCCTTCCTTGAATTGTGTAAGTTAATAAATTCCCTTCTTGGACTGAGCTTAATTCAAGTTTTGTTTCTCTCATATATAACCAAAAATACCTTGTTTTAATACAGGATCCAATGAGAAAGCAGACCAAAAAGCCACAGGTCGGCCAGGCATGGTGGCTTAAGCCTGTAATCCCAGCACTTTGGGAGGCCAAGGCTGGCGATCACCTGAGGTCAGGAGTTCGAGACCAGCCTAGCCAACCTGGCGAAACCCCGTCTCTACTAAAAATACAAAAATTAAGCATGCATAGCGGTGCATGCCTGTAATTCCATCTACTTGGGAGGCTGAGGCAGGAGAATCACTTGAACCTGGGAGGCGGAGCTTGCAGTGAGCAGAGATCACACCAATGCACTCCAGCCTGGGTGACAGAGTGAGACTCTGTCTCAAAAATCAAAACAAACAAAACACACACATCAATTATCAAAGTATATAATTATTTTATTGAGATTCATCTTTGTGACCAAACTGGACCGCTCACTTACTATCTGACTCATGGGTCTCAGCCTCGTCCATCCGGCAGAGCACACATGCTATGTCCATGTGAGTGCACACCATCTGGCAACCCCAGGACAGCACCGCCTGCTCCCACGCCAAGTTGCGCAGTCTGCATTTTCAGGGCCATCATTTTGGGCTGAGGAAAGACGTCTGCTTTGGCTCTGTAATGACAGGATACAGACCAGCTGCTGCCATTCCTGCCTGGCAACTTCCTGGAGGGGCTCGGATTTAAAATTCGGAATAAGAAGATTTCTCTCCTATTCTTTCAGAATGACTAAGGCTTAGACAGGAGAGTCCAAAGCCTGTGGGCTGGAAACGAGGTTATCTTATGTTGGGTCCCCTAGATATAAGCCTGAAATAAAGGTCTGGGGGCACATGACTTATGGAGGGAGAGCTTTAATAGACAGCATCATAGATCTTCACAGGTTAGTCCCTTAGGTTGCCATTCCAGTCTCACTGACCATTAGAATAATTAAGCTCACCTTGCTCCTGATGCTAAGTGTTGCCTCTGGCTTCTAATAATCTGTTATCTTATTATATCAACTGCTTCTAGGATCTCAGTTCTGTACCAGTGTCTCCTATCATCAGCCCCACATACAGAGTACAGCCTCCACTGAGCTTCTCACCCATCCTGTGATGCAGGTACTGCCCTTACCAATACCTTTTTATCACCTTGGTAAACAGGGTGCACTCAGCACCCCTGCCCCAAGGATATAGTCAGCTGGTGGGTTTTCTATTCTTGTATAGTAGACTCATCCAAGCATACCAGTTCTCAGAGGCTTCCGAGGCCTTCCTCCACTGTCTGCCAGGGCAGTTCTGGAATCTCTATGCTATTTAATATGGTCCACCATTTTATCTAAGCCTCCAACTCTCATCCCAGAAATATATCAGGGCCATCTCCCAGTGCCCCCCAACCCCCCACCAAGGTGTTAAATCGTATGATATGAGAGAGTCCCTAATTCAAAACTGGCTCCATTATCTAGTTTACTGACCCTTTGCCCCAAGAATCCATCTAAGTCGGGCTCTGCCAACTCCACTTAGTCTGTGATAGCCAGGTTCCATGCTTCTCTGGCACAGAGTTCTTCTTGCACCTCAGCAGGCCCAGAACTTGTTACCATCTGCCCTTCATTGTCAGTCTGGCAACCAGGAGGGAGGTGAAGTCAGATCAGCATTATCTTATAAGGAACCTGCCTCATTTGAGTTTTCTCCACTGCCTCCAACAAAGGGTGTAAGTGAGCAGCTGGGGCTCTATCTCCAACAAAGGAAAATGGAAGGCTTCTGCAGGCCCAGAGAAATCAGAGAATCTTACACTTCAAGTTGCTCAAGTACATCTATGCAGATATCCTCATCCCAATCCCAAGGTCACAATTTTTCTCTATCATGCCCTTACTTGGCATGGGTGAAGTGCCACACTGAGACTATCAGCTTTCTCCGAAATTCTGCCAGTCCCCCAGTTACATTATCTGCATGGTCCTCAGTTCCCCTACTCTCTAGTTCAGGTCGTGAGAATCTCTAAATGCTGCCTAGGAGGATCTCTTATCCTCAAGCTTTACTTTGAATTGGTTATTTATTCTGAGCTTGTACCTCTGCAAAGCTTCAATGATGGTCAGCACAACATAATCATTATAATTAGTATTTCCCTACATCTTTCATATAATATGCTAGAGGTATTGCATGAGTCAGTGCACTCATCCAAGCTGTGTCCTGTACTGGGTCATCACAGGTGAAGGTCTTCACTCTCCAAGTGCACTGCAACCTCATGCTAGATCTACCACCACTCCATCTGCCATCAGTGACAGTATCCTCATTGCCAAATGGCTGGTGGGTGATCCAACTCCAAAATTCCATCTCAGCCAGCTGCTCCTAAGCCCACTCCTAGTACCAACTCTCTTAGGCAGGTTTCCTAGCAGCAGAAACTAAGATAGGATTTCAGGTGCCATATTAAGAGAGTGCTTTTTTGGTTTCCTTCTTTTTAGTATCATATTATTCTCTATTGCTGCTTCTGTTTATCTACTTAATTTCTTTCACCCACAATTCCCTCCTTCTTCCTCTTCTTTTTCACTTTCTCACTCTCAAGGCAAACTTCTGCTATTCTTGAGCCTATGTAGCCAAGAATGACAGGATAAAATCAGTTTAAATCTTTTCTCTTCAAATAGCAAGCAGTCTTTTTAGTATCTCTGATTTTTAATTTCAAATTTTAGATTGAGGAAAAAAACCGATTGGCCTAACCATAAGAAAAGCCAACCAGCCATGACCATTGGTGTTGACAAGGTAATGGAACACAGAAAAGACACAACTTCTTGGGCCCATATCTGTGGATAGCAGGAACTTAGAGAAAACTGTAATAGATTAAGCAGACACCCAAAACTTGTCTATTGAGCTTCCTTCTTTAGCAATAGACTAGCCAGCTTACTGACATGAGATTAAAGTAACTTACAGAGGGTGAAATACCCCAATATTTAAAGTAACTTACAAAGAGTGAAATACCCCAATATTTTTAGGCAAAATCTTCCTTTTGCTTGAATAAATGATACAAGAGGCAGGGTAGCCCTGTGTAGATCATTAGAATAGAAGTTTTATGAGGGCAGAAACTTTATTTTGTTCATTAATGTATATTCCAGAACTTATAAAATTACCTCTCTCATAGTTAGCTGTCAATAAATTTCCTAAATTGATAAATTGATACATGTCTAATGTAATAAAGGTCTATTTTAGAGTTTTAGATCCACACATTGGATTCTGACTCAGTTTTCTCATCTTTAAAACGGGAATAATTATAGCATCTATGCTACAGGGTTATTGCGAGGGTTAAGTAAATATTGACTCTATCATATTAAACACAGTTTCAAGCACATAATAAGTATTTAATAAATAATAACCATTACTAAGAGAAAGTGGGAATGCAATAATACTGCAGTGGAAAAGAAGCCATAAAACTGTGAGTAAATAACACTTTCTCTAGACAAGACGTATTTTCCTTTTTAGGAGAATTGAGATAATAATACAGATGAGTAATTAAGCAGAAGCAAAGGCAGTCATCTCTACAAAAGTAGATCCTTCCAACTGGTCATAAAAGAATAATTAAAAACAACAGCAGCAACAGCAGGAATAAAACTGTTAGCATAAAATCTCTTCTGACAGTTCAGCCTCTTGAGAATTAGTAGTCTTTGCCCTGCCTTTTCTACAAAAACTGTTATATGGTCATGTAGGAATTATTTGAGAAAAGCAAAACATATTATAGATGCTGTCTATACTATGTAAGAGGCCTTCAGTTTACAACCAAGAGTATGAAATTGTGAGCTAATAGATGCTGGAATGAAACTATGTCTAACTCTCTTCTACCTGCTTTTTTCTTTTCTTTTCCTCTCCGCCCCTTGAAAACAGCACAGATGGGGAGGAGAAAAGCAGACGATTCAAACTGGTACATTACGTGGGCACAAACAAGTTAGGGAAAAACATCTTTGCATGGTGAGAAAAATTCCACTCCTTTCTTGGACAATTTCTGAAGTATTTGAAACCATGGCAACTAATATAAATGTAGCCAGTGCATTGTACATTCTCAGTCTGAAACAATAAAAAACAAACTTAGTATCTTCTTAGAAAGTTAAAAATAAACATAACTTGGACAACAGACTTCAACAAGTTTCTCATTTCCTTTGATCAAAACTTATAAAAATTCAGTATTTCAAAAGAAAAGTAACTCTATATTTTTGGGTCATATAAATAAATAAACATATTTGTACACATACATGTATACATAATGTATCTATAGTATATATGCAGGCAGTATATAGTATATGCATGTATACATATTTTACATATATATACATATCTTCAGGGCTAAGTATATTTTTGGAACATAGCATTGTTGAATAATGATTATATATTAATAAATGTGATATATAAGTATGTTAAGTGTAAATAATATGTAATTAGTAGCATTCAACAATACTATGTGTTAGGAAAAACACTGAGAATATAGGAATGGACAAATAGGATTCCTGTCCTCTGGAGGCATATAGACTACCGGTGGTAAAGAAACATTAGTTGCATAACCAACAAAATGAATAAATAATTACAAACGGCTCTAAAGTCAATGAATGAAAAGCACAGTATAACATGAGTAAGCATGATAGATGCAGGGGCCCCAACCCCCCAGGGCCACTCACCAGTTTTCATCAGTGTCCTGTCTAGGAACTGGGCTGCACATCTGGAAGCGAGTTGTGGGCAAGCGAGCATTACCACCTGAACTCTGCCTCCTGTCATATTAGTGGTGGCATTAGATTATCACAGAAGCCAGAACCCTATTGTGAACTGTGCATGCAACAGATCTAGGTTGCACACTCCTTATGAGAATCTAAAGCCTGATGATCTGAGGTGGAACAGTTTCATCCTGAAACTCCTCCTCTGGCCTACCATCCCCTCTTTGTACCTCCCCTACCCCTCACCCCCCCCACACCCCTCCATCTGTGGAAAAATTGTCTTCCACAAAACCAGTTCCTGGTGCCAAAAGTGTTGGGGATCATTATGACAGAGGACTTAATTTAGACAGGGGATATGAAAGTTGTTTAGAAAAATAAAAATTCATCTTGACAGCATGAAAAACTACTGTGTGCATTGTTTTGGACACAGCTGTAAAGTATCTTATGGTACAGGAAAAATCAAATTCAATTAGTGAAAGAGTGAGAAAAGAGACGAATCCCTGGCTTGCCCTCATTAGAGAAAGCTAGCAGAGGGATCAATTATTTCCATTAGAGGAAAGAAACAAGTTATGCCAGGTCTGTGTTGCAGCATGGAAAACTCTGCTTAAATGCTTAGAAAACATCATCAGAATAATTTGGTGATAGAACAAGTTGCTGATGGAATCAACTACTCTGGGGAAGCCAGAGGTGGTCAAAGGAGAAAAAGTTGCTGGAAGAAATACTTTTTTTTTTTTTTGCAGATCATAACAAAATAATTTTTTTTTCTGTTTCGCAAATATCACTTCATAAAACACAGTGTTCCAATATTTCAGGTGGACCCATGTGACAATTAATTAAAATGCTTCATCATCTTGCTTTTTTCTGTATCTTGGTTTCAGATCTTAAAGCCTTATATAAACCTTTTTTTTTTCTTTTACTAGAAGGCACTGTTAAATGCATTTTCCTAGTCAGTAAATGAAACAAGTGATTTGCTGTGGGTTAGTCAGTAGAGTTGCTGGTTGACCCAGGAATGGAGCATATATATTTGGACTGTGACTTTTGTGTATTAATGAGGACCATGTTTCCTTCCCTACATTGAGAACTAAAAACAATATTGGCTTGAGAAATAAAATGAAACAAAAACAGCAAGTAAACCGTACACTTGAGAAATTAGCTTCACCTTATGTTGAGTTTTTCACATCCTGAAACAGCCTGCTTCTTACCTTTAATAAGTTTGAGTTTGCTGTGCTCAGCATAATTGGACACAGCTGCCTGCATTTTGTGCCAGGGTATAAGGAAAAATTGAGTTATTATTAGACTTTGGTATAATGACCTGCCTGGCCAATGTAAATCTTAAGATTCAAGTGTTTATTGGTTGTGAATTTTCCATTGTAAGGGCACCTAGGAAGTTTCTTCACTAATAGGAGCCTGGAGAAGAAGACTGAAAAGCACTCTGTATACCATCAGAAAATTAATTGGTTGACCCATCTGTAATGTCAGAGTCAACAATAGATACATCAGACCACAAAAAATTGGGCTGTCCTCAAAATGAGTAACTGCAGGCAGCAATTTTGAGGACTTGTAAGTGAAGTTCATGATGCTTTAAATTAGAGGCCTTTGTAAAAGCATTACTTCCATAGAGAAGTAGGTTTGAAATCTGTCTTGGTTTGGATTTCCCCAGCAGCACACTCTGAGACAAGGATTCAGATGCAAGTAGTTTATTTTGGAGAGTCAGGGAACACTTGCAGTGAGGAGAATAGTGACAGAGGGAATGGAAAGTAGCCAATAAAGGTGCCTCATTAGGCCAGATATCATAATGAGCAAATTGAGCTTAACCTCATGGGGAAACTCTGGGAGATTTTGTTAAAAATGTCTCATAATTATCCTACCCAAAATGGAAGAGAGCTGGGGTATTTATACACCAACTCCTGACACTGCTCCCAGAGGTGTTAATTCCTTGGCATTTCTGGACGGCTGTGAGTAGGAGGAGAGCCACCTTCAATGACTTTGGAAAAAGCCCTTGGGCAAAAGACGTAGAGATACTGGCAGTGGAAGTCAGCTAGAATACACTAAAAGGTTAGAAAAATAGGATTGGAAACACTAAGAGACTGTCACAAAATTCTTCTGAGTATGAGGACTTGCAGGCTAAAATGAAAAATCCACTAGGTTGGCAATAACTTTTAGGACTACTATGCTGGTAGAGATTCTGAAGCAGATGGAGGAGAATTCGGTAAAACATTAAAGACGTCTGCCATTGGCAGAGCAGGATAAACTATCAGCAAATAAGCCATAGACTTGTCATCTTTGATCTAGATTAGGGGCTGGCAAAACTTTTTCTGTAAAAGGCCAGGTAGTAAATATTTAAGGTATTGTGGGTCACATGTAGTCTAAATCAAGTTGGCCTTGCAGGCTTGAAGACTAGGGCTGTGGGGTCTTGCCTGGTACCAGGCAGTCTCTGGAGTCTCAGCCTTTGAGTACCAGCCTGAAATCTGCAGCCACGGGGGGCTGCCCAGCGCTGGTTTTACTGCAATGGGCCTGATGTTGGAGTCCAAAGCAAAGCCCTGTGCTTACTTCTCTTTCTTCCAAGTGAACAGTATCTCTCTCCAGGCTATGCTGCTGAGGACTGGGGGAGGCTAAATGTAAAATTGTCCTTTCTGTCCTCTTCAATGTGTCTTTTCTTATTGTGTGTGACAACCAGGTACTATGATCTTTGAATTGCTTTCCTCAGCTCTTGCGAAGGCATTTTCCTGCATAGATAGATGTTTATATTGATGTTTCTGCGGGGAGATGATTGCTGGAGAATGCTAATCTGTCATCTTATCTGTCCCTTCCGAATCTTCCTTTAAAAAAAAGTATGAATAAACACACAATATACATAAATACATATGCAATGCAGTAGTCTTCATAATGGCTATATATAAAATGTAGTTACATATATATAATATAGTTACATATAGTTAACATAATGTGTCTGTCATTTTGACATACATATACATACATATATCATAACAACATTAGGTAACATCAATTAATATTTCTTAAATGCTTTATCTATGAGACAGCATGTCTTGGAAGAGCTGTATATAAATTATTTTATTTACATACTTTTAAACATAAATTTATTTATATATTCATTAAATATATTTAGACCCATAATATACACCAGGCATTGTGCTATGATTGAAGTCCACACTCAGAAGGTAGAAATTAGTATCTTGCCCATTATAAAGAGGAGAAATTGCTACTTGGTGCCATAATATGCCCCAGGCTGCATGGCAAATAAGGAGCTTAACTATGAGCACTACTCTCCTGACTGTAGGTTTTGTCTCTTTCTTTGTCATGTGTCAAAGTAAAAAGAGTTCAAAAATTTCTCCTAGTAACAAAGACTTCAATGAGATTTAATGTAGTCAACATTTTTGCAATCAAACACCAAGTTATTCAGTAATTCATTTCTGTTCACTATCCTCTCCACCACAGCTCGCCAACATCATTTTCCACTGCTTCTGTATAGGTTTCTTTTGTGTTGCTCTATTATTGTCCTCACTTCTTTTCTAGTGAGAAGTGGTTTAGATACAAAAAAAAGTTACCTATGCTCCATTAGTCAGTTAACAAATCTATATCTAAACCACAAACACACTATATTCATTTCCATTTATTTGACTTCTATTTTTTATAGTACCTGTATTCTGGAATGCTGAAAACAGGGACAAAATAAAGTCCCCAGTGACCAATCCAAAAGAAGTGAAGTTGTATAAACTGTCTAGCAAAGAATTCAAAATAAGTGTTTTAATGAAGCTTGCTGCCTACAACGGTAAGTTTTACCTATCAATAATTACCTTGAATATAAATGAATTGAATTCTCTAATAAAAAAAAAAACATAAAGGAGAGGAGGCAGAACAAGATGGTCAAATAGAACACTCCAGTGATGACCCTCCATGCAGGAGCACCAAACTGAACAACCATCCACACAAGAAAGCAGCTTTCTAAGAACTAAAACTCAGGTGAGTATTCACAGTACTTGGTTTTAGCATCATATCAAGGAAAGAGGCATTGAAGAGGGTAGAAAAGATAGTCTTGAATTGCTGATACCACTTATCCCGTATTACCTAGCAAAAGCTGTGAGGCACAGGGATAGAATCTGTATGCTTGGAGGAATTGGAGTGTAGTAATTGTGAGACTTTGCACTGAAATTCAAGTGTTTCCCTGTCACAGTGGAAAGCAACACAGGGCAGAATTCAGCCAAAGCCCACAGAGGGAGCATTTAGACAAGCCCTAACCAGAGCGGAATCATCTAACCCTTCGGTCAGAAACTGAGCTCTGGCTAGCCCCACCACCGTGGGCTAAAGTGCACTAAGATGCCGAAGGTAATTTATAGATTCAACACCATCCCCATCAAGCTACCAATGACTTTCTTCACAGAATTGGAAAAAACTACTTTAAAGTTTATATGGAACCAAAAAAGAGCCCGCATCGCCAAGTCAATCCTAAGCCAAAAGAACAAAGCTGGAGGCATCACGCTACCTGACTTCAAACTATACTACAAGGCTACAGTAACCAAAACAGCATGGTACTGTTACCTAAACAGAGATAGAGACCAATGGAACAGAACAGAGCCCTCAGAAATAATGCTGCATATCTACAACTATCTGATCTTTGAGAAACCTGACAAAAAGAAGAAATGGGGAAAGGATTCCCTATTTAATAAATGGTGCTGGGAAAACTGGCCAGCCATATGTCGAAAGCTGAAACTGGATCCCTTCCTTACACCTTATACAAAAATTAATTCAAGATGGATTAAAGACTTACATGTTAGACCTAAAACCATAAAAACCCTAGAAGAAAACCTAGGCAATACCATTCAGGACATAGGCATGGGCAAGGACTTCATGTCTAAAACACCAAAAGCAATGGCAACAAAAGCCAAAATTGACAAATGGGATCGAATTAAACTAAGGAGCTTCTGCACAGCAAAAGAAACCACCATCAGAGTGAACAGGCAACCTACAGAATGTGAGAAAATTTTTGCAACCTACTCATCTGACAAAGGGCTAATATCCAGAATCTACAATGAACTCAAACACATTTACAAGAAAAAAACAACCCCATCAAAAAGTGGGCGAAGGATATGAATAGACACTTCTCAAAAGAAGACATTTATGCAGCCAAAAAACACATGAAGAAATGCTCATCATCACTGGCCATCAGAGAAATGCAAATCAAAACCACAATGAGATACCATCTCACACCAGTTAGAATGGAGATGATTAAAAAGTCAGGAAACAACCAGTGCTGGAGAGGATGTGGAGAAATAGGAACACTTTTACACTGTTGGTGGGACTGTAAACTAGTTCAACCATTGTGGAAGTCAGTGTGGCGATTCCTCAGGGATCTAGAACTAGAAATACCATTTGACCCAGCCATCCCATTACTGGGTATATACCCAAAGGATTATAAATCATGCTGCTATAAAGACACATGCACACGTATGTTTATTGAGGCACTATTCACAATAGCAAAACCTTGGAACCAACCCAAATGTCCAACAATGATAGACTGGATTAAGGAAATGGGGCACATATACACCATGGAATACTATGCAGACATAAAAAAGGATGAGTTCATGTTCTTTGTAGGGACATGGATGAAGCTGGAAACCATCTTTCTCAGCAAACTATTGCAAGGACAAAAAACCAAACACCGCATGTTCTCACTCCTAGGTGGGAATTGAACAATGAGAACACATGGACACAGGAAGGGGAACATCACACACCGGGGCCTGTTGTGGGGTGGGGGGAGGGGGGAGGGATAGCATTAGGAGATATACCTAATGTTAAATGATGAGTTAATGGGTGCAGCACACCAACATGGCACATGTATACATATGTAAAAAACCTGCACATTGTGCACATGTACCCTAAAACTTAAAGTATAATAATAAAAATAAAAATAAATAAGTAAATAAATAAAATTTGGAAGGCAGTCTAGGCCACAGTGACTTCAATTCCTGGGCAAGTCCTTGTGCTGTGCTGGGCTCAGATCCAGTGGACTTGGAATGCACATTACCTAGTGAGACACCAGCTGGGGTGGCCAAGGAAATGCTTGTGTTACCGCTCTCCCAACTCTAGGCAGCAGAGCTTACAGCACTGGGAGGTACTCTTTCCACTTGAGAAAAGGGAAGAGAAGAATAAAGAGGATTTTTGTCTTGCAACTTGGATACCAGCTCAGCCACAATTAAAATAAAGCACCAAGCAGAATCCTGAATTCTCTGTTTTAGACCCTAGATCCTAAATGACATTTCTAGACACAACCTGAGCCAGAAGGGAAACCATCTCCTTGAAAGGAAGGACCCAGTCCTGACAGTATTTATGACCTGCTGACAAATGAGCCCTTGGACCTTAAATAAACATCAGCAGTAGCCAGACAGTACTTGCAATGGGCCTTGAGTGAGACCCAGTAGCATGTTGGCTTCAACTGACCCACCACATTTCCAGCTGTGGTAGCCCTGGAGAGAGACACCTTCTGCTTAAGGAAAGGAGAGGGAAGAATGAAAAGAACTTTGTCTTGCAACTTGAGCACCAGCTCAGCCACATTAAGATAAAGCACCAAGCAGACTCCTAAAGTCCCCAATTCCAGGACTTAACACCTGAATGTCTTTTCTAGATGCACTCTGCCCACCCCAGGCCAGAAGGGAACCTGCTGCTCTGAATGGAGAGACCCAAACCTGGCAGGATTCACCACAACCTAATTAGAGAGCACTTGGGCCTTGAATAAACAACAGTGATAGCCAGGCAGTACTCATTATGGGCCTGAAACAGTGATGGCCACAGGGAGAGACTCCTTCCACATGAGGAAAGGGGAGAGAAAGATAAAGTGGACTTCGTTTTTCAACTTGGGTACCAGCTCACCCACAGTAAAACAAACCACTAAATAGATTCCTAAAGTTCCCAACTTGAGGTCCTAGCTCTCTAACAGCATTTCTAGACCCACCCTTGGCCAGAAGAGAATCCACTACTATCAAGGGAATGAGACAAACCTGGCTGGATTCGCAATCCGTTGATTAAAGAGCCCTTGGACCTTGAATAAACATCAGTGGTAGCCAGGTACCACAGGCCTTCAGTGAGACCCAGTACTGTCCTGGCTTCAGGTCTGACCCAGCAAAGTCACAGTGGTAGTGATGATAGGGGTAGCTGTGGCACTCCTTCCCCAACTCCAGAACAATAAGGACAGAGAGAAAGATTCTGTTTGAGAAAAAGTAAGATAAGTGAACAAGACATTCTGCCTGGGAATCCAGGGAATTATCCTGGATCTTACCCAAGACCACCAAGGCAGTGATTCTACAAGTCTACAAGAATCACAGCATTACTGGGCTCAGGGTGCCCCTTAATGCAGATATGGCTGCAGTGACCAAAGACTTAGATCACAACATTCCATTCCCTTCGAATACTTGGAAAACCTTCTCACCAAGGGCAGTTACAAACAAGACCAGACTGTGAAGATTGGAATAAATACCTAACTATTTGATACCTAGACATTGACAGACAACTACAAGCATCAAGGCCATCCAGGAAAACATGGCCTCAACAAACAAAATAATTAAGGCAACGGTGACCAATCCTGGAAAAAACAGATAAGTAAACTTTCAGACAGAAAATTCAGAAGTGCTATTTTGAGGAAACTCAAAGAAATTTAAGATAACAAAGAGAAAGAACTCAGAATTGTATCAGATAAATTTAACAAAGAGATTGAAATAATTTTTACAAATCAAACAGAAATTCTGGAGCTGGAAAATTCAATGGACATACCAAAGAATGTATCAGAGTCTCTCAACAGCAGAATTGAAATTAAGCAGAAGAAAGAATTAGTGAACTTGAAGACAGGCTATTTGAAAATACACAGTTAGGGGATACAGAAAAAAAGAGAATGAAGCATGCCTACAAGATTTAGAAAATAGCCTCAAAAGGGCAAATCTAAGAGTTACGGATTTTAAAGAGGAGGTAAGAAGAAAGAGATTGGGTGGAAAGTTTATTCTGAGTGATAACAACAGAGAACTTCCCAAACCTAGAGAATGATATCATGTTCAAGTACAAGAAGGTGAGGTAACACCAAGCAGACTTAAGTAAGACTACCTCAAGACATTTCATATGCATATCCTCAAAGGTCAAGGATAAAGAAAGGATCCTAAAAGCCGCAATGAAAACTAACACACAAAAGAGGTCCAATACATCCCAGAACAGACTACTCAGTGGAAATCTTACAGACCAGAAGAGAGTGGCAGGATATATATAAACTTCTGAAGGATAAAGAAACTTTTATCCTAGAATAGTATATCCAGTGAAAATATCCTTCAAACATGAAAGAGAAGCAAAGACTTCTAGACAGACAAAAGCTGAGGAATGTCATCAAAGATCTGTCCTACAAAAAATGTTAAAGTTCTTTAATCTGAAATAAAAGGACATTACTGACCAACAAGACATCATGTGAAGGCAGAAAACTCACTGGAAATACTAAATATACAGAAAAATACAGAATATTCTAATAACTATAACTGTGGTATGTAAACTACTTATATCTTGAGCAGAAAGACTAAAAGTTAAACTATCAAATATCATAACTACAACAGCTTTTCAAGTCATAGACAGTATAAGAAGATATAATTAGAAACAAAAACCTAAAAAGCAGAGGGAATAAAGTCTGGAGTTTTTATTAGTTTTCTTTTTGCTTGTTAGCTAGTTTGTTCATTTTTGTAAATAATATTAAGTTGTCATCAGTTTAAAATAATGAGTTATAAAATGTCATTTGCTATCTCATGGTAACCTCAAATCCAGAAACCTACAACAGACATACAAAAAATAAAAAGCAAGAAATTAAAACATACTAGAGAAAGTCATTTTCATAAAAAGAAAGAGAGGAAGGAAGGAAGAAATGAAGGAAGAAAGGATGAGAGGTCTACAAAACAATCAGAAAACAAGTGACAAAATGGCAGTAGTAAATTCTTACTCATCCATAGTAACATTGAATGTAAATAGACTAAACTCTCCAATGAAAATACAGAGTGGTTGAATGGATATAAAATAAACAAGCCCTAACTATCTACTGTCTATAAGAAACACACTTCACCTATAAAGACACAAATAGACTGAAAGTGAAGGGATAGAAAAATATACTTTGGGCAAATGGAAACTGAAAAAGAGCAGGAGTAGCTACACCTACATAAGATTTAAATTTATTTTCAGTCAAAAACTGTTAAAAAATACCAAAAACTTATTATAGAATGATAAGTGAGTCAATTCAATTAGAGGACATAACATTTTAAATATATATGCACCAAACATTAGAGCACCTAAATATATAAAGAAAATATTAATGGTTCATGGATTGCTATACAATAATAAAAGGGAACACTCAAATTTCAGCAATGAACAAATCATCAATAAGGAAACAATGGACTTACACTGCACTCTAAATCAGGCATTGACTATAATTTTAGTCCATCCAAGAACTTTTGATCCAAGAACTGCCTTTTCTCCAGCTGTGGCCTGAGGCTGTAAAAGAAAGATTCCAGCTGGTGGAGATTACATTTGCTGCAGGCCCCAGAGGTCTTAAAGCAGAGGCAGTGGTAAGCAGAGGAATTACAGCCAGCCTAAGACGTTTCAATGCCTGCATATTTTGCCTGATTATAGAAAAAGTAAAAAGTTTCAATTTTACTTCCGATGGTTTCATCCATTAAAAGGAACATATATTAAAGATTGAAAACATCATCATATGGCTGAGTAAATGTACCCAGCCTTTACTCATGTGCTCCATACAAAAAGACCAAAAGAACAAATAAATAACAACATATTTAACAGAGTGTCTAGGGGTTATACTGGAATTCAGCAAAGAAGTGATGAGTACCATCTGAGTCACGAAGACTTGGAATGGCAGTTTAGAGAGGGAAGCAATGCACATAGCCCACATCAACTTTGAAACAAGAGGGACTCCGCACAGTAAGGAAAAGTTAAGCAGAAGTCCCTGGAAGACCACATGTCCATCACAGGCACCTGCAATCCTAGCTACAGGAGAATATCATAGTCCTAGCTGGCCTTGAGTCCAGTATAGGAATGTTCCTGGAGTCCACATGACTGCATTAATTCAGAGAAAGAATTCAGTCTGTGTCTCTTCCACCCCCATGACTCCAGAAGCCACAGTACATTAGCATTTTCAGAGAGGAGTCACCATCAGAGTGCATCCTGCCCTGGAATCAAGTAGCCCCTGCAACTCCACATTCCTGAAGCCCTCCCAACAATCCATTACATTAATCCATGAGCTGCAGCATTACAATAGCCACACCCAGCAATGCAGCCATGACTCCAGCACCCGATTCCATACAGCACCCTGAAATTCAGGAAAAAAGCAGTCTAGAACAAAGGAGAGGCTATGCCTAGGTCATAGGGGTTAAATATGTGTGCACACCAGAACCTAATAGCTTCCTGCCCAGGGTCTGCTGCCTCTGCTGGCAACCCCATCCCCCAGAAGCAAATGTGGGAGCATAGCAGGTGGCAAAGCTATTGGGTTTGGCCCAGCTAGCATCTCTGCTTCCAGCAAGGCTTTTCCACAGCTTCCAAAACAACCACAGCCTAGGCTATTGAGGTACTTGCACACACCATTGATGTGCATTGCAGTCAAAGAAATTATATGAAGTGTACACTACTATGTTCACCCAAGGCCAAAACTAAAGCACTCTACCCAACCAACACTATAGAACACATTACAGAACAACAACAACAACAAAAAAAATGAAAAAAATCTTCCCCAAGAAATCTACTGCATAAAATTAGAAGAAGAGACTCTTCTACCAGATGCACAGATACCAATGAAGGAGCATGAGAAATATGAACAAGCAAGGAAACATGACACATTTGAAGAAACACAATAGTCTGTAACAATTACCCAAAGAATGAAAATATTTGAAATGCCTGAAAATGAATTTAAAATAGTGCACTTAGGGAAACTCAGCAAGATAGAAAATAACACAGATAGGAAATTCGACAATATTAGAAAAGGAATGTACACTCTTAATGAGAAATTAAAAGAAAGAGATAAACATCATGAGAAAGAACCAAACAGATATATTAGATATAAGGGCTTTAATGAGAGAGATTCAAAACACAATTGAAAGTTTCAACAATAGACTAGCTCTAGAATAAAAAAAAATTTGAGATCGAAGACAGACCTTTTGAAAGTTTCAACAATACACTAGCTCTAGAATAAAAAAAAACATTTGAAATTGAAGACAGATCTTTTGAAATAACCCAGTTGGAAACAAAAAAAGAAGAATAAAAATAAAAAGAATGAAGGATGCCTATGGGATATATAGGATACCATTAAATGAAAAAATATTTGTATTGTGAGAGTTTCAGATGAGGAAGAGATGGGAAAAGGTATAGAAAACCTATTTAATGAGATAATAGCTGAAAACATTTTAAGTTTTCAGAGAGATATGGAAATCTATAATCTATGAAATCTATAAAACTCCAAGGATGTCCAAATACATTCAATACAAAAAAAAAAAAAGCCTCTTGAAGGCACATTATAGTTAAGTTGTTAAAAGTCAAAGACAGAAAATTCTAAAAACAGCAAGAGAAAAGTGGCAGGTCACATCTAAGGGCAACCACATTAGACTAACAGCATATTTCTCAGCAGAATCCTTAAAGACTAGGAGAGAAGAAGAAAATATATTCAAAGTGCTAAACGTAAATAAAACCCTGCCAGGCAAGAAGACTATAACCAGCAAAGCTATCTTTCAGAAATGAAGGAGAAATAAAGTATTTCCTAGACAAGCAAAAACGGAGGGAACTCATCACAACTAGATCAGTTCTACACAAAATACTTAATGGAGCTCTACATTTGGAAGCAAAAAAAAAAATCTACCAATATAAAATACATGAAAATATAAAACTCACTGGTAGAGAAGATATACAAATGAGAAAGAGAAGATATCAAAAGTTATTACTACAGCAAACCACCAGAATGCAAACATAAAGTATTAAATAGAAAGAAAAAATAAAGGATACAAAAAACAACCAGAAAATAATTGACAAAATGGCAGAAGTCCACACTTCCCAATATCAACTTTGAATGTAAATGGTTTAAATTCCCCAATTAAAATATACAGACTGGCTAAAAAGGTAAAAGCAAACACATGTTCCAACTATATGCCTCCTATATGGAACTCCTTCACCCGTAAAGGCACAGAAAGACTGAAAGTGAAGAGATGGAAAATATATTCCATTCAAATGGAAACCAAAATTGGGCAGAAGTAGCCATACTTACATCAGATAAAATAGAGTTTAGGTCAAAGAAACATAAAAAGGAGACAGAGAATATCATTATGTAATCACAAAATAATAAATTCAGCAGGAGGATATAACGATTTTAAATACACCCAACACTGAAGTACAAAGATATACAAAGCAAATATTATTAGCAGTCGAGGGAGATATAGATTCTAGTACAATAATAGTTGGGGACTTAGACACTCTACTGTCATCATTGGACAGATCATCTAGACAAAACATGGACAAAAAAATTGGACACAAACTGAAGTAGAGACCAAATAGATCTAACAGATATATACAGAACATTTTATTCAACAACTGCAAAAGATACATTCTTCTCATCAGCATATGGAACAGCTTCCAGGATAAATTGTATGTTAGGCCACAAAACAAGTCTTAACAAATTTTAAAAATCAAAATCTTATCAAGCATCTGTTCAAGCCACACACAAATATAACTATAAATCAATAACAAGAGGAACTTTGGAAACTACACAAATACATGGTAGTTAAACAACATGCTCCTGAATGATCAATGGGCTCAAGGAAGAAATTGAGAAGAAAATTGGTTTAAAAATTGAGACAAATGAAAATGAAAACAAAACATACTAAAATCCATGGAATACAAAAAAAAAGCAGCATTAAAAGGGAAGTTAATAAATGCTTACATCAAAAAACCTCAGGGAACTAGGAAAGGAAGAACATATGCAAACCTAGTAGAAGGAAAGAAATAATGAAGAGCAGAACTATAAAATTGAGACAAAAAAGTTTACAAAAGATGAACAAAATAAAAACCTGTTTTTTAAAAAGATAAACAAAATTGACAAATTATTTGCTATGCTAACTTAGAAAACAGAAAGAAGAGCTGGGCATGGTGGATCATGCCTGTAATCCCAGCTCTTTGGGAAGCTGAGGTGGGTGAATCCTGCTGAGGCAGAAGAATCACTTGAACCCAGGAGGTGGAGGTTGCAGTGAGCTGAGATCCCACTACTGCACTCCAGCCTGGGCAACAGAGCAAGACTCCATCTCAAAAAATTTTTAAAAATAAAAAGAAAGAAGATCCAAATAAGCAAAATCAGAAACCATTAAAGAGACACTATAACTGATACAGCAGTTATACAAAGGATAATTACAGACTATTATGAGCAACTAAATGACAACAAATTGAAAATCCTAGAGAAAGTGAATAAATTTACATGCACATATAACCTACCAAGATTAAACCAGTAATAAATAGAAAACCTGAAATGACAAATACCAAATAACAATATTGAATCAGTGATAAAGACTCTCCCAACAAAGAAAATATCAGTACTGGATGACTTCAGTGCTAAGTTATAACAAACTTTTAAAGAACTAACAGCAGTTCTTCTCAAACTATTTCCAAGAAGTGAAGGGGACAGAAGTCTTCCTAACTCTTTCCACAAGACCACTATTACCATGATACCAAAACCGGACAAGAACAAACAGAAAAAGAAAACTATAGGGCAAATTCCTGATGAACACAGATGCAAAAATTCTCAACAAAATACTAGCAAATGGCATCAAACAGTACATCAAAAAGATTATACACAGTAATCAAGTGTAATTTATCCCAGGATGTAAGGATAGTTCAACATATGCAAATCAATAAATGTGATAGTTTTACAGAATGGATAACAAAAATAATTGTATTACCTCAATGGAAACAGACAAAGAATTTTAGAAAATTTACTATCTCTTCATATTAAAAACTCTCAAATATTAAGTATAGAAGAAACATATTTCAATACAATAAAGGCCATGTATGACAAAACCTGAACTAACAACATACTAAACAAAGAAAAACTGAAAGATTTCCCTCTAACAACTGGAACAAGATAAAGATGGCAATTTCTACTATTCTTATTCAATACAGTATTGGAAATCCTAGATAGACCAATTAGGTGAAAAGACAAAGACAGGAAGGAAGGAAGGAAGGAATGAAGGAAGGAAACAAAGTGCATTCAAATTGGAAAAAGAAAGTAAAATTGTTTCTCTTTGGAGTTGACATAAACTTACATATTAAAAAAACCCCTAAAGACTATAAGAAAACTCTTAGAACTAATAAACAAATTTAGTAAAGTTGTAGGATACAAAAATCAACATACAAAAATCAGTAGCATTTCTATTATATATATCAATAACAAACTAGCTGAAAAAGAAATCAAGAAAGAAGTCTCATTTATAATAGCTATAACAACAACAAAATAGCTAGGAATAAATTTAATCATACAAGGGACAGATCTCTGCAATAAAAGTATGAAATACTGATGAGAAACTGAAGAGGACAAAAAAAATAAAAAGACATCCCACATTTATAACTTCAAAGAACTATTAGGTTAATGCAAAAGTAATTGTACTGACTTAATAATATTGTTAAAATTATCACACTACTCAAAGTGACCTGCAGATTCAGTATAATTTCTGTCAAAATGCCAATGACATTTTTCACAGAAATAGACAAAACAAGCCTAAAAGACCACATATAACTAAAGCAATCCTGAGCAAAAGAACAAATCTGGAAGCATCATTCTACCTGGGACTTCAAAATATACTACAAAACTATATCAACAAAAGGAGCATGGTATTGGCATAAAAACAGACACACAAACAATGGAAAAGAAGAGAGAACACAGAAATAAATCCATGTATTTACAGTAAAACTGATTTTTGACAAAGGCAACAAGAATATACATTGGGAAAAGAACAGCATCTTTAATAAATGGTGCTGGGAAAACTGGATATCCACATGTGGAAAAATCAAACTAAACCTCTCCATCTCACCATATACAAAAATCAAATCAAAATTTATTAAAGATTTAGATGTAATAACTGAAACTATATAACTACTAGAAGAAAACGTATGGGAAATTCTTTAGGATATTGGTCTGGGCAAAGATTTCATGAATAAGACTTCAAAAGCACAGAAAAAAACAAAAATAGACAAATTGAATTATTACAAATAAAAAGCTTCTGCACAACAAAGTCAACAATCTATAGAATAGACAACTCATAGAATGGGAAAAAAAACTATACATATGACAAGAATTAATATCCAAAATCTATAAGCAACTCTAACAACTCAACAACAACAACAAAATAATCCTATGTAAAAATAGGCAAAGAATTTCTCAAAAGAGACAAAAAAAATGGCCAAAAAGTATATGAAAAAATGTTCAACATCACTAATCATAAGGGAAATGCAAATCAAAACTAAATGAGATATAATCTCATCTAAGTTAAAATGACCATTATCAAAAAGACAAAAAGTAACAAATGCTGGCAAAGATGTAGAGAAAAAACTATTTTTATACGCTGTTGATGGATTCATTCCCACCACCAACTGTGGTTAGCTCTGTTAGTGCTAATAATTAGCAAAGCCATTATTAACAACTACACTCTCAGACTACAGCACAATAAAAACAGGAATACTAAGGAAATCACTCAAAACCATACAATTACATGGAAATTAAACAACCTGCTTCTGAATGACCTTTGGGTAAACAATGAAATTATGGCAGAAATCAATAAATTATTAGAAACTAATGAGAATAAAGAAACAACATACCAGTATCTGGGACAAAGCTGAAGTAGTGTTACGAGGGAAGTTTATGGTGCTAAATGCCCACATCAAAACATCAGAAAGATCTCAAATTAACAACCTAACATCACAACTACAGGAACTAGAGAAACAAGAGCAAACCAATTCCAAAGATAGCAGATGAAAATAAATAACCAAAATCAGAGCTGAATTGAAGAAAATTGAGTCACAAAAAAGATACAAAAGATAAACAGTTCAAAAATCTATTATTTGAAAGAATAAATAAGATAGACTTCTGACGACTAAAAAAGGAAAAAAAGGAGAGAAGATTCAAGTAAACACAATCAGAAATGACAAAGGGGACGTTACCACCAGCCCTATAGAAATATAAACAGCCCTCAGAGAATACTACAAAAACCTATATGCACATGAGCTAGAGAACCTAGAAGAAATGGATAAGTTTCTAGAATCATACAACCTCCCAAAATTGAACCAGTAAAAAATTGAATCCCTGAACAAAGACCAATATTGACTTTCAAAATTCATTCAGTAATAAAATGCTGACCAATAAAAAAAGCCCAGCATGAGATGGATTAATAGCCAAATGTTATCAGATGTATAAAAAGGAGCTGGTGATTTTTACACATTGATTTTGTATCCTGAGACTTTGCTGAAGTTGCTTATCAGCTTGAGGAGATTTTGGGCTGAGATGATAGGATTATCTAAATACACAATTATGCCATTTGCAAACAGAGACAATTTGACTTCCTGTCTTCCTATTTGAATACCCTTTATTTCTTTCTCTTGCCTGATTGCCCTGGCCAGAAATTCCAATACTATGTTGAATAGGAATGGTGAGAGAGGGCATCCCTGTCTTGTGCTAGTTTTCAAAGGGAATGCTGCCAGCTTTGGGCCATTCAGTGAAACATTGGCTGTGGGTTTTTCATATATAGCTCTTATTATTTTGAGATATGTTCCATCAATATCTAGCTTATCGAGAGTTTTTTACATCAAGGGGTGTTGAATGTTATCAAAGGGCTTTTCTGCATCTATTGAGATAATCATGTGGTTTTTGTCATTGGTTCTGTTTGTGTGATGGATAACATTTATTGATTTGTGTATGTTGAACCAGCCTTGAATCCCAGAGATTAAGCCGACTTGATCATGGCGAATAAGATTTTGATGTGCTGCTGAATTCAGTTTGCCAGTATTTTATTGAGGATTTTCGCATCGATGTTCATCAGGGATATTGGCCTAAAATTCTCCTTTTTGGTTGTGTCTCTGCCAGATTTTGGTATCAGGATGATGCTGGCCTCATAAAATGAGTTAGGGAGGATCCCTTCTTTTACTATTGTTTAGAATAGTTTCAGAAGGAATGGTAGCAGCTTCTCCTTTTAGCTCTGGTAGAATTTGGCTGTGAATCCATGTGGTCCTGAACTTTTTTTGGTTGGTAAGCGATTAATTACTGCCTCAATTACAGAACTTGTTATTGGCCTATTCAGGGATTTGACTTCTTCCTGGTTTAGTCTTGGGAGGGTGTATGTGTCCAGGAATTTATTCATTTCTTCTAGATTTTCTAGTTTACTTGCATAGAGGTGTTTCTAGTATTCTCTGATGTAGTCTGTATTTCTATGGGATAAGTGGTGATCTCCCCTTTATCATTTTTTATTGTGTCTATTTGATTCATCTCTCTTTTATTCTTTATTAGTCAGGCTACTGGTCTCTTTTCTTAATCTTTTCAAAAAACCAGCTCCCAGGTTCATTGATTTTTTGAAGGGTTTTTTGTGTCACTATCTCCTTCAGTTCTGCTCTGATCTTAGTTATTTCTTGTCTTCTGCTAGCTTTTGAATTTGTTTGCTCTTGCTTCTCTAGTTGTTTTAATTGTAATGTTAGGGTGTCAATTTTAGATCTTTCCTGCTTTCTCCTGTGGGCACTTAGTGCTATAAATTTCCATCTAAACACTGCTTTAGGTGTGTCCCAGAGATTCTGGTACACTATGTTTTTGTTCTCATTGGTTTCAAAGAACTTATTTATTTCTGCCTTAATTTCATTATTTACCCAGTAGTCATTCAGAAGCAGGTTGTTCAATTTCCATGGAGTTGTGCAGTTTCGAGTGAGTTTCTCAATCCTGAGTTCTAATTTGATTGCACTGTGGTCTGAGAGACTGTTTGTTATGATTTCCGTTCTTTTACACTTGCTGAGAAGTGTTTTACTTCCAATTATGTGGTGAATTTTAGAATAAGTGTGATGTGGTGCTGAGAAAAATGTATATTCTGTTGATTCGCAGTTCAGAGTTCTCTAGATGTCCATTAGGTCAGCTTGGTCTAGAGCTGAGTTCAAGTCCTTGTTAATTTTCTGTCTCATTGATCTGTCTAACATTGACATTGGAGTGTTAAAGTCTCCCACTATTATTGTGTGGGAGTCTAAGTCTCTTTGTAGGTCTCTAGGAACTTGCTTTATGAATCTGGGTGCTCCTGTATTGGATGCATATATGCTTAGGATAGTTAGCTCTTCTTGTTGCACTGATCACTTTACCATTATGTAATGCTCTACTTTGTCTTTTTTGATCTTTGTTGGTTTAAAGTCTGTTTTATCAGAGACTAGGATTGCAACTCCTGCTTTTTTTGCTTTCCATTATCTTGGTAAATATTCCTCCATCCCTTTACTTTGAGCCTACGTGTGTCTGTGCACATGAGATAGGTCTCCTGAATACAGAACACCAATGGGTCTTGACTCTATCCAATTTTCCAGTCTGTGTCTTTTAACTGGGGCATTTAGCCTATTTACATTTAAGGTTAATATCGTTATGTGTGAATTTGATCCAATCATTATGAGGCTAGCTGGCTATTTTGCCCGTTAGTTGATGCATTTTCTTCACAGTCTTGTTGGTCTTTGGAGTTTGGTCTATTTTTGCAGTGGCTGGTAGTGGTTTTTCCTTTCCATGTTTATTGTTTCTTTCAGAAGCTCTTATAAAGCAGGTCTGTTGGTGACAAAAATAAAAAATCACAAGCATTTCTACACTCCAATAATAGACAAACAGAGAACAAGATCATTAGTGAACTCCCATTCACAACTGCCACAAAGAGAATAAAATACCTAGGAATACAACTTACAAGGGATGTAAAGGAATATTTCAAGGAGAACTACAAACCACTACTCAAGGGAATAAGAGTGGACACATACAAGTGGAAAAACATTCCATGCTCATGAATAGGAAGAATCAATATCGTCAAAATGGCCATACTGCCCAAATTAATTTATGGATTCAATGCTATCCTCATGAAGACCATAGACTTTCTTCACAGAATTAGAAAAAATTACTTTAACTTTCATATGAAACCAAAAAAGAGCCCGTATAGCCAAGACAATCCTAAGCAAAAAGGACAAAGCTGGAGCCATCACGCTACCTGACTTCAAACTATACTACAAGGTGACAAAATAGCATGGTACTGGTACCAAAACAGATATATAGACCAATGGAACAGAAGAGAGGCCTCAGAAATAATGCCCCACATCTACAACATCTGATCTTTGACAAACCTGACAAAAACAAGCAATAGGGAAAGGATTCCCTATTCAATACATGGTGTTGGGAAAACTGGCTAGCCATATGTAGAAAACTGAAACTAGACCCCTTCCTTACACCTTATACAAAAATTAACTCAAGATGCTTTAAAGACTTAAACATAAGACCTAAAATCATAAAAACCCTAGAAGAAAACAAAGGCAAATTAACTCAAGATAGATTAAAGACTTAAATGTATAACCTAAAACCATAAAAACCCTAGAAGAAAACCAAGGCAATGCCATTCAGGACACAGGCATCGGCAAAGACTTCATGGTTAAAACAACAAAAGCAATGGCAACAAAAGTCAAAGTTGACAAATGTGATCTAATTAAACTAAAGAGCTTCTGCACAGCAAAACAAACTATCATCACAGTGAACAAGCAACTTATAGAATGGGCAAAAAATTGCAATCTATCAATCTGACAAAGAGCTAATATCCAGAATCTACAAAGAACTTAAACAAGTTTACAAGAAAAAAACAACCCCATCAAAAATGGGCAAAGGATATGAACAGACACTTCTCAAAAGAAGACATTAATGTGGCCAAAAAAATACAAAAAACAAAGCTTATCATCACTAGTCATTACAGAAATGCAAATCAAAATCCCAATGAGATACCATCTCACCCCAGTTAGAATGGCGATCATTAAAAAGTCAGGAAACAACAGATCCTGAAGAGAACGTGGAAAAATAGGAATGCCTTTACACTGTTGGTGGGAGTGTAAATTAGTTCAACCATTGTGGAAGACAGTATGGCAATTCCACAAGAGTATAGAACGAGAAATACCATGTGACCCAGCCATCCCATTACTGGGTATACCCAAAGGATTATAAATCATTCTACTATAAAGACACATGCACACGTATGTTTACTGCAGCACTGTTCATAATAGCAAAGACTGGGAACCAATCCAAATGCCAATCACTGATAGACTGGATAAAGAAAATGTGGCACATATACACCATGGAATACTATGCAGCCATAAAAGAGGATGAGTTCATGTCCTTTGCAGGGACATGGATGAAGCTGGAAACCATCATTCTCAGCAAACTAACACAGGAACAGAAAACAAAACACCACATGTTCTCACTCATAAGTGGGCGTTGAACAATGAGAACACATGGACACAGGGAAGGGAACATCACACACTGGGGCCTGTCAGGGGATCAGGGGCTGGGGGGAAATAGGGAGGGATAGCATTAGGAGAAATACCTAATGTATAAGATGGGTTGATGGATGCAGCAAACCACCATGGCATGTGTATACCTATGCAATAAACCTGCACGTTCTGCACATGTATTCCTGAAATTTAAGTATAATTAAAGAAAAGGAGCTGGTACTACTCCTTCTGAAAATATTCCCAAAAATTAAAGAGGAGGAGGGACTTCTTACTAACTCATTCTGTGAGTCCAGCATCATCCTGATATCAAAACCTAGCAAAGACACGTACAGAAAAGAAAACTTCAGGCTAATATCCTTGATGAAAATAGATGCACATAACCTCAACAGAATACTGGAAAACTAAATACAGCAGCATATAATACAGCTAATCCATCATGAACAAGTAGGCTTTATCCTTGAGATGCAAGGTCAATTCAACATACATGAATCAATAAATGTGATTCATCACACAAACAAATGAAAAAAAACACGATTATCTCAATAAATGCAGAAAAAGCATTCTATAAATTTTGACACCCCTTAATGTTAAAAACCTTCAACAAATTGGGCATTGAAGAAACATAGTTCAAAATAATAAGAGCTATCTATGATAAATGCACAGCCAACATCATAGTGAATGAGCAAGAGCTAGAAGAATTCCCCTTGAAAACCACGACAAGACAAGGATGCCTTCTCTCACTACTCCTATTCAACATAGTACTGGAAGGCCTGGCCAGAGCAATCAGATAAGAGAAATAAATAAAAGACATCCAAATAGGAAGAGAGAAAGTCAAACTATCCCTGCTTGTAGACAATATGATTTTATACCTAGAAAATCCCATACTCTCTGCCCAATAACTCCTTGATTTGATAAACAACTTCAGCAAAGTTTCAGGAAACAGAATTAATGTAAAAAATTGGTAGCGTTTCTATATACCAATAACATCCAAGCTGAGAACCAAGTCATGAATGCAATCCCTTTCACAGTAGCCACATAAAGAATAACATACCTAGGAATACAGCTAACCAAAGAGGTGAAAGATCTGTACAATGAGAATTACAAAACACTACTCAGAGAAATCAGAGATGACACAAACAAATTGAAAAACATTCCATGTTCATGGATGGGAAGAGTACATATTGTTAACAATGGCCATACTGCCCAAAGAAATTTACAGATTCCATGCTATTTCTATCAAATTACCAATGACATTTTTCACAGCATTAAAAAACACTAATTTAAAATTCAGATGGAACAAAAAATGAGGTTGAATAGCCAAGACAATCCTAAACAAAAAGACAAAGCTGGAGGCATCACGTTACCTGACTTAAAATATACTACGAGACTACCATAACCAAAACAGCATAGTACAAATACAAAAACAGACATGTAGACTAATGGAACAGAATACAGAACCCAGTAATAATGCTGCACATCTACAACCATGTGATCTTCAACAAAATCAACAAAAATAAGCAAAAGGGAAAGAACTCCCTATTCAATAAATGGTGCTGCAATAACTGGCTAGCTACATGCAGAAGATTGAAACTGCACCCCTGCATTATACCACGTATAAAAATTAACTCAAGACAGATTAAAGGCTTAAATGTAAAGCCTGGATACCATAAGCCATTGCAATAAAAACAAAATTGACAAATGGAACCTAATTAAACTACAGCATTTCTCTACAGCAAAAGTCACAATCAACAGAGTGAACAGACAATCTACAGAATGGGAGAAAATATTTGCGAACTGTGCAAAGGTTTAGTATCCACAATCTTTAAGAAACTTATACCAAAAAGCAAAAAAAAAAAAAACCCATTAAAAAGTGAGCAAAGGACACAAGCAGACACTTTTCAAAAGAAAACATACCCACAACAAACAGACATGTGATAAAATGCTCAACATCACTAATCATTAGAGAAATGCAAATCAAAACCACCATGAGGTACCATCTCACACCACCAGAATGGCTATTATTAAAAAGTCAAAAAATAACATGTTCTCAAGGTTTTATAGTAAAGACAACAGTTTTACACTGCCATTGGTAATGTAAATTAGTTCAGCCACTGTGGAAAGCAGTTTGGTGATTTCTCAAGGAACTCAAAGCAGAATTGCCATTTGACCCAGCAATCCCATTATTGGGTATATATTCAAAGAAATAGAAACCATTCTACCATAAACACACATGCACGTGTATGTTCATCATAGCACTACTAACAACAGCAAAGACATGAAATCAACCTAAATTCCTGCCCATCAATGGTAGGTTAGATAAAGAAAATGTGGTACATATACACCGTGAAATACTATGCAACCTTAAAAGAACATAATTATATTCTTTGCAGCAACATGGGCAGAGCTAGAGTCCATTATCTTAAATGAACTAACAAAGGAACATGAAACCTAAACTGCATATTCTACCTTATAAATAGGAGCTAAACGTTAAATACATTTGAACACAAAGAAGGCAACAAGAGACATCAGGGTGTCTGTTGAAGGTGGAGTGAGGGAGGAGAGTGAGGATAAAAAAAAATGCCTATCAAGTACTATGCTTATTACCTGGGTAGCAAAATAATCTGTATACCAAACCCCTGTGAAATGCAATTTACCTATATAACAAACATGCACATATACTCCTGTAGCTAAAATAAAAGTTTTAAAGAGTAGAATATGAAATAAAATACATAAAATCTAATTTTAACAAAAAAAGAAAGTTTTCACTTTATGGATCTAAAAAAATAAAAAATAGAAATGCTGCATGGTGTCCCAGTGTTAAAAACAAAACAGTGTGGCATTTCTTCAAAAAGCTAAAAATATAACTACCATATGATCCAGCAATCTTATTGCTGAATATTTATCCAACAGAAAGGAAATCAGTGTATTGAAGAGATATTTACACCCCCATGTTTATTGTGGCACTATTCACAATAACCAACTTATGAAATCATCCTAAGTTTACAATGACAGATGAGTGAGTAAAGAAAATGTTGTATCTATCCAAGGCCGGGCAGAGACACAACCAAAAAAGAGAATTTTAGACCAATATCCTTGATGAACATTGATGCAAAAATCCTCAATAAAATACTGGCAAACCGAATCCAGCAGCACATCAAAAAGCTTATCCACCATGATCAAGTGGGCTTCATCCCTGGGATGCAAGGCTGGTTCAATATACGCAAATCAATAAATGTAATCCAGCATATAAACAGAGCCAAAGACAAAAACCACATGATCATCTCAATAGATGCAGAAAAAGCCTTTGACAAAATTCAACAACCCTTCATGCTAAAAACTCTCAATAAATTAGGTATTGATGGGACGTATTTCAAAATAATAAGAGCTATCTATGACAAACCCACAGCCAATATCATTCTGAATGGGCAAAAACTGGAAGCATTCCCTTTGAAAACTGGCACAAGACAGGGATACCCTCTCTCACCACTCCTATTCAACATAGTGTTGGAAGTTCTGGCCAGGGCAATCAGGCAGGAGAAGGAAATAAAGGGTATTCAATTAGGAAAAGAGGAAGTCAAATTGTCCCTGTTTGCAGACGACATGATTGTTTATCTAAAAAACCCCATCGTCTCAGCCCAAAATCTCCTTAAGCTGATAAGCAACTTCAGCAAAGTCTCAGGATACAAAATCAATGTACAAAAATCACAAGCATTCTTATACACCAACAACAGACAAACAGAGAGCCAAATCATGAGTGAACTCCCATTCACAATTGCTTCAAAGAGAATAAAATACCTAGGAATCCAACTTACAAGGGATGTGAAGGACCTCTTCAAGGAGAACTACAAACCACTGCTCAAGGAAATAAAAGAGGACACAAACAAATGGAAGAACATTCCATGCTCATGGGTAGGAAGAATCAATATCGTGAAAATGGCCATACTGCCCAAGGGAATTTACAGATTCAATGCCATCCCCATCAAGCTACCAATGACTTTCTTCACAGAATTGGAAAAAACTACTTTAAAGTTCATATGGAACCAAAAAAGAGCCCGCATCGCCAAGTCAATCCTAAGCCAAAAGAACAAAGCTGGAGGCATCACACTACCTGACTTCAAACTATACTACAAGGCTACAGTAACCAAAACAGCATGGTACTGGTACCAAAACAGAGATATAGATCAATGGAACAGAACAGAGCCCTCAGAAATAATGCCACATATCTATAACTATCTGATCTTTGACAAACCTGAGAAAAACAAGCAATGGGGAAAGGATTCCCTATTTAATAAATGGTGCTGGGAAAACTGGCTAGCCATATGTAGAAAGCTGAAACTGGATCCCTTCCTTACACCTTATACAAAAATCAATTCAAGATGGATTAAAGATTTAAACGTTAGACCTAAAACCATAAAAACCCTAGAAGAAAACCTAGGCATTACCATTCAGGACATAGGCGTGGGCAAGGACTTCATGTCCAAAACACCAAAAGCAATGGCAACAAAAGCCAAAATTGACAAATGGGATCTAATTAAACTAAAGAGCTTCTGCACAGCAAAAGAAACTACCATCAGAGTGAACAGGCAACCTACAACATGGGAGAAAATTTTTGCAACCTACTCATCTGACAAAGGGCTAATATCCAGAATCTACAATGAACTCAAACACATTTACAAGAAAAAAACAAACAAACCCATCAAAAAGTGGGCGAAGGACATGAACAGACACTTCTCAAAAGAAGACATTTATGCAGCCAAAAAACACATGAAGAAATGCTCATCATCACTGGCCATCAGAGAAATGCAAATCAAAACCACTATGAGATATCATCTCACACCAGTTAGAATGGCAATCATTAAAAAGTCAGGAAACAACAGGTGCTGGAGAGGATGTGGAGAAATAGGAACACTTTTACACTGTTGGTGGGACTGTAAACTAGTTCAACCATTGTGGAAGTCAGTGTGGCGATTCCTCAGGGATCTAGAACTAGAAATACCATTTGACCCAGCCATCCCATTACTGGGTATATACCCAAAGGACTATAAATCATGCTGCTATAAAGACACATGCACACGTATGTTTATTGCGGCATTATTCACAATAGCAAAGACTTGGAACCAACCCAAATGTCCAACAATGATAGACTGGATTAAGAAAATGTGGCACATATACACCATGGAATACTATGCAGCCATAAAAAATGATGAGTTCATGTCGTTTGTAGGGACATGGATGAAATTGGAAACCATCATTCTCAGTAAACTATCGTAAGAACAAAAAACCAAACACCACATATTCTCACTCATAGGTGGGAATTGAACAATGAGATCACTTGGACACAGGAAGGGGAATATCACACTCTGGGGACTGTGGTGGGGTCGGGGGAGGGGGGAGGGATAGCATTGGGAGATATACCTAATGCTAGATGACACATTAGTGGGTGCAGTGCACCAGCATGGCACATGTATACATATGTAACTAACCTGCACAATGTGCACATGTACCCTAAAACTTAGAGTATAATAAAAAAAAAAAAATTAAAAAAAAAAAAAAAAGAAAATGTTGTATCTATAACAATGGAATACTATTCAGCCATAAAAAGAATAAAATCTTGTCATTCACAGCAACATAGATAAGCCTGGATTACATCATTTTAGGTGAATAAGTCAGGCAGAGGAAGAAAAAACCACAGGTTCTCACTTGTACGTGTGAGCTAAAAAGCTTGAGCTCACAGAAGTAGACAATAGAATTGTAGTTTTTTTGAGCCTTGGAAAGGTAAGGTGTAGAGAATGATAGTGAGACATTGGTTAATAAATACAAAATTGTAACTAGATGGGTGGAATTAGTTCTAATGTTTGATAGCTCTGCAGGATCACTATTAGTAACAATACTTTATTGTATATTTTCTAATAGCTAGAAGAGAGGATTTTTAATGTTCCCAACACAAAGAAATGATGAATGTTTGAAGAGATGGGTATACTAGTCCCTCTGATTTTATCATTACACATTATAAACATGTATAAAAACATCACTCTGCACTCCATAAATATGCATAATTATGTGTCAGTTAAAAATTAAATTAAATTTTATTAAAAGGAAATATTGAACAGCATTGCTGCTGCTGGATATGGGCAAGAAGAGGTAAGAGATATGAAGAGGTAGGGGACATGTGTATATGCTGTTGCATGCAAAGCACAATATTCATCTTTACATATCAGAAATTTGTGAAGAGCAAATTCCAATTTCCATTTCCCTGGTAATTTATCTGAAAAATTTCCCCACTAGTTTATAGAGTCTGTAAGAGCTGGGATAATATCGGCATTGTTTGTTGCCGCATTATCAACCCCTAGCAGAGTGTTTCATATATGGATGTTAATTAATAATTTTTCAATGAATGAATAAATTAATGAATGGCTTGAATAGAAATTTGGGCTCAGAGAACACATCACAACAGCAGTTACTCATATGCATTGACAGCAGAGTCTTTTACTGCTTTTGTGTGTCCAGAGTTTACAAACCTCCCAAGTTATTAGTGATTGCCATGACATAGAGGCACAAATTGATATCCTTGGTTTATAAAATAGTATAAAGACCAAACCAAGTAAATGTATCCAGCTCAAGAAGAAAGCTTGAACTAATATTAGTCATTCCTGAATATCTGTGGGCCTGGCTAGTCCTCGACAAATGTAGGGATAGAAAGTGGTTTATACAGTGAAGGAAACTGGCCAGTACACCAAGTATGTAGAAAATAAAACCTCAGTACAGCAGCATCAGTTCATACCCGGTTGCTAAATAATCAAGAAACAAGTGATATGCTTGCCAAGGCTTGTTGGGCAAGAAGCCAGGAACAAACACACAACACACTGAGCTCAGCAGAATATAAACAAGAGATTCCATATTCCTGTGGCTTTTCTGGAAGCAAAGAACTGTCCAACAGGCCAACCCCTTTAAACGCTTCAGTCAGCTAATGCAGAGCACTCTCAAGTGTGGGATGTGTAATATATGACATATTTGATTGGTTCAACTTAATAGCCCTAGACTATTATTATTATTATATGCTATCAGAAAGTAAGTTGGCCTCAGAATACAGAGGAGTTCATTTGACTATGACTAAATCCTATTATTTCAGTTATTTTAGAGGCATAAAACAATAACCATTTGTTACACGCACACATTCTGTAAATTAATGATACAGACAAGGCACAGCAGGGATGACTTCTCTGGTCCACAATGTCTGGTCCCTCAATTGGGAAAACTAGAATGGCTGGGAGTGACTTGAACACCTGGGACAGGAGTGATTCTTCATTTATGTGTAATATTGGGTCTGGATTCACTTGAATGCTAGTATCAGCTGGGACTGTTAACCACAGCTACCAACATATGACTTCTGCGGAGGGTTGGGGTTTCTCACAGCAGGACATCCTCAAGTTTGCTGGACCACTTTCATGGCAGTCAGAGCTTTATGAGCAGATTTTCCATATGATAAAGTGGAAGCTGCATGACCATTTATGGCTCAGTCTTGGAAGCCAAATAACATCAATTTTACTATACTCTCCAGATTCAACAGGAGGAGATATAAACCCACACTTTTCCATGGAAGGACTGTCAAAAATATGTAGCCGTGTTGAAACCACTGCATTAATTACTATCACTTAGCTTGTCATAAAATAAACTCAGATACTGAAAGTCATTGGAGCACAATGGTTAAATGAGTTCTGAGTTCAAATATAAGCTCTACTACTTATTGGTTATGTAACTTTGGTTACATTATTTGACCTTTCTTGGCTCAAGTTTCTTCCTCTATAGAAGAGGGATGATAAGTACCATGCTGTATTAGTCCATTCTCACACTGCTATGAAGAAATACCCAAGACTAGATAATTTATAAAAGAAAGAGGTTTAATTACTCACAGTTCAGCATGGCTGGGAGGCCTCAGGATACTTACAATCATGGCGGAAGGCACCTTTTCACAGGGCGGCAGGAGAGAGAATGAGCACAAGCAGGGGAAATGCCTGATGCTTATAAAACCATCAAATCTCATGAGACTTATTCACTATCACCACAACAGCATTCGAGAAACCCCATGATTCAATTACTTCCACCTGGTCGCAATCAACATGTGGAGATTATTACAACTCAATGTGAGATTTGGGTGGGGACACAGAGCCAAACCATATCACAGGTCTAACTCATAGAATATTGATAAGAATTAAACAAGTTAATAAAGTGATTAACACAGTATCTGAAACAAAGGAAACACCAATAAATGTTAGCTGTTACTATGTTTTTGTATATCAAATATCAACATAGTGGACAGCAACCAGTACCAGTAATTGTAACAGTCTCTAGGGATACAAAGATGAATAATATGAAATCAGATACGTTGAATAGCTCATACTTAAAATACAGAGAAGACTTATAAAATTACAAGAGCATTTAATATGTATATAAATGAGATAAGTTTGTATAACACCTTATACACTGGTCTTGGAATCAGAAGCTAGAACTGGAGAGACAAGGTGACTGCTGTGCCTTGATTGTATCATTAATTCACAGAATCTGTGAGTGTAACAAATTGTTATTGTTTTATGCCTCTAAAATAACTGAAATAATAGGATTTAATCATAGTCAAATTAACTATGGAGAGAAACACTGGTCTTAGAATTAGAAGCAAGAACTGAAGACCAGAATCTGATACTTTCTAGCTGTTTCACCCGCTCAAGCCACTGAAATCCCTCCAAACATGATTTTTCTTTATCTATTAATTAAAAGTAGTGCAGCATTTTCTACCTATATCATAGAGATGCTGCGAAGATTAGTGAAATAGAGCAGATAGAAGTATTTCGTGAACTCTAATGTGCTGTGTATACCTAAGCTGCCATCATTGCCCAGGCTTCATACTGAACCCTACATAATGGGATTTAATCACTTAAGCCTCAACCCTACACTGTGAGTCCCAGGCCCTGTCTCCAAACCAATTTCACATACACACACACACAAAAAGACTCTGTAACATTACAGAATTTAAAATCCCATAGTTCAGTAGGTGTATTTTTTAAAAATACTCCTTGGCCAAATATTTGCAAACTATTTCTCTCTTCTGTTACACATCAGGATTTAATCTAAATTCCAAGCTAGATAATTTTCTGGGCAGAATGGATGTTACAAAGAACTACATGAGTCACTTGTGTGCTGGCATGTCATTTTTTGCAATAAGTCATAAGAGATAAGTCCCAGAACATGGTTTTCTGAAAGTTATTAAAAATAAAAATATTTTAAGTTCATCCCTTTATACTGTTTAAATACTTACAACATTACTCTCCTGCAGTAGGAAGAGATGGAACTTCAAAGGAATGTATTATCATCATATGAATAGATATTTTTGCATTATGAAAGACTTACATGGCATGTGAATATGAGTAGCGCCTTCAGAGTGTTTGGTCATAGCAGAAATTGGTCTTGAATAGCTTGTGCACATCACTGCTTATGAGAAGGCAATCATAGTAGCTTCGAGTCTATTACTCTATATGACACAAGAGTGACACAGGTGATTGCTCTTACTAAATTGAGATGAGTCCAAAGGTAGAAATGAAACTAAATGCACAAATGGAAAAACTGATAGCATTTGGCTACTGGTGGATGTGGGAAGAGAAAGGGAGATTACAAGTGGGAAGAGAAAGGAGGAGATTACAAGCTTCTGAACATTGATGCTAGGAGTCTTGTAGATAGTGCCTATCTGATAGTTGAGAGAAAAGATTATGATCTTAGAAGGATGTGCTCAAAATACAAGATGAAGATTCAAGAGCCATCAGACTAAAACTAAGAATGGAAGAATTCACCAACAAAGAGAGTATAGGGAAAGAAGTCCATCAGTGTACCAGAAACCTTAGGGAGAGGGAAGAATCAGAAGAGCCTGTCAAGATGGAAAAAAAAAATGATCAGAAAGTAAGGAAAACAAACAGGAACAAACCTAGGTCTCAGAGGTGGAAAGAGTTTCTACAACATGGAAGGGATGACTAATGATCTTATAGGCCACAAAGATTGGTAGGAGAATAAGGAAAGAGTTACAGCCCCCTTTTAGAAGTGTGACTTTCAAAAGAATTATTTATTTATTTATTTATTTATTTATTTATTTATTTATTATCTATCTATTTTGAGACAGAGTCTCGCTCTGTCGCCCAGGCTGGAGTGCAGTAGCGCCATCTCGGCTCACTGAAAGCTCCGCCTCCCGGGTTCAAGCCATTTTCCTGCCTCAGCCTCCCGAGTAGCTGGGACTACACGTGCCTGCCACCACGCCCGGCTAATTTTTTTGTATTTTTAGTAGAGACGAGGTTTCACCGTGTTAGCCAGGATGGTCTTGATCTCCTGACCTTGTGATGCACCCCCTCCTGGGCCTCCCAAAGTGCTGGGATTATAGCTGTGAGCCACCGCGCCTGGCCAAAAGAATTATTTTAACAGGAAAAGCTTGGTGGTTGAGGAGTAAGTGCATGGTCATAAACAGTATGCATCATGGGTAGACTTCTTTCTCAAAGGAAGGATTTTTAGGATAAGGAATACTTGAGCAGATTTTCCATCTAGGAAAAAGTGTAAGAGGAAATTCGTTGCAAGGGGAAAAAAAGACAATCGATGAATCAAAGACTCAGAGAAGTAGGAATATGAGAATGGATAGAGATCCCTTATAAGGAAGAAAGGTTAAAAAAAGAAAGTGATATTATAATTTTGGATGTAGAAAAAAGCAAGCTAGGGGAGATCACATTGAATTGATCTGCTCTTCTCAGTAAAGGCTCTGAGATCTTACAGTGATTAAGAGAAGTATGGAATGAAGAGAATGCATGCCATAATAGAAAGATAACTAGATAGTAACAAAAGATTACAGATTTCTGTAAAATATATGATGTTGTGCATGTAGCATGTGTGGTGTATATATGATATTAAATAAGTGCATATTACATATTGTAATATGTTATAAAATACACAATAACATATACTATAAACAAGCTCACTCACTTTGTTGCCCCACTTCTATAAAAATTTTGTGTGGATTTTTAATAGGGAAAGTCTTCATCAGTGATTGAAATAAGGAAGATCTCAGAAAAGTCAAATAATTCCTGCTAAGATATCTGCGGGTAAAAATAGAATACAGATAGAAAGGAAGACAATTGATTTCCTTTCTTATGAGAGAGAAGGTTTCCTGAAGAAGAAGTAAGGGACTTCTCCACTAAATCTCCACTAACATTCCCTCGGTAAGTGAGGTGAGAAAAGGTAATATTGCAACACTTAAACAATGAAGGGATTATATGAGGCAGGGCTTTCTCCCAGAGGAAATAACTTCAACGGGGCAAAAAATCCTGTGTTTCTTTCAATGAGAAAATAGAGAAAATACTTCTAAACTTAAAGTGCAGTTCAAATAAAGAGAATTACATTAAAAAAAAGGTATCAAAGGAGATTCTTCTTTAACATAAATTAACTGTGAGAAATAGAAGAGCATATTAAAGAATTTCTAATTTGTGTTCCAAAATGATTCAAGAAAGTATTTTATATGTGAAAATTGAGCTTAGCATTTGTTTTGGAAGAAATATTTCAAAATCAGTAAAGATTATGTAAAGATTTCCTTTTAAAATATTAGCATAGTAAGCAGAATGTTAGACACTCCCCATAAATTGATTTTGACAAATTCCAGAAATTCAAAGATGTTGATAAAATATTAACATAATGAAAAAGATGAGAGAAAAGATAAGTATATAACAAGAATCCCAAAGGAGATAGAAAAATTTCTTATTTTAAGACAAAAATAAGAAATAATAAAAGAAAATAAGAAACAATAAAAGAAAACTTTGTTGAGTTGAGGGAAGACAAATGCGAATGGAGCAGATACTTTAAATATAATAAAGTAATGGATATAGACAAAAATATTTGTAATTTGAATTGCAATGATGTAAAAATATATATAAGAAGTCAAAAAGAGAAAGCATGTTATGTGTGTAGCACCCACACATTCTTCTTAAAAAATAAATTACTTGTTGATGGATAACAGCCTTCTAGAGATGAATAAAAAATATATTTCAAGAGGAAATGGTTATCATAAGTCTTAACTATGAATAAAACTGGATTAAACAAAGTAACATTAAAATAGTTTTTGTCAACATGGCTTTAAAATGTAGTGAAAGAATCCAAAATAGTTTTAAGCTTGGACACATCATTGAACAAATCGTGATTAACTAATAGTAATTTGAGGTTCCAAATCCAAAATTATATGAATGAATGTTGAGACAAGAACAAGTGGAAGGGAGAATTAAGAATTATCCTAAAATTTCTATCTTATAGAGTCAATAGTCAGTTTTTATTTCAGTGTGGATCTTGTTAAATAAAAATAAATTCAAACACTTTTTAACTTAGAAGTGACCACAATTTGAATGAAAATATGATACATATCCTATTCCATGAATTTAGGGTTTAGATATGGTCACATCTCTTATTTTTCCAATTGTTCTCACCTACAAATGCTGCACTTGCAGGAGGTTTGATAGCTTCTACCTGATATTCGCCTATCCTCTCTGGAAATCCATGAGCCCCAGAGATTTACTCCCATCCAGAAAGGTTAATCTGAAGGATGTACATTGTACATTGTAGAAAATGACCTGGAGTGAAATGTGTCCACTAAAAGTATTCCTTCTGATTTCCACAAGGAGTTGTGATTGAAGAATGGTTATTTATGACTCAAAAAGGCTGCTGGCCCACTACTGGGAGAAATACTCAGTTCTTCAGAGAACTGCCCAAGCTCTCTTGATTCCTTAAGGAGACATGATCAAGGCAAGTACTGAACATCGGTGGTCCAGGCGTGGGTTCCTAGGGTTACAACTCTTAGCGCTTAGCTCTGTCAGTTGCCATAAAGACCTACTAGGAAGCCATCTCACCCTCCTCGGGAATACTGCTATAGGATGTGTTCCCTATGACTACCTGCTAGACTCAGAAACATTTCCCTCTTCCTGAAGCAAATTCTTTTCAGTTGTTAAAACATAAAGATTCTGGGCCGGGCGCGGTGGCTCACGCCTGTAATCCCAGCACTTTGGGAGGCCGAGGCGGGCAGATCACGAGGTCAGGAGATCGAGACCATCCCGGCTAAAACGGTGAAACCCCGTCTCTACTAAAAATACAAAAAATTAGCCGGGCGTAGTGGCGGGCGCCTGTAGTCCCAGCTACTTGGGAGGCTGAGGCAGGAGAATGGCGTGAACCCGGGAGGCGGAGCTTGCAGTGAGCCGAGATGGTGCCACTGCACTCCAGCCTGGGCGACAGAGCGAGACTCCGTCTCAAAAAAAAAAAAAAAAAAAAACATAAAGATTCTGGTTACATCAAGTTTCTCTAGACAAATGAGCTTCTCATCTAACTTCCTATGGAAGGCCCCTAATCAACTCCAAGGTGCCAAACAGTTCTGGGGGAGCACACCTTAAGAGACTCGACATTGGTGTACTTCCAAGAGTGGCCCTCCACGTGATCTGAGATGATTCTTATGTCCTCCTTAAAAGAGATAAAACACATAAATGTATATTTGATAAGGTCTCACTGTACATGTTTCCTCTCAAATCACAGAAATAAAAACAAAAATATATATGTAGACGTGTGTGGGAGGGCATAAAACAAGGATACATCAGAAAGAACGAACAAAAATATCAGGTTGGAAAAATTACCAAAGCTTGATAATCAAGGTAAAAATTTTTTAAAAAGTCATTTATATCAACAAAAATTAAATGTAGAAAAAGACATTAAAATGTGAGTCCTGAATCTTCAGTAGTACCACAACATTGAAATATAGTAATCAAAAATTGTCAGAATTACAGAGAATAAGATTTTTAGAAACACAATGAATGAGAAAAATTTAACATACCAGTCTCAGCTTTTGACAGAAGAAGCAACAAAAGTAATATATATATATATATATATATATATATATATATATATATATATATATATATAATATATTGAGGTTTCAAATATAATGCATGGCTGTATATAGAATAGTTTTTCACATACCCAGAAGCCACCTTATTTTCCAGAGATTATGGAACATTTACCAAAATTGGTTTCATTCTGTGGCAATAAGGATGGCATAAATTCTCAAAGGTAGAAATTATATACCACTTTCTTTAATAACAACTCAATAATGGTAGAATTAAACAATAAAAAAAATTTTAACTTACCAAATGAAACTGTTTTTAAAAAAGGAAAATCAAAACTATAATTATAAGCTCTTTAGAAATAATAATAATAATATAACTTTAATATAGAAAAAAGCTAAATCTAAATGAAAGAAATTTATACCTTTAAATTCAATCAATATCTTAAAAGAAATGAAAGAAAATATACTTAACTTTTAACTTTAAGCTTTAGAAAGAAAACATTAAAGCATATTTGATGAAAAACTATGAGAAAATTTTTAGCCCAGCCATTTGGGAGGCCAAGGCGGGTGGATCACCTGAGGTTAGGAGTTCGAAACCAGCCTGGCCAATATGGTAAAACCCCATCTCTACTAAAAATACAATAATGAGCTGGGCATGGTGGCAGCTGCCTGTAATCCCAGCTACTTGAAGGCTGAGGCAGGAGAATCGCTTGAACCCAGGAGGTGGAGGTTGCAGTGAGCCGAGATCTTGCCATTGCATGCCAGCCTGGGTGACAAGAGCGAAATTCTGTCCCAAATAATAATAATAATAATAATAATTAATCACAAAGATACATTCAAACAAACAAAAGCAAAAATTGATGAGTCTAAGAGGTGGTTTTAGAGTGGGATACAGGGAATCTTAAGCCTTGTAAATCAAGAAAAGAGCACAAGAAAAGAAAGGAAAATTCAAGTCAAAAATATGACAACACATTTGAGGATTTACATATTTACCTACCTATTTATCTGGATATATATTATATAGGTAGGCATGTATATATGTATGTATATACATAAATTATGTATTATAAAAACATGGAAATTTTAAATAAAAGAGAACAAGTGGTAGAAAAATAAAATTACCAAAACTTTTCTAAAAAGAAAAAAGATATCTTGAAAAAAATGACAGCATTAGGAATAACAGAAATAAATGTTGAAGAATTTCTTCTAAAATTAGTCACTGTATTTAAATGGCTTTATAAGTGATAACCATCTAATGTTTAAGGCAGAAATAACTACAGCCTTCCATTGCCTCTCCAATAAAAAATGCAGAAAATTGTAAAACTCTCCATTTCACTTTATAAAGCAAAAATAACCATTACACCAAAATCTTACAGATGTATTGGAAAAGATTTAAAAGGGTAAATGAATGGTAGTAAATTAAATTTACTAGCACATTAAAATAATAAAATGGTGGGTTATGAGGTCAGCCAACCTGTTTAAAGCTTGAGTTTGGCATTTGCACTGCTTTGTGAACTTACACAACTTAGCTTCATCAACTCTTCATTTCCCAACTGTAAAATATTAATAGTACTGATCTCAGAGGACTGTGGTGAGGATTGAAAAAGATGATATACACAAGGCATTCAGTTATATTTATTGAGCATCTACCTTTTCTTATTTTATTGTTAGCTTTTCAGGGAAATTTATTTGAGGAATACAAGATAGATTTAATATTACAGGTGTACTAATATATTTTATTGCATCAGCAGGTCAAAGGGTAAAAATTGTGTGATCACTTTGGGATATTCTACAACAACGTTATTACAATTTAATATGTGCTCTTCAAAACCACTGAATTCCAAACATAAGAGATGCACAAGGGGCGTTTGACAAATTTAAAATTTACTCATGAAATTTAAAAATATAGAAAAATGTCTCTTAATCAACTTTTGGTTTGGAAATAAAGTCATTAAGTCAGCATTTCAACATTTCTCTTCCAAGAAATTCTCTAAAAGCAACAAAGGAAACATGCACATTCCATTTTCAGCTAAATGAAGAGACAGCTAAAGCCTCAAATCTTAAGACATGTCAAAGGATTGCCAAAAGCAATGGAGGGAAAGCAAAAAATTGTGTAGAGGAGGAATGGAGCAAGATTATGGCCTCAGAGAGTCAACTGCTCAAAGTACACCCCTGAAGCTGAGGGGTGGAACGTGTTTGAATTCTTGGTTGACAGCAGTCCAAAGAGGCATGTGGGCTGGTAACAGAGGTGTCCCCAGATGAGGCTCCTATCAAACAGCCAGACACAGCAGCACCTACTTGGAAACTCATCAGATGAGCAAACCATAAGTTCATAAATTAATCTATATTTTTGGAAGCAGAGAAAAAAGATGTTACATTCTGAATTATCTGTCTCCTGATATCTATATCCTTAATATGGGAGAAACTAAATCTAAAACAAATCTCAGATCACAGGGAAAATACTGGTCTATCTTCATCATCCCTCCCCAACAGAAACTCCATTAAATAGCTGGGCCAGGAAAAATTTGCTTGTTTCAAATATGAGTAATCAAACAAAATGAGCAATCCCCAAATCTGTACAAGATATTCTACAGAAACAGGAGGAATGAAATGATATGAAGAAATGGCTGACCAATAAAATGCATCAGAAAATGTGACCTTGGATTCACCACAAATATTAAAACTCTTATGCTGCAATCAAGTCTATGACATGTAAGCAAAAAGCAGAGTTACAGGAGCTCAGAGATGATATGTCAAGACCATAGAAAGAAAAGGAATGCAAGCTGGAGAAATTCAGGAAAATGTGAAATAGAAATGTAAAAATGTATTAAATTAAGGTAGAATCAGGAGAAACACTGGAGCTCTGCTAAATATAACTAGGGAATGGGGATATTAAAAAACAGTCAAGTGGAAATAAAGAGAGGGTAACAATAATTTGAGAAAAAGTTCTAATTTCCATTAACAGCAGACTCAGTTATTCAAATCAACTCTCCCCACTGAAAATGTCTAATCATGATGTCTAAAATAAAGATTAAAACAAAAAGCAGTAAAATATTAATATTAAAAGAAAGTGGAAAGTCCCAAGCCAAGTTTTTAGCAAGAGAAGTAAGCGCAGTATCAGAGCAGTAAAGCTGCTTCTGCTTAGAGGGCGTCTTTTTATACCACAACATGGTTCTGGTTCTGTGGCTTCAATCCCCGGATTAGAGAAAAAACAGGCCAACACACAAGGCCCACTATACTTGGAATCCTCCTATACTGAGCCAAGGCCCCAAGTGCAACTCAGAACAAGGGCAAAGCAGATCTAGAACCCTCTCTCCCTCCCCTCACTACCACTACTCACTCCAAATACTATAAAAGATGGGAAGAACTGACGTGATGCTAAGCAGAACCGGAAAGTAAAACAGAAAGGATATGGGACAGAAGTTATGCCTTCCCTCAGGTACAGAGCCTGAGTAATCCAGGCAGTCCTGATTGGGAGTGCCCATGGAAGTAGCAGAAGCCTCTTGGAGGAAGGAAACCTATTTCAGACCTCAGGATCATTCACAAATAATTTTCCGATGACAATGATAAGCAAGCAGTCAGAAGTTATAAGACATACAAGTAACAATACAGTGAGAACAGAAACCACAGATGGCAGCAATCACCTTTTTCAATCCAAATTAAGCCACTCTCAGTTGAGATCCACTGAGAGAGAGAGAAAGAGAGAGAGAAAGAGAGAGTGTGCAAGCCAGTGCACACAAATTGATCAAATATTACTGCCCTCAAAAGCTCTAGACCACAAATTTTAGAGCGAATTTCTACTACATAGTTCTACTTACATAGGAAAATTTAAAACAACGTTTTCTGAAATTTTTTATATAACTTTTTATTATATGTTGACAAAATATAATTGTGTGCACTTATGGGGCAAAAAGTGATGTTATGATTCCTTGATTCCTATGATTCCTATGATGTTATGATTCCAACGTGGAAATGATTAAATCTAGCTACTCAACATCTCCATCACCTCAAATATTTAACATTTTGGACATTCAGAAAATTTGAAATTTACTCTCTTGGCAATTTTGAAGTGTATAGTACTCATTTATTAGCTATAGTCACCACACTGTGCAATAGATCTCAAAAAATGATCTAACTGATGATAGAGAAAGCTTTGTACCCTTTCACTATCATCTCCCCATTCCCCCGACCCCAAATTCTGATAATCACCATTCTACTCTCTGCTTCTATGAGTTCAATTGTTTTAGATTCTACATGTAAGTAAGAACATGTAGTATTTGTCTTTCTGTGTTTGGCTTATTTCAGTTAGCATAACTTCTAAAATTCCACCCATGTGCATCTGAATAATTTTTAATGAAATAAACAAAACTTTGAAATCAAAAGTTCAGAAATGTTAGATGAAATCAACCTATATGTCAATCTTACTTATAAATATCACTTTAAAATTCTAAATAAATAAAATCATAAATACAATATTAAGTGACAGAATCCAGAAATACATTCAAATAATTATAAATCATGGCAAAGCAGAGCTTATTCCAGGAATGAAAGTGCAGGTAAACTTTAGAATATTAATTAAAATGTCTAATATATATAAAAAGAATTGTATTTATCTTCATAGATGCTGAAAAACTTTTTAACAAAATAAAAATTATTTCTTTAAAAATCAAAAATTATTTATTAAGATAAGAATAAATGGTTACTGTCTAATATCATAACATATGCTATCTCAAAATGTGAGGAAGCACTTGAAGTGTTCTCAGAATCACAAATAAAACAAAGGCGTGTGTAGCCACTATTATTATTTAACCTTTTTCTGGAGTATTGGAAATGCAACTAGGAAACAGAAAACAACAACAACAACAACTAAAGAGAAAAAAATTGTAAAGGAGTCAAAATTACCATTATTTGCAGATGGTATTATTACAAACAGTGACATTATATTTCCAGTTATGCAAATTAACAGGAAAGCAATTACAAAAAATAATAGAATTTAATAAGGAGTTCAGTATACACGACTAATACAAGGAATCAATAGTCTTAATATATACAAACAACTTAGAAGTTATGATGGGGGAATAAATCTCATTAAAAATTGCAATTCTTCTTCCCTCCTTCTAAAAAAAGATATAGCACCTAGAAATACACTAAGTGAGAAATATGAAGGATCTATATGAAGCAAATTTGAAGGGTCTTGAAGAATAAAGAGGGCTTAAGCTAATTGAAGAGATGTCATGTTCTTGGTTAGAAAAGCTCAATATTGTAGATTCAATCCTGTCAAAAGTAATATATACATTTAACCGAAATCCTAAAACAGAAACAAAACTCACTGAACTTCATAAGAGGAGACCAGAAAAACTAATTCTAAAATTCAAATGAAAAAATAAAGAAGAATATACAGGAAAATTCTGGCCAAAAAAAAAAACAGTAAAGAGGGAGACCAGCTCTATACAGTATAAAAGCAAATCTTTAATATGCATAATTAAAATCCTGTGTTACTGGCACATCAATAAAGAGTTTGATAGCATGATAGTCAATGTATTAGTTACTGAAGAAATGCTAATTGAAACTCAAAGATACTAACTTAACAATTAGTAATTATTCAGATAAAGATACTAGTCAAGGTTGGCAAGGGTTTGGGAAATTAGGAAGTCTCATACACTGTGTGCATTGATGCAAACTAATTTCTTATAACCTACCTAACACTTTAAACAAACGTGAACTATTGAATCTCAGTACTTCTTTTTCTTTTTCTTTAAAAAAAATGGTTTAAGAACTAAATAGAGGTATATACAAATGTACTGAAATACTCATGGCACCATTATATAAAGTGTCAACCAATGAATCCAATCAAAATATTCAACCAAGGAAATAGGTAAAATAAACTGTAGGGCCGGGCGCGGTGGCTCACGCCTGTAATCCCAGCACTTTGGGAGGCCGAGGTGGGCAGATCACGAGGTCATGAGATCCAGAACAGCCTGACCAACATGGTGAAACCCCATCTCTACTAAAAGTACAAAAACTAGCTGGGCATGGTGGCACACACATGTAATCCCAGCAACTTGGGAGGCTGAGGCAGGAGACTTGCTTGAACCGGGGAAGTGGAGGTTGCAGTGAGCAGAAATCACACCACTGCACTCCAGCCTGGTGATGGAGCGAGACTCCATCTCAAAAAATAAATAAATAAATAAATAAATAAATACATAAATAAATACATAAATAAATAAATTTTAACACTTCCATAAAATGAAATATGTCACATTTATGTAAGCAACTGAATATAAATTTTTTAAAAGACAGAAATTCAATTGAAAATGCGCAAAGGGTATGAAATAGCAATTTGTAGATAAGGCACCACAGATGGATGAACAGAATATAAAGATTTTCATAAATTCACTGGCACTGAGAAATGCAAATTAGAATGATATCCCATTTGACACTCACAAGATTTCAAAAAGTTTCAAAACCTGGGTCATTCCTAGAGTTAGTGAAATGAACATCCTTCGGCATTGCTTATGAGAGGCTTAAGTGGCACATGTGTCAAAAAAAAACAATCTGGCATTACTTGTAGAAATTCGACTGTGTATGCCCTACGACTGGGAAATCATGCTCTAAGTACAGAGCCCAGTGAGATTCTTTTTTTTTTTTTTGTCACCCTGCTGTTCCATAGGTCTCAAAACGTATTTCTCCTATTTTTAATTTATCTTATTTTTTATTAATATTATTATCTTACTTTAAGTTCTGGGATACATTGGCAGAACGTGCAGGTTTGTTACACAGGTATACATGTGCCATGGTGGTTTGCTGCACTCATCAACTTGTCATCTACATTAGGTATTTCTCCTAATCCTATCCCTCCCCTAACCCTGCATCCCCTGACAGGCCCCAGTGTGTGATGTCCCCCTCCTTATGTCCATGTGTTCTCATTGTTCAACTCCCACTTATGAGGGAGAACACGTGGTGTTTGATTTTTCTGTTCCTGTGTTAATTTGCTGAGAACGATGGTTTCCAGCTTCATCCATGTCCCTGCAGGATGTGAGGGCAATCTGGCTGCGACATTTGTCACCCCATTGATCGCCAGGGTTGATACAGCTGATCTGGCTGGCTAGGTGGGTGTCCCCTTCCTCTCTCACCGCTCCACGTGCGTCCCTCCCAAAGCTGCGCGCTCTGTCAAAGAGGACGATCATCCCTGATAGACGAGGACCAGTCTTTGGTCAAGGGTACACGAGTAGCTGTGCTCTCCTGCTAGAACCTTCAAACAAGCTCTCAAGGTCCATGTCCCTGCAAAGGAAATGAACTCATCCTTTTTTATGGCTGCATAGTATTCCATGGTCTATATGTGCCACATTTTCTTTATCCAGTCTATCATTGATGGGCATTTGGGATGGTTCCAAGTCTTTGCTATTATGAACAGTGCTGCAATAAACATATGTGTGCATGTGTGTTTGCAGTAGAATGATTTATAATCTTTTGGGTATATACCAAGTAATGGGATTGCTGGGTCACATGGTATTTCTGATTTTAGATCCTTGAGGAATCACCACACTGTCTTCCACAATGGTTGAACTAATTTACACTCCCACCAACAGTGTAAAAGCATTCCTATTTCTCCACATTCTCTCCAGCATCTGTTGTTTGCTGACTTGTTAATGATCGCCATTCTAACTGGTATGAGATGGTATCTCATTGTGGTTTTGATTTGCATTTCTCTAATGACCAGTGATTATGAGCTTTTTTCATATGTTTGTTGGCCCCAGAAGTGTCTGTTCATATCCTTTGGCTACTTTTGGATGAGGTTGTTTGTTTTTTTCTTGTAAATTTGTTTAAGTTCTTTGTAAATTCTGGATATTAGCCCTTTGTCAGATGGATAGATTGCAAAAATTTTCTCCCATTCTGTAGGTTGCCTGTTCATACTGATGATAGTTTCATTCGCTATGCAGAAGCTCTTTAGTTTAATTAGATCCCATTTGTCAGTTTTGGCTTTTGTTACCATTGCTTTTGGTGTTTTAGTCATGAGGTCTTTGCCCATGCCTATGTCCTGAATGGTATTGCCTAGGTTTTCTTCTAGGGTCTTTATGGCTTTAGGTCATATGTTTGAGTCTTTAATCCATCTTGAGTTAATTCTTGCATAAGTTGTAAGGAAGGGGTCCAGTTTCAGTTTTCTGAATATGGCTAGCCAGTTTTCCCAACATCATTTATTAAATAGGGAATCCTTTCCTCATTGCTTGTTTTTGTCAGGTTTGTCAAACATTGGATGGTTGTAGATGTGTGGCATTATTTCTGAGGCTTCTGTTCTGTTCCATTGGTCTATATATAAGTTTTGGTACCAATGCCATGCTGTTTTGGCTACTGTTGCCTTGTAGTATAGTTTGAAGTCAGATAGCATGATGCCTCCCACCTTGTTCTTTTTGCTTAGGATTGTCTTGGCTATACGGGCTTTTTTTGGTTTTATGTGAAATTTAAAGTAATTTTTTCTAATTCTGTGAAGAAAGTCAACAGTAGCTTGATTGGGGATAGCACTGAATCTATACATTACTTTGGGCAGTATGGCCCAATATCATTTTCATGATATTGACTTTTGATATTTCATGATATTGATTCTCATGATATTGATTCTATTGTTTCATGATATTGATTCTGAGGCCCAATATAATTTTCATGATATTGGTTCTTCCTATCCATAAGCATGGAATGTTTTTTCCATTTGTTTGTGTCCTGTCTTATTTCCTTGAGCAGTGGTTTGTAGTTCTCATTGAACAGGTCCTTCACATCCCTTGTCAGTTGTATTCCTAGATATTTTATTCTCTTTGTAGCAATTGTGAATAGGAATTCACTCATGATTTGGCTCGCCCAGAGATTCTTACTCAGATTCATAGGGCAACATGTTCAGAGATATCCCTCACAGCATTGTTTATAATTATGAAGTATCTACCAATTAAATAATGGTGATAAATAATCACCATGGATACTATGAAACAGTTAACCACAGTTTTAAAAAATCACAAATCCAGGCCAGGGGCAGTGGCTCACGCCTGTAATCCCAGCACTCTGGGAGACCGAGGCAGACAGATCACCTGAGGTCAGGAGTTTGGGACAGGCTTGGCCAACATGGCGAACCCCCATCTCTACTAAAAATACAAAAAACTAGCCAGGTGTGATGGCATGTGCTTGTAGTCCCAGCTACTCGGGAGGCTGAGGCAGGAGAATCGCTTGATCCCAGGCAACGGAGGTTGCAGTGAGCCGAGATCAGGCACTGCACTCCCACCTGGGTGACAGAATGAGACTCCTTCTCAAAAAAAAAAAAAAATTATAAATCCATCTAAAAAATACACTATGAGTAAAAATTATTAGAAATGAGCCCCCATCCTTAACATATTATGATTTAGTTTGGAAAACATGAAATTTTTAATCTATATAACATTTGTTTCATATAAATATCCATATATCTAGGGTCATCTATCAGACACGTGAGAATGAGTGTCTATAAAGGTGGGGGTGGGAGGAGTGAGGTAGAATAGGAGTGGGGACCAGGAATGAGGAGGACCCTACAAATTTTGAAAGTGGGAATGCACCCTGAATTCTCTGCACCAGAGGCTCAAAGAAAATAGAGAAAATTGTGATGCAGAAGATAATTTAATGCCATTAGAATGTGTGTATAATTTAGGTGAGTAAAAATAAAAAATACTACATATGGATATACCAATTTTGTTTAAGATATATTATGAATGCACAGATCAAAAAAGTAACACAATGTTCACAACAATGTTATTTCTAAGTTGTGAGTGGTTTTGATTTCTTTATTTCTAGTTTTCAGATTTTTCACTTTCTACTAAAACCTCTGATTAATTTTATAATAAAAATAGACAGAAACTATTAGAGGAAAAATTCTGAAATAGCATGGAACTAGAAAAAACACCCAGTTTCAAATCCTAGCTCTCTTGCTTACTAGCTATATAATTAGAGACTTCACATTTTTTAAACCTCGGTCATTGCATCTAAAGAAAATGGTTGCAGTAATGCATTAATAACATCTCAGGATTATTGTAAGGATTACCCAAGGTAACACATGGAAGTATTTGTAACCCATAAAGTTAAATGCATTCAGGTCCCCCTCCAAAAGTTAAATAAACTTTGAGACCGTATACACTTCAGAATCCATATTTTTGTTTTACAGACATAATGACATAAAAATAACATATGTGTCATCTCAAAAATGATAAAAGGAATGAGTTTGCAATCACATATTTCTTCAGTGAAATATTAGTATTTGCACCAAGAGAACTAAGTAAATGATAGCCCTAGGTCAGTTCAGATTAAGGGATTGTTAACAGATTAGTTCAAGCTATGCCAGATTTTGTCACCAGGTAAATCACAAAACCACTTAATTTTCGGAAGGTAGTATCAGATTTAGTATTAGATTTACAGATAAGGGATTCAGACTAATAGTCTTACTGGTATGTCTATGTGAAATTAAAATAGATTCACTCATAAATTTATCCTCTGTATTAGTCTGTTTTTACACTGCTGTAAAGAACTTCCTTGAAACTAGATAATTTATAAAGGAAAGAAGTTTAATTGACTTACCTGTATGGCTGGGGAGGTGTCGGGAAACTTACAATCATGGAGGATGCAAGGAGAAGCAAGCACCTTCTTCACAAGGTGGCAGGCAAGAGAGAAATGTGAAGGAGGAACTTTCAAACACTTATAAAACTATCAAATCTCATGAGAACTCACTCAATATCACAAGAACAGAATGGAGGAAATCGCCCCCATGATCTAATTACCTTCCTCCTTCAACACATGTGGATTACAGATCCCTCCCTCAATTATGAACCGACATGAGATTTGGGTGGGGACACAGTGCCAAACCGTATCACCTTCCCACAAATGTACTTAGCAGTAAACAAACATAGATGTTTCAAGAACATTGAGAATGGAGTTTATTCAGAATTGGAGATTGACAAATGTATTGGGCAGAAGTTAAGGCTGCGAAAACTGTGTTGGGTTATAAAGGAGGTTTAGTTGAATAGAGAGGCATGGGAACCTAGACAAGAAAGGCTTGAGGCCTTGAGATTGTGGTGAGGGTCAAGATCAGGGTTTATTTGGGGTGAAGAGAAATAAGAAGATGTTGCTGAAGGGGACTTTTCGGAGTTCCAAGCCTTGGATGGACATAAAAACCAAAGAAGTTTATTCTAGGCTTACCACTCTAACCCATGTTCACAAGCTCCCCCAGTCATGCTTAATTGTGCATTTATCCTCCCAAAAGTGAATCCTGGCTCTTTGTTGAGCAATGTTGTCAACTGTCACAGCTGCCAAGCCAACAGATGGTGTGGGCCTGTGTCACCAGCACTTTCTAAATGTAAAAATATGGTCATTTAGATGTTTTCTGTGTACACCCATTTCCTCATTAATCTTCTAACTGCAGCTGCAAATGGATAATTTCCATGTAAAATGTAGTGGCATTCTGGCCACCTTCATTCACATACTTTCAGGCCACCTGCTCTGTCTTCAGTACTATAATAGAATTGAGGTGTGCAAAGAACATAGAATCTTTTTCCGATTATTTAGTAAAATCCATGTTTTATCTATCCATCTATACTTAAACCTCTTTGAAGAGAAGGCCACTTTCTTTTAATTTTTTAAACTTGGATAACATAGGGCAGCTCTTAACACCTAAGAGTTAATGGATATTTCTTAAACTGATTTTATATCAAATCTAATTTGTAAGAAGTGGCTCACAGCAAGAAAAAGAAAAAGCACACACACACATAGTAAAAACAGAAGCAAACTGAAAGAATGACTCTACAAAGCATAAAGCCAAATATAAATGGTTATGAATTGTTCCCTGCTTTTGTTTTGTAATCACTACTAGAAAGAACAATTGAAAGTTATTAATTTGTCAGTTACTTCCCACCTTGAGGCTAGCATGAGTCACAAATTAGAATCTGTGCCAGCGATGCCTCTCTTCTCCAACCCATCTTAAAAGTTCTGACCAAATGAATCTCCCTAAAGCACATATCCAATTTCTCCAGCTTAAAACTATAAAGGCTTTCTATTATCCACTGAAAAGAATTCCAAAGATCCTTGGCCTGGCAATTTTTTCTTATCCAGTCCCAAATTGCCCTTGCAACATCATCTTATGTTACTCTTTTCATTGAAACTTGGGCACTATCAAAATAAATGCTTAAAAATATCCCTATTACCATGTACATGCATTGATATTTTCCATGTAGTTTGTCAACAAAAGACCTCATTTGTTTTCCCTCACTTTGGGGTTGTTTGCCTCGAGGAAGTAACTGATATTGAGCAAGATAACTGAAGGATAAAATAGAAAGAGAATATTAAGCCAAAGATTGTACTTAAAGTAAACCACTGAAAATATTACTAAGTAGCTGTTAAAAACAGCCAATATATATGGTAGCATAAGGACATTCTGTTTGGGTATTTTGTACAGGTACTACAAGCTAAAACCAAAGTACCACAATAACAGTTACAACATATAATTTTACAGCTCTTACTCTGCCCTTTGACAAGTGTTCAGGGACTTACATTCCAAAACTTCTGCAATTCTTCAATTTGCTTACCCACAAAGGCACTTCAAAATGAACAACATCCAAACAAACTTAGTATCATTCCATGCACATGCATAAATTCCTGACTCTGAATTTTCTATTTCTGTTATTGAAATCACAATCCAATCAGTTGCCACAACCAGAAACTTTCAAGTTGTCTTTCACTATCCTCATTCAAAGATTTTGGGAGTGGAGGCTTTTTTATTGTACATTGACAAATTATTCATACATATATGTAAAATGTACAAAGTAATGTTATGATTTTTTTTTCGATGTGGAGTCTTGCTCTGTCACCCAGGCTGGAGTTTCGTGGCGCAATCTCGGCTTGCTGCAACCTCCATCTCCTGGGTTCAAGCCATTCTCCTGCCTCATCCTTCCAAGTAGCTGGGATTATAGACGTGTACCATCACTCCTGGCTAATTTTTGTATTTTCAGTAGAGACGGATTTCACCATGTTGGCCAGGCTGGTCTTGAACTGACCTCGTGATCTGCCCACTTCAGCTCCCAAAGTGCTGGGATTATAGGCATGAGCCACCACGCCCAGCCATGATTTTTGAATACAATGTAAAATGATTAAATCAAATGGATTAACATCTCCATCACCTAAAATATTTAATATCTTTTGTATTCAGAACATTTGAAATTTTCTCTTACTGACTTTGAAATGTAAAGTACTGTTATTAGCTATATTCACCACAGTTCACAATAGATTTTAAAAAAATCAAATGTATTCCTTCTATGTAACTGAGGCTTTGTACCCTTTGACTATCATCTCCCTCTTCCTCCTACCCCTCAGCCTCTATAACCACCATTCTACTCTCTGCTTCTATAAGTTCAATTGCTTTGGATTCCACATATAAGTGAGAACATGTACTATTTGTCTTTCTGTGTTTGGCTTATTTCACTTAAGATGATATTCTCTGATTTCATCTGTGTTGTTGCACATGACAGAATTTCTTCCTTTTTAAAGGTTGAATAATATTTCATTCTACATATACTACACTTTCTCTAATCATTCATCCATTAATGGACATTTACTTTGATTCTATAACTTGTCTATTGTGAATAGTGCTACAATGAACATGGGAATGCAAGCATCTCATCAACACACAGATTTCAAATCTTTTGGGTAAATACCCAGAAGGAGGATTGGTGGATTATATGGCAATTCCATTTTTAGCTTTTTGAGAAACTTCTATACTGTTTTTCACAATGGCTGCACTAATTTACATTCCCACCAACAGTGTACAAGGATTCCCTTTTCTCCACACCCTCATCACCACTTGCTGTCTTTCACCATTTTGATAATAGTCATTCCAACAGTTTAAGGTGATATCTCATGGTGGTTTTACTTTGTATCTCCCTAATAATTAGTGATGTTGAGCATGTTTTCTTGTATCTATTAGCCTTTCATATATCTTCTTTTGAAAATGTCTATTTAGGTCCCTTGCCCTTTCTTAATCAGATCATTTGTTTTCTGTCTATAAAGTTGTTTGCATTCCTTACATATTTTGGACATTAATTTCTTATGAGATGTACAGCTTGCAAATATTTTCTCCCAGTCTGTAGGTTCTCTCTTCATTCTGTGTTTTTCTTTGTTGTGCAGAAGCTTTTTTGCTTTGATATAATTCATTTGTCAATTTTTGCTTTTGTTGCCTGTACTTAAGGGGTCAAATTTAAAAAGCATTGCCCAGACCAATATTGTGTGGTTTTACTCCATGTTTTCTTCTAGTTGTTTTACACTTTCAGAACTTATGTTTAAATCACTTATCCATTTTGCAACTTTCAGGCAAATGGAGTGAGATAAGGGTCTAATTTTATTCTTCTGTTTGTGAATATTCTGTTTTCCCAACACTGCTTATTGAAGATATTGTCCTTTTGCCATTGTATATTCTTGTGACCTTTGTCAAAAATCAATTGACCATAGATGTGTGGATTTTTTTCTGGGTGCTCTATTCTGTACCATTGGTCAATGTGCTAATTTTTATGCCAATACCATACTGTTTGGGTTATTACCACTTCATAGTATAGCTTGAAATCAGATGGTATGATAACTTCAGGTTTGTTCTATTGTTTTGTTTTGTTGGCTTTTTAAAATTTTGTTGTTGTTTTTGTTGTTTTTGCTCATGATTATCTTGGCTATTTGGGGGGCTTGGAGTTGTTTTGTGGTTTTGAATCAATTTTAGGAATTTTTTTCCATATGAAAAATGACACTGGAATTTTGGTAGGTGTTTCATTGAATCTATAGATCATGCTAGGTAGTACGGATATTTTAACTTTATTAATTCTTTCATGCGATGAACACTGGATATTTTCCCATTTATTTGTGTCTCTTTAATTTCTTTCATTAAGGTTTTATTATTTTCTATGTACAGGTCTTGGTCACTTCCTTAAGTTAAATTTATTCCTAAATTTTTTTTTAGCTATCATAAGTAGGATTGCTGTCTTGATTCTTTCTCAGAAAGTTTGTTGTGAGTGTAAAGAAATGCTACTAGTTTTTGCATGTTGATTTTTTACCTGCAGCTTTATTGAATTTGTTTATCAGTTCTCAGTTTTTTTCTGAAATCTTTAGGGTTTTCTATATGTAAGTTCATGTTATCAGCAAACAATGACATTTTTACTTCTATTCTTATTTAGATGCCTTTTATTTTTTTTCTCTTCCCTCATTTTTCTGGCAAGGTCTTCCAACTGTGTTGAATAGTAGTGATGAGAGTGGGTACTCCTGTCTTATTCTGAATCTTAGAGGAGCGGGTTCCAATTTGTCATCATTAAGTATTAGAATCACGTTAGCTTTGGGCTTATTATACATGGCCTTTATTGTGTTGAATTATATCCCTTATATACCTAATTTGTTAAATGTATTCATCATGAAAAGGTGTTTAGTTTTGTCAACTGCTTTTTCTGCATCTAATGAGATGATCATATGATTTTTGTCTTTCTGTTAATGTGGTGTATTGTATTTATTGATTTACAAATGTTGATGCATTCTTGCATTGCAGAAAAAAATCTCACTTGATCATGATGAATATCTTTTTAATGTGTTATAGAATTGGGTTTTCTAGTATTTTGTTGAGGATTTTTGCATCTGTTTACCAAGGATATTGGCCTGTAGTTTTCTTTTCTTGTGATTTTCTTATCTGGCTTTGGAATCAGAGTAATGCTAGCCTCATAAAAAGAGTTTGGAAGTATTTCCTCCTCTTTGATTTTTTGCAAAAGTGTATGGAGTATTGGTATTAGATATTCTTTAAACGTTTGGTAGAATTCACCAGTGAAGACATCAGGTCCTGGGCTTTTCTTTGATAGAAGACATTTTCAATCTCCTTGCTCACTGTTAGTCTGTTCAAATTTTCTCTTTCTTCATAATTCCATCTTAGTAGGTCATATGTGTCTAGGAATTTATCCATTTCTTCTAGATTATCCAGTTTGTTGAAATATAATTGTTCATAGTAGCCTCTCATGATCCTTTGTATTTCTGAGCTGTCAGTTGTAATGTCTTCTTCTTTCATTTCTGATTTTATTTATTTGAGTCTTCTCTTTTATTCCTTAGTCTAGCTAAAGGTTTATCAATTTTGTTTATCTTTAAAAAAGCTAACTTTGTTTCATTAATCTTTGGTATTGTTTTTCTAGTCTCTATTTTATAATTTACTTCTGCTCTGATCTTTATTATTTCTTTTCTTCTATTAATATTGGGCATAGTTCATTCTTTTTTTCTTTCCCTGAGTTCCTTGACTGATGTTCAGTTGTATGTGTTTGTGATCATTTTTGTTTTTTGATGTAGATGTTATTGCTATAAACTTTCCTCTTAAAACTGCTTTTGCTGCATCTCATAAGTTGTGACATATTGTGTTCCCAATTTTTTGTCTCAATAAATTTTTAAATTTTGCTTTTTAATTTCTTCATTTATCTATTGAATGTTCCAAAGCATATTGTTTAATTTCCTTATATTTGTGAATTTTCCAAAATTCCTCCTGTTACTGATTTCCAATTATATGCCATTGTAGTTGGAAAAGGTACTTTATATGATTTCCATTTTGTTAAATTTTCTAAGACTTGTATTCTGGCCTAACGTATGATCTATCCTGGAGAATGTTCACTGACTGTTTGGGAAGAACATGGATTCTGTTCTCTTGGGGGAAGATGCTCTGTAGATGTCTTTTAGGTCTATTTTATTGGTAAGTGATATTCAAATCCAATATTTTTTATTAATTTTCTGTCTGAATGATTTTTTCATTATTAAAATGGTATATCAAAGTTCCTTATAATACAACTTATAAATTAAAAATAGAGAGTAAGTCAATAGATTCATAAAGCAAATTGTTATTCTTATCCACGTTTCCAAAACAAAGACACAAAAGCACCAAAAGAAAAAGTGATTGTGTTGAAAATGGGGAACACATTGAGGATATGGGACAAACTTAAATTCTCAGAGTTTATATCGGTATTGTTATTGTTATTGCTGTTTTGTTGAACTGAATTATATAAATGAGAAAATTAAACAATCCTTATGACAAATCTCTTTTGGAGTTTATTGAACATACTACTGCCTCTCAGCTACAGAGACCACACTTTTTTGTATGCCAAGAACAACTACACATCATGTATAAAACTAAGGTCAAGTGTGCAGCAGATTTCAAGCAAATAATTATTCCCCAAAAGATAATTTTGCATAGTTTTTTGAAGGAAATTGGCCTCAATTTGTTGTTTCTTTTCAACAAAAATGTTAAGCTACGCATGTTTTTTAGTTCATTTTAAATTTGTCTGAATAAAGCAATCCCTCTAACATATTTGCAGCATTTTGCAACATCAGATGTTGCTTCCAGCTGCAAAAAAAAAAAAAAAAAAAAAAAAAAAAATTATCCTTTATGCTCCCTTATGCTCTAAACAATTTAGAATGTTTGCATCTGTAGAAACAGTAGCTGCATGTGGAGTCCAGTACCCGAGAGGTGGTTGTTTCTACACACTATTAGACTATATGAAAGACAGCATTGTCAAGTACTTAATGATTGGCTTTTCATGTGGGGCCCAACATTCCAACAGAGCCTTTATTATTCATACCAATCTGGCTTTAGTTCATCTTCTACAGACACTCCAGATTAAATTTTCTTCATTATCATTACAGAACTACATAAATAAGTGGCACATCTGTTCATGAAGTGGTTTGTTATCTGTTCGGATGAGGTTCGAGATGAATAGAAAAAATAACTATAGAGGAGACAAATGCACCAAGGTTTATGCCCACTGTGGAATTCAAGACCAGTTATGTTATCTCTGAAAATCCTTTGGTCTCTCCCTTCCACTGAATGGGGAATTATTAACGAATGATTTGGTACCATTTATCATGAAGAAGAATGCAAAGCAGATAGAAATCAAACCAAAACAAATGCACAGAAACCTGGCACGTGATAAGGGCCTAATGATGACCTCACATTGTTCCATTCAATTTCAAGCCCATCTCTCCAAAAGAAAACTTGAAGAACTGTAAATATTTTACCAACAATCCCATATCAGATATTTCTCATGCAAAACAAGGCTGTATAAATAAATCTGTTGATTAGGAATGCATCAACACATTACAGCTGTGCCATTCACTTGGGGCTTACAACCAATCTTTTCTGTTACTATTAGGCTTACACCATTCATTTCAGAGCTAGCATAAGGCCTAGGCAGTCTGAAGAATTTATGCCAGCCCTGATCAGGTCTGCATTCAGGTATTTGTCTGCAACATACCTTGACTGTACTCCCAGTTTGCCATAGCTCAGTCATAAAATGTGCTACAAGTGGTTCATTTCTGCTAATACCAAAATAATAGTGAAAACAGAAATAACAATAATAATAATAATTACTCAAACTTTAATATAAAAATAAATCACCTGATAATCTTGTTAAAATGCAGATTCTGATTCACTAAGTCTGGGGTGGGGACTAAGATTGTATTTCTAACAGGCTCCCAATCTTGCTGATGTTTCTGGCATGTAGAAAATACTAGCGTGGAAATCGACTTATGGTATTTAATAATGCTAGCCACGTGTGACTTCTGAGCACTCAAACTGCAGCTACCCAAATGGAGATGTGCCCTAAGTATAAAACATACAACAGACATCACATGCTTACTGCTCCCCAAAATACAATAAGTCATTAATATTTTGTATTGATTAAATGTGTAAAAGATTTTCATCTATGATGGTTAAATAAAATATATTATTTAATTTAATTTTACCTGTTTATATTTACTTTTTAAAATGTGGCAACTAGAAATTTTAAAATTATAGATATGGCTTGCACATTTCCACAATGCTGAGATGAACAATTTGTGAAATTTTTGTTTTGTTTCTTTAACATATATATGTTAAACATTACATACATCACCATATCTTACAAGATATCTTTGACATGATGCCTGGAGGTGGGATAACTCTATTCTTGCCACCAATCAAGTGGATGAACCTATTAAAATGCTTTCAACAGCAATGAAATCAAACAGCATTAAGCTATAAGGAAAAGTATTTGTTCTGGTAACAGTAAAATAAGACTGGCGTGCTTAATTTGGGACTCTGACTCTATTTCTTTTTAATTCTCTTAGTTAGATCCAATGCTCAGGCAAAGCGGCACATCGGCAACTGAAAAAAAAAATCCATAGAAAAAGAGATAATATATTCTTTGAGTCTCTATTTTAAAAGCAAGGAAACTTTTCCAGAAACCATTAATAAACTTTAATTCCACCTCACTGTTTCAAACTGAGTCAGATCCTCAAACTTGAGCCAGTCCTTGTGAACTGAAAATTGACATGTTCTTATTACCTTAGACAGAGTTGCTTGTATCAATCACTGATAAAATAAATGGAATTAACAAAGTTCACTTGAACTAATCATGACACATCCCCAGAAAAGTGAAGTTGATCTCTCAAAATGCAAGTCTATCACCTGATGGGAAATAAATAGGGTGGAGGAGGATAGACTCAAGACCACAACAGTAGGTGAGAAACTTCTCCTGTTATATAGGATTATTATTTTGGGAAAAGTATACTTGATAATGGTAATTATTTTCCAAATCAACAGGTCTTTTATTGCATCATTTAAATATCACAGTTAGTTCTTTGGAATCATCTGGCATCTTGTTTATGTAACCAGACAACTGTTATATCTTACTCAGCTTGCTGAACTGTCCCTTTTTCAGAGACATAGATGCCATCCAAAATTTTTCTGATACTCTTGTTTTTAGCTGTTGTGGCTTGCTGAATCAAAGCAGCTGAATTTGAAACAAGTTCAATGTCATTTCCTTCCAGGATTAAGTCATCTTTCTGGGCTTGAGATATACTGAACAAGCAACACCTGGCCTCATCTGAACCCTGTGGAAATATATATATATATTTGAGATGGAGTTTTACTCTTGTTGCCCAGGCTGGAGTGTAATGGCGTGATCTCAGCTCACTGCAACCTCAGCCTCCTGGGTTCAAGTGATTCTCAGCCATTCGAGTAGCTGGGATTACAGACGTCTGTCAGCATGCCTGGCTAATTTTTTTGTAGTTTTAGTAGAGACGGGGTTTCACCATGTTGGCCAGGCTGGTCTCGAATTCCTGACCTCAGGAGATCCTCCTGCCTTGGCCTCCCAAAGTGCTGGGATTACAGGCATGAGCCACCTCACCCGGCCTTATCCAAGAAATGTCTGATTTCAAAAAGAGACCTATTCTCAGGGATAATGACATTGATGGGGAAGTGAGCATACACAGACCTCATATTGTAATGGAAGTCCAGTGTAACACCTTTGATCATGTTCTGTATGCTACTATGAATAGCACAAACGGTAGCCACTTTCTATTTCCCCCCTTTTGTCAACCTTGAGCCTCTTCTTTTCCTTTCCAAGGAGACTAAGTTCTACATTGATGTGACTGAAGTCTCTCTGCAGGTTTCCTCTGGGGCCCTTCACAAAAACTACGCATCCCTTCAGAGTGGTGTTGACATTTTCTGAAATATCAACAGTCTGCCGAGAATGGTCTTCATTCCCACAGTAAATGCAGCAAACACTGGTAAAAATTTTTATATAACAAATATATATATATTTAAATTAGAACCCAGAATCCTATCACTTCATAATATGATATTGCTGACTCACTCCAAACAGCTGTTCAGGCATGCACATATGCATAAATTGTGTAAACTATATATACTTAACTGTAACCTTTTTTCCTATGCAATCTGCTGTAGAAATCTTTTCATTTAGATTTATATGACCATTTTTGCTAATTAAAATACCCCATTGTAAGCAAATGCTTTAGTTTAGAACTTTCCAGTCAGCATGCCATGAATGGACTTCAGGTACATCTCAAGCTGTTAATCCACTTGGTCCTCAGTGTAGCCAGGTGAATCCAGGGGCTTCCCAGCATATAGCTTTATTAGAGTAAGATTCTGATGGCCCTGCTCAATGATAAAATTTGTAAAGCATAGCCACTAATTTCCACCAGTTTTTGATGTTTCTGTTATTTCAAATTTTTCATTATTAGAAACAAATTACTATAAATATTATTAATCATATATTTTTTCCCAGTTGTCAGTTCTGGCAATAAAATTTTAGACAATTGTATTTTCAGCAGGTTTTTTAAGGCTGCAAGAAATAGACATGCATAACACTTTTTAAGTATTAGAACTTCAGTGTTGAGACATATGAAGATGTAGAAGGATAGTGGTTACATTCTCATCAGCTGTTAATCAAGACCCTCATCAAGTTCATTTGATATCACTTGGAATAACAATTAGAAATAAGGTGATCTGCTCACTAGACTTGCTAATATTTAGACATCCTAAAGTGGAGTAATGTGAAAGCAGTACAGAGGAGGCTGGCTTCCCTAATATTCAGCTAAGCTATGGATGGTTTGAGCCAGTACTTTTTCCATGGGTACCAGAGGTGTTTCCATTCAAATTTTCCAGGGGTGTGTGTGTGTGCATGTGTACTTCCAAGCACATAAAAGAGAGGCAGAGAAGTGGGCAGGCAGTAGGCAGACAAAAAACACAGGCAGACAAACAACATTTTCTGATGATAATGGCTGAGCTTAAAATATCTTTAAAAGGTTAGAAACCTAAAACAACTTTTCCAAAAATTCATATTATTAGTTCCATTTTACAAAGAAGGTAGAGGAGTCTCAAAGACTAACAAAAGCAGAAAGTCTTCAGAGTGATCTTTGACTCAAAATTCTATACTCTCTATTTGAAGCCAGCTTTATTATCCAGAAAGGAACTGGTAGTGATGCAGGACAAGAAAGGCCCAAAATTGAGGCTTAGCCTGGGAGGGTTTTTGGCTCTACCCAGGGGTTCTTGGCTTTGCCCAGTGAGGAATTCAAGGGTGAACTGGTGGTGTTAAACAGCAACTTTTATTGAAGCAGCAGTGAACAGCAGCCAGCAGAGATACTGCTCCTTGCAGAGTAGGACTACCCCATAGGCAGTGTGCCCAGAGTGGCAGCTCAAAGGCATGTCTGCATGCATATTTATACCTACTTTAAATTATATGCAGAAATTCCTAGGAAAAGAGTGACAACTTCAAGTTGTTTGGTCATTATTATAGAATAAGGCAGCAACTTCCAGATGTTGCCATGGCAATGGCAAACTAATGTGGTCCACTGGTGGGGTTTGCCTTATGGAAAGCTGTTTCCCCCGCTGGACCTGTTTTAGCTCGTTCTCTATTTGGCCTGGTGTCTGAGCCCCGCCTCCAGAGTCAAGTAGCATGGGCTGCCCAGTTGCCATTTTCTAAATTCATGGAAAAAGTTCGTGTTGATTTGGGTGAAACTTGAGCTTGATAGAAAAGAACAATTTGGCAAGTTCGTATTCAGTGAACTGCATGATGAAAATGCCAGATCCACATTAGCATAGCACAATCGCAAATGACTGTACAGTAGTCCTCCATGAAAAATGGCTACATTAATGATTGCTTACTGATCAGTCTAAGTTCTAGGATAAGATTTGCTAGGAAAATCCCTGAGAGGCCTTGAGTTGCTCAGCACTAGTACTATACAGTATGGATTTTATGTGGTGTTCATCATCGTCTTATACATTCAGACTATATAAAGGTTGCCAATAAGCAAACAGAATCAGCTGGGTAAACTACATCTTGATATTAAATTCTGTAGAAATTGATAAATAAGCTCTAAAGTTACAATGATTTATCAGAATGATTAAAGCCATAATTTTTATACCATTGATTTTAACCACACAGACACTGCTGCTGAAAGGAGCCAATCATGTATAGCTTACCTGAGACACAAAATTTTAAAACTTTGTAATAATGTTAAATATATTCATGTAAAAAATGGATCTGACATGGGCAAAACATGCAGAATACACATATGCACCAATAGTCACTTTATTACGAATACTTTGTTGGCTCCTTGTTTTCTGAATAAACAAAGTGGGCAAGGAGACTCTAACTTTCTCCATAATTACACTTTTGAGATCACTTTATTCACCAAATATTGCTTCAGATTCTATTATGTGCCAGGCAGACAAAAGGATGCAACATTGAGCAAGATGGATATCCCCCTACCTTCAAAGAGCCTGAAGTCTAGAGAGAGACAAACAATTAAAATTGTTTATCTGACTATTACTAGACAGTGTAATGGGAACTCTGCTTGGAAAAGAGGAAGGCATGGTTGCTCCTAACCTACATTTTGGAGGAGCGACTTCTTATCTGATCTAACAAAAAAGTTAGGTAAAGAATGGTAAGAATAAGAGAATATCCTGTGAAAAGGCCAGAAGTTCAGAGAAAAAGATTCGTTCAGGGAACTGCAAATATTCAGGCATGTCTAGAACATAAAGTCTAAGTGGGGAATGGTGTAAAAACCTCAAGAGGTTGAAGAAATAAGCTACAAGCACATCACAAACTCCAAAGCAATTAAATAATTTGAACATTATTCTGAGGGCAATTGAGAGCAAGGTTGCCAGATAAAATGTAGAAGGCCCAGCTAAATGTGAATTTCAAATAAACAACAAATAACTTTTTCGGTATAAATATGTCTTAATTATTATTAAAAACATACTATTAAAAAATCATTGTTTATTTGAAATCCAAATAACTGGGTATTCTGTGTTTGTATTTACTTAATCTGACAACCTTCATAGGAAGCCACTAAAGGAGTTTAAGCAGAAGAGTTAAATGATATAATTTGAGCTTTAGAGAGGTGCCACTGGTTGTGATATAGAAAACAAATTCATTCATTTGTTCACCTATGACATCATTTTTTGAGCAGGCACCTTTTATTCCAGGCAAAGATTTAACTAAGACACAAATCTGTAATTCCAAAAAAAAAACTTAGGGCAGTGTCTTTTGAGTAGCATCCTTCCTATTTTTGCCATATTTTCCCTTCCTGTATTGATACTTATGCTGTAGTATGTAGACTGGTTGACTGTATAGCACATTGACTATGGAGCCAGAGAATCCGGATTCAGTCTCTGACTTCCTCTACTCATGAATTGTGCAAGATACTTAACCTCTTATGTCTCAGTCTCTTTATCTGGCAAGAAAGAATATAATGTTTTCTGCAAATTGTAGGGATCAAATGAGTTAATGTATGTAAAGCCCTTAGAACAGTGTCTGACACAGAATAAACTTTATGAAAGCATCCATTCTTACTCTAAGTATAAACTTACATTTTCTGTGATCCTCTGAAGCTTTCTTCTCTCAACTCGTCAAAGTCATTCTCTGTCCAGCTTTGTTCAATTGCTGGTGAGGAACTGCGTTCCTTTGGAGGAGGAAAGGCGCTCTGCTTTTTAGAGTTTCCAGTTTTTCTGCTCTGTTTTTTCCCCATCTTTGTGGTTTTATCTACTTTTGATCTTTGATGATGGTGATGTACAGATAGGTTTTTGTTGTGGATGCCCTTTCTGTTTGTTAGTTTTCCTTCTGACAGACAGGACCCTCAGCTGCAGGTCTGTTGGAGTTTGCTAGAGGTCCACTCCAGACCCTGTTTGCCTGGGTATCAGCAGCGGTGGCATCAGAACAGCGGATTTTTGTGAACCGTGAATGCTGCTGTCTGATTGTTCCTCTGGAAGTTTTGTCTCAGAGGAGTACCCGGCCTGTGAGGGGTCAGTCTGCCCCTACTGGGGGGTGCCTCCCAGTTAGGTTGCTCAGGGGTCAGGGGTCAGGGACCCACTTGAGGAGGCAGTCTGCCCGTTCTCAGATCTCCAGCTGCGTGCTGGGAGAACCAATGCTCTCTTCAAAGCTGTCAGACAGGGACATTTAAGTCTGCAGAGGTTACTGCTGTCTTTTTGTTTGTCTGTGCCCTGCCCCCAGAGGTGGAGCCTACAGAGGCAGGCAGGCCTCCTTGAGCTGTGGTGGGCTTCACCCAGTTCGAGCTTCCCAGCTGCTTTGTTTACCTAAGCAAGCCTGGGCAATGGCGGGCGCCCCTCCCCCAGCCTCGCTGCCTCCTTGCAGTTTGATCTCAGACTGCTGTGTTAGCAATCAGCCAGACTCCCTGGGCATAGGACCCTCTGAGCCAGGTGCGGGATATTATCTCCTGGTGCGCCGTTTTCTAAGCCCGTCAGAAAAGCACAGTATTAGGGTGGGAGTGACCCTATTTTCCAGGTGCCATCTATCACCCCTTTCTTTGACTATGAAAGGGAACTCCCTGACCCCTTAACTACTCCAAGCTACAGGAGGAAATTCAAACCAAAGGCAAAGAAGTTAAAAACTTTGAAAAAAATTTAGAGGAATGTATAACTAGAATAACCAATACAGAGACGTGCTTAAAGGAGCTGATGGAGCTGAAAGCCAAGGCTTGAGAACTACGTGAAGAATGCAGAAGCCTCAGGAGCCAATGAGATCAACGGGAAGAAAGGGGATCAGTGATGGAAGATGAAATGAATGAAATGAAGCGAGAAGGGAAGTTTAGAGAAAAAAGAATAAAAAGAAACAAACAAAGCCTCCAAGAAATATGGGACTATGTGAAAAGACCAAATCTACGTCTCACTGGTGTACCTGAAAGTGACGGGGAGAATGGAATCAAGTTGGAAAACACTCTGCAGGATATTATCCAGGAGAACTTCCCCAATCTAGCAAGGCAGGCCAACATTCACATTCAGGAAATACAGAGAATGCCACAAGGATACTCCTCGAGAAGAGCAACACCAAGACACATAATTGTCAGATTCACCAAAGTGGAAATGAAGGAAAAAATGTTAAGGGCAGCCAGAGAGAAAGGTCAGGTTACCCACAAAGGGAAGCCCATCAGACTAACAGCGGATGTCTCAGCAGAAACTCTACAAGCCAGAAGAGAGTGGGGGCCAATATTCAACATTCTTAAAGAAAAGAATTTTCAACCCAGAATTTCATATCCAGCCAAACTAAGCTTCATAAGTGAAGGAGAAATAAAATACTTCACAGAAAAGCAAATGCTGAGAGATTTTGTCACCACCAGGCCTGCCCTAAAAGAGCTCCTGAAGGAAGCACTAAACATGGAAAGGAACAACCAGTACCAGCCACTGCAAAATCATGCCAAATTGTAAAGACCATTGAGGCTAGGAAGAAACTGCATCAACTAATGAGCAAAATAACCAGCTAACATCATAATGACAGGATCAAATTCACACATAACAATATTAACTTTAAATGTCAATGGACTAAATGCTCCAATTAAAAGGCACTGACTGGCAAATTGGATAAACAGTCAAGACCCATCAGTGTGCTGTATTCAGGAAACCCATCTCACTTGCAGAGACACACATAGGCTCAAAATAAAAGGATGGAGGAAGATCTACCAAGCAAATGGAAAACAAAAAAAGGCAGGGGTTGCAATCCTAGTCTCTGATAAAACAGACTTTAAACCAACAAAGAACAAAAGAGACAAAGAAGGCCATTACATAATGGTAAAGGGATCAATTCAACAAGAAGAGCTAACTATCCTAAATATATATGCATCCAATACAGGAGCACCCAGATTCATAAAGCAAGTTCTGAGTGACCTACAAAGAGACTTAGACTACCACACAATAATAATGGGAGACTTTAACACCCCACTGTCAACATTAGACAGATCAACGGGACAGAAATTTAAAAAGGATACCCAGGAATTGAACTCAGCTCTGCACCAAGTGGACATAATAGACATCTACAAAACTCTCCACCCCAAATCAACAGAATATACATTTTTTTCAACACCACTCCACACCTATTCCAAAACTGACCACATAGTTGGAAGTAAAGCTCTCCTCAGCAAATGTAAAAGAACAGAAATTATAACAAATTGTCTCTCAGACCACAGTGCAATCAAACTAGAACTCAGGATTAAGAAACTCACTCAAAACCGCTCAACTACATGGAATCTGAATAACCTGCTCCTGAATGACTACTGGGTACATAATGAAATGAAGGCAGAAATAAAGATGTTCTTTGAAACCAATGAGAACAGAGACACAACACACCAGAATCTCTGGGACACATTTAAAGCAGTGTGTAGCAGGAAATTTATAGCACTAAATGCCCACAAGAGAAAGCAGGAAAGATCTAAAATTGACACCTCATATCACAATTAAAAGAACTAGAGAAGCAAGAGCAAACACATTCAAAAGCTAGCAGAAGACAAGAAATAACTAAGACCAGAGCATAATTGAAGGAGATAGAGACACAAAAAAAACCTTCAAAAAATCAATGAATCCAGGAGCTCGCTTTCTGAAAAGATCAAAAAAATTGATAGATCGCTAGCCAAACTAATAAAGAAGAAAAGAGAGAAGAATCAAATAGATGCAATAAAAAGTGATAAAGGGGATATCACCACCGATCCCACAGAAATACAAACTACCATCAGAGAATACTATAAACACCTCTACGCAAATAAACTAGAAAATCTAGAAGAAATGGATAAATTCCTGGACACATACACCCTCCAAAGACTAAACCAGGAAGAACTTGAATCCCTGAATAGACCAATAACAGGCTCTGAAATTGAGGCAATAATTAAGAGCCTACCAACCAAAAAAACTCCAGGACCAGATGGATTCACAGCTGAATTCTACCAGAGGTACAAAGAGGAGCCGGTACCATTCCTTCTGAAACTGTTCCAATCAATAGAAAAAGAGGGAATACTCCCTAACTCATTTTATGAGGCCAGCATCATCCTGATACCAAAGTCTGGCAGAGACACAACAAAAACAACAAAAAAGAGAATTTTAGACCAATATCCCTGATGAACATCGATGCAAAAATCCTCAGTAAAATACTGGCAAACTGAATCCAGCAGCACATCAAAAAGCTTATCCACCATGATCAAGTGGGCTTCATCCCTGGGATGCAAGGCTGGTTCAACATATGTAAATCAATAAATGTAATCCAGCATATAAACAGAACCAAAGACAAAAACCACATGATTATCTCAATAGATGCAGAAAAGGCCTTTGACAAAATTCAACAGCACTTCATGCTAAAAACTCTCAATAAACTAGGTATTGATGGGACATATCTCAAACTAATAAGAGCTATTTATGACAAACCCACAGCCAATATCATACTGAATGGGCAAAAACTGGAAACATTCCCTTTGAAAACTGGCACAAGACAGGGATGCCCTCTCTCACCACTCCGATTCAACATAGTGTTGGAAGTTCTGGCCAGGGCAATCAGGCAGGAGAAAGAAATAAAGGGTATTCAATTAGGAAAAGAGGAAGTCAAATTATCCCTGTTTGCAGATGACATGATTGTATATTTAGAAAACCCCATCGTCTCAGCCAAAAATCTCCTTAAGCTGATAATTGACTTCAGCAAAGTCTCAGGATACAAAATCAATGTGCAAAAATCACAAGCATTCTTATACACCAATAACAGACATGCAGAGAGCCAAATCATGAGTGAACTCCCATTCACAATTGCTTCAAAGAGAATAAAATACCTAGGAATCCAACTTACAAGGGATGTGAAGGACCTCTTCAAGGAGAACTACAAACCACTGCTCAACAAAATAAAAGAGGACACAAACAAATGGAAGAACTTTCCATGCTCATGGATAGGAAGAATCAATATCGTGAAAAGAATCAATATAGATTCAATGCCATCCCCATCAAGCTACCAATGACTTTCTTCACAGAATTAGAAAAAACTACTTTAAAGTTCATATGGAACCAAAAAAGAGCCTGCATTGCCAAGACAATCCTAAGCCAAAAGAACAAAGCTGGAGGCATCACGCTACCTGACTTCAAACTATACTACAAGGCTACAGTAACCAAAACAGCATGGTACTGTTACCTAAACAGAGATATAGACCAATGGAACAGAAGAGAGCCCTCAGAAATAATACCACACATCTACACCCATGTGATCTTTGACAAACCTGACAAAAACAAGAAATGGGGAAAGGATTCCCTATTTAATAAATGGTGCTGGGAAAACTGGCTAGCCATATGTAGAAAGCTGAAACTGGATTGCTTCCTTGCACCTTATACAAAAATTAATTCAAGATTGATTAAAGACTTACATGTTAGACCTAAAACCATAAAAACCCTAGAAGAAAACCTAGGCAATACCATTCAGGACATAGGCATGGGCAAGGACTTCATGTCTAAAACACCAAAAGCAATGGCAACAAAAGCCAAAATTGACAAATGGGGTTTAATTAAACTAAAGAACTTCTGCACAGCAAAAGAAACTACCATCAGAGTGAACAGGCAACCTACAGAATAGGAGAAAATTTTACAATCTACCCATCTGACAAAGGGCTAATATCCAGAATTAATTTCTTAATACAGAGAGGGCTTCCATTTTTCCATCTATAGCATGAGAGGTTTTTACATTATCACATGGGATTGTTGTGAGAATTATATGAGATAATATGTTTCACAGTGTAGCATATTGTCTGGCATATCAGAGGGGCTCAACAAAGGGAACGTGCTTATAGAAACAGGCCTATTGGAGGTGCAGAGGTGGTGACAGTGGCAGTCATGGTGGAGGACATGGTGACAGTGGCGGTCATGGTGGAGGCCATGGTTACAGTGGTGCTAAGAATAATTAGGAGCAAATATTATTGAATTACTATGACATAGTATTAAATATAATGAAAAGGTTAAAAATTAAATCAGTTAGATGAGGATCCAATGCCGCATTTATTTGACATTTTAAAAGCACCAAGCATTTAAATAAGTTGCATAGTCTTTGAGATCCTCAAACATAGTATAGTGGTACTTGGTACCAACCATATCAGAAGATTATAAACATTCAATAAATTAATTGATCACCTCTTATGTACCACATATTGCACACATAATATCTCATTTAATCCTTACTTCAACCCAGCAAAATGTGATCTCCATTTTATAAATGAGGAAACTGAAGCTCAGCGAGTTTAAGTGACTTTCCCAGGGTCACAGTAGTAGAATATAGTAGAGGCAGGTTTTAAACTAAAGATATTCTGTCTTCATTTACATCCTGAGCTCCGCCTGCCAAGCTGCTACTCACAATCCTTAATCTTTCTAACAGCACCTACTACAGTGCATGGCACATAGTAGATACAAGTTGTCTTCCCTAACCCCATATCACTATGGGTACATGAGTCCATGGAAGACTTAATGAACATTCAGATATGGTCAACACGGCTAAGCTTACCAGGGAAGACTTTTTTTGCTGCATGTGGCAGATCTGATTCAAACTATCTTTGTTTCCTACATGTCACTTATTGCAACTTGAAGTTATTTAAATATTTGTTTAATATTTTTGTCTCCCCTCAAAACTAGAAAATAAACCCATGAAGTAAGGAATTTGTTTCCTGTTCTCAGCTATATCTCTTCCACCCAGCGGAGTGCATGACAAACAGTAGATGCTCAATAAATCTTGATTGAATGAGTGAATACATTCTTTGAAACAGTATTTTTAGACCAATGGCAGTCTTTTTTCAGATAACCTAAATACAACACTGTAGTTTGACATAATGTGCACGGCACCACAATTTAAAAATTTTTGTTGATCAAAGGCTATGAAACTTACTTAAAATGCTTAGTGCTTTTAAAAGGTTGAGTGAATGGGGCATTGAATCTTCACTCACCTAACCAACTAAATCTTTACTCTTTTCATTATATTTAGTGCTATGTCGCAGCATTTCAATAGCCACCCCAACAGGAAATGGTGAGCAAAGTCCTGTAATGTGTTTGTAAAATATTATCTCAAGTAAAAACCCTCAACCCTGATCATGGATCTTTCAGACAAAAGCATACTTTTATCTTCCTAATCTGTTGGAGACTTTTGCCCGCCTAGCACTGCACACCAGGCAGTTTCTCACACTCATTTTTTAAGGTCAGCGAGAAAGACAGAATTTTGTAAATAAGCCCCACTCTGAATTCACTCATTGTTCTTTCCTATTATTTACATAACTGGTATTCAGTCTTTGGCCTTACAGTGAGAAAACTACTTCTTTATCATCAATAAACCAGAGCTGTGTATTTATAGAGAATATCTAATGTATGACGAGTACTCTCTTTCTGTGGATCTATCTTGACTCCCGGCAGTCAGTTTACTGTGTATTTCACTCAACTTGATAGAGTGCAAGTAGGTGAGTATTTTCAGATGATTTGTCAATATCAACTGATGTTTTCTTGTCACAGATAAACAGCCTGTGCCATGAATCAATAGCGTGTCAGCAATGCTGTCACGATCCCCCCCTAATGTGTGTGCAGCGTATTGACAGCTGATACATTACCGTGAATGTCTGCAAATGTTAAACAGCTTAGCTATTTGTGTGCCGCCACTCGGTGCCTCTTTACAAAGTAGGACATTTGTTTCAGTGGTGGCCAGGGAACGTGACCGAGGTTGGTTTGCCTGAATAACAGCAGACAGCTTCATTCCATCACATTCCAGCTGTAAGTTTCCATTGAACCAATTAGCTGAAATCCATCTAGGCTGTGTGGCTTTGATTACACAGCTGTGCTTGAAACAACACGCTGATCTTTTTGTTCACATCAAAGTTATACACTATCCTGAACCAGAGCCTTCAAAGTCAGCATTTTGTACAACCCTACACAACTACACAACTGAGGTCATGCAAATCAGGCCAGGATGCCTCCAACTCATAATTCTGGGTCAGACAGATTTTTCTCTAAAGTCAAGCCGAGTGAAAGATCCCAGGGTTACCAGCATCACTAGTACAAACAGAGAAGTCAATAACAGGTGATTCTATCCTGGAACCTGGATTGGCATTTTCAACAATCTCTACAGCAGACAGTACAGTGTAATAATTTAGAGCATGGGCTTTGAAATTAGACTAATCTTGTTTTAGTCCTTTCACTCACTACCTACATAATCCTGAGCAAATTGTTTTGCCTGTGCTTATTTTATAATAGGGATCATAATAATAAAAGCTGGTTATTATGAGGACTAAATGAGACACTACATGTAAAATTTAGCTTAGACTCTGACACTAAATATGTTCTTAAAACCTGGAAAGTTTTATTAGAAAAAAATGAGCAAAATAAAGACATAAGAAGGCAAGATTTCAGTGAATTTGTCTTATTAGGGAGATGGAACTGGTAATGTCACCCTCATATGCAAATGAATAGCCAACCACTTATATGGCTTGACTTTATTAGATAAATGCCATCTCCATTTCACTTTGTACACATAGAATTTTTAATGTGCTTTAGGATATCAGTAAGGTAAATAATATAAACCTCTTCAGAATCCTATGCATGAAGGCCTGTCTGAATAGAAATTCCTAGCTGATTGACACTTGATATATGGTAAGAACAATATATCCTCTTAATTCACTCTCTAATTGTTTTGTTAATACATACACACACAAAAGAAATCCAGACAAACAATAAACTTTATGTTTGCAAAGGTTTCTGCTCCTTCAATACCAAGCTTTTACCAAAATTATAAATATATTTTTAAAGGACATACAAACACATTGTCTTAATTCTCTTAAGAGAAATATGAAATAAGTAGATTAGGAGGTATTATTCCATTCCTGAAATCAGAAAAATGATTTGCCCAAAATTATGTACACAATATTGCCCTTACTCCCAGGCAAGACCAAGATGGTACCCTGCTCCAGGTTCTACACTTGGAGAGAATGTGTATCACAAACATCCCCAAAATAACACTCAGATCTGATACAGTGTGACCCCAAATCCTAAATATCTACTCTCCTAACTAATACTATTCAGGCTAAAGAAACATTTCTCCACCTCTGTTGCCCTGAATCCTCTAAAAAGACATTTATGTTCAAAAACTGGGAACGTTTGTGGTTGTCTGTTGCTGGTATTAGAGACAGACACTGCTTCAGAGCAAGGGTAGGATTTGAACAGCAGAAGTTCTTCCATAAAAGAAAAGACAGTACATAGGCATGGGCAAGGACTTCATGTCTAAAACACCAAAAGCAATGGCAACAAAAGACAAAATTGACAAATGGGATCTAATTAAACTAAAGAGCTTCTGCACAGCAAAAGAAACTACCATCAGAGTGAACAGGCAACCTACAAAATGGGAGAAAATTTCGCAACCTACTCATCTGACAAAGGGCTAATATCCAGAATCTACAATGAACTCAAACACATTTACAAGAAAAAAACAAACAAACCCATCAAAAAGTGGGCGAAGGACATGAACAGACACTTCTCAAAAGAAGACATTTATGCAGTCAAAAAACACATGAAAAAATGCTCACCATCACTGGCCATCAGAGAAATGCAAATCAAAACCACAATGAGATACCATCTCACACCAGTTAGAATGGCAATCATTAAAAAGTCAGGAAACAACAGGTGCTGGAGAGGATGTGGACAAATAGGAACACTTTTACACTGTTGGTGGGACTGTAAACTAGTTCAACCATTGTGGAAGACAGTGTGGCGATTCCTCAGGTATCTAGAACTAGAAATACCATTTGACCCAGCCATCCCATTACTGGGTATATACCCAAATGACTATAAATCATGCTGCTATAAAGACACATGCACATGTATGTTTATTGCGGCATTATTCACAATAGCAAACACTTGGAACCAACCCAAATGTCCATCAATCATAGACTGGATTAAGAAAATGTGGCACATATACACCATGGAATACTATGCAGCCATAAAAAATAATGAGTTCATGTCCTTTGTAGGGACATGGATGAAATTGGAAATCATCATTCTCAGTAAACTATCGCAAGAACAAAAAACCAAACACCGCATATTCTCATTCATAGGTGGGAATTGAACAAAGAGAACACATGGACACAGAAAGGGGAACATCACACTCTGGGGACTGTTGTGGGGTGGGGGGAGGGGGCAGGGATAGCATTGGGAGATATACCTAATGCTAGATGACGAGTTAGTGGGTGCAGCGCACCAGCATGGCACATGTATACATATGTAACTAACCTGCACATTGTGCACGTGTACCCTAAAACTTAAAGTATAATAATAATAATAATAAAAAGAAAAGACAGTAATTGTCTTGTCAAATCCTTTACCTCAGATAGTATGAAAGTAATAGATTTAAAGTGTTGAGGCTCAAAAAATGATACCCCAAAGTATGGCACTTTGGCATGCTGAGTGCTTTGAACCAAGAGATGCTGGCAAGGCCTCAGAAGCAAAGTCTGCCTCTGACCTTCTCCTCCCCCTCTTTCTCCTGCTCTCTCTTTTCCCCCAAGGCAGGCCATGGGAACTATGAGTCCTCTTCCCCAAGGTGGGTCATAGAAACTAAAAATATTACTCTAACCTTCCCCCACCTTTCTGTGCGGGAACTGGCCGTAAAGAAATTCTCTGTGCTACCCTTGCCTGGTATTAGGTCATAAGACCCTCATACCAGAAGGGGTCTTGCTTTATACCTGGAAGAAAGGAATGCTATGCAGAGGCCAAGAAGAATCCAAAGAGCAGGTCTTGCTGGGTTTCCCACTCAGGCTATTACCATTAGATCATTCCCCTTTGTTCAATCATATTTCTCCATAGCTCTCCATTCTTTTATAGAAACTGGGCATAAAAATAAAGTTTTCCCTGATTCTTTGGGTCTTCATTTCTGAGGACTTATGTGGCAGTAAAACTTTGATTAAATAAATCATGATGTGTTTTCGTGTCATCTATAACCTGTTTTATGTTACAAGAGTGTCCCCATGACCCTTATGATGACTGAGGAAAGGTATCACACCTTTATTTTCCCTCCCAACATAGCATAACAAAATGTTCTTTCCCCAGAGGCCAGCTATGTTTTTGCTTCCATTTGTTTTCCAATTCATGGCTCCAGAGGTACATATGAGTTTGCAACATGGTAGCTGAGGAGCATCCTGCAAAATATTAAACAATCCATATCACCTTTCAGTTCCCATAGCATGCTACATCATAATTTCTCCCATGTCAGCTACAAGATGGAATGCTAGAATTGTAAATAGTTTTATATAAATAAAACTATTTAATAAGAGGTAATTAAATTTTCAAAATGTAATTAGAATGAAATTATTTAAGTAACTTTTTAAATAAACTTTTTTATTTTTAAATGCACTTAAATAACTTTAAATAGACTTTATTTATATGAAACTATTTAATAAGAGGTAATTAAATTTTCAAAATGTAATTCAAATCAAAATGTTGTTCACTTAAATAACTTATTAAATGTTGAGGTTCATTACTATTAATTTGAGTTTTCCTTTTTAATCCTCACAATTTCGAATAATTTAGAAAAACCTAGCTGTGTGATTACACATGAAAAATGCTTTTTGACTTATTACCTTTATTGTAATTTATACTTTTTGAGGAAAATATCAAATTGCAGGTATTTTGGATATGATTTATAATTTTAACCTTTAGATAGTTACTGTTAATAATTCCAAATTATTTGGAAAAATCTTGATTATAACAGCAATGTTAGTGTTTTGGCTGAAATAAATTAAGAAAAAATTGGAGGTGGGGATAAGTATAATTCATTAGTTATACCTGTCTTTATTACTCATTTAAACTTTGCTAGCCTGTTAACAAAACACCCAGATGTATGCAATAATAATTAAATTCAGTTGTCTTTCATATTCTACAGACTTTCAGTCATATAAAAACCAGAGTTTTATGTAACTGCCCAATGATTTCTTCTTGCCTGCTGCCCAGATAGAGCCAATATCAAGACAGGGGAATTGCAACAGAGTAAATGTTTAATAGGAGACCAGAGTTTTACTATTCAAATCAGTTTCCTCAAAAATTCAGAGACTGGGGTGTTTTAAGGATAATTTGGTAGGCAGGAGGTTAGGGAGTGGGGAGTGCTATCAACTGGGTTGGAGATGAAATCACAGGGAGAAAAATATCTGAAACACCAATCTTAGGTTTCATAATAGTGATCTTATCCCTAGGAGCAATTGAGAAGTTCACGAATCTTGTGGCCTCTGGCTGCATGACTCCTAAACCATAATGTCTAATCTTGTGGCTAATTTGTTAGTCTTTATAAGGTGATCTGGTTCCCAGGCAAAAAGGGGTTTGTTTCGGGAAAGGACTGTTATTATCTTTGTTTTTAAGTTAAAGTATAAACTAATTTCCCCCTATTGTTAGCCAGTCTATGCCCAGTAGTGAACAATGGCAGTTTGGAAGTTAAAAGGAAAGAGAGAGTTGGTAAGATCTCTTTCGCTGTCATGATTTTCTCCATTAAAACTTTGCAAAGGCAGTTTCTTTTATGCAGTTTGATTTTGTTACTATGAACGTGAAGTTAGGATAATAGAATACATTTTATTTAACCATTTTAAGTTTGACTTATATATAACCTTTAAACATTTAGACATATGGTATGCTGACTTTGTGTATGCTCTTTTCCTGAGCTTTGCAAATGTTAGGGCTGGTTCAGAACGTAGTTAGTAATTGCCTGAAAGAGGTCTCAAACCCCTCCTATGTGAAATCAAGTCCCTGTATGTATCTTCTATGTGTCAGACCTCTTTGTGTTAGGTGCTTTTTAGATGGTTACACATGCAAAAGGCACATGGGGTCAGGCAGGGGTCCAAGGAGTAGCAAATTTGCTCTTAGGCTAGTCCCTCCTCTTCCTCTGCCTGTGAGACAAAGGACAGACACAAAGGACCAAAAGCGAGATCCAAGACATATTGCTTCAATTCCCTTGGCAGTAAATGAAGTCACAGCACATTCTGGCAAAAGGACCACCTTCCGGCCGGGCGTGGTGGCTCATGCCTGTAATCCCAGCACTTTGGGAGGCCGAGGCAGGCGGATCACCTAAGGTCAGGAGTTCGAGACCAGCCTGACCAACATGGTGAAACCCCATCTCTACTAAAAATACAAAAATTAACCAGGCATGGTGGCGCGCCCCTGTAATCCTGTAATCCCAGCTACTCGGGAGGCTGAGGCAGGAGAATCACTTGAACCCTGGAGATGGAGGTTGCAGTGAACCCAGATCACGCCATTGCACTCCGGCCTGGGTGACAGAGCAAGACTCCGTCTCAAAAAAAAAAAAAAAAAAAAAGAAAGGACCACCTTCCCCTTCCCCCCACCACACACATGCATGCATTTGTACTTGCACATCTCACCTTCTGAACTATACATTCACACCTTATTTCTTTCTTCCTTTAACCAAGGCAAAAGTAACTTGTCCCATTAAATCCAAATCTTCAACCTCAAGCACAGAAGCCTGTGCTTTTCTTTACCATGGCTATTGTATCCTCTGCCTTATTGGCAGTACACTGCCAACCTCCTGACATGGAACTGAGAATTAAAACTCCTAGCTTTTAATCAAGTCCCTGCCCTTCCTAGTTGTATGACCTCGGGCTAGTTACTAACCTCTATGCACCTGGCTTCTTGCCAAACCTAGAATGAGTATGTGCATATCAAAGAACATGATAGCAGGGGAAGGTGAAAGTATTTTGAAAACTATTACGGTTTCTCTAAATAGAGACCACGCCCACTGGATCCTCTTCTCTACCCTCAGTACAAATGCAAAATAGCTCCCAGTTCCCCAGGGATCGCTCTAGGAAGGGACAGCTAATCTGATAAACACGGGGTTAATAGATGCTAACATATTCATGCATTTGTTGCTCCAAGTAACATTTGCAATTTAACAAGAACCTTCTATGTCTTAACAGGAGGTGCTATTCTAAGGATAGGGCTTGCTGGCAGCCCAACAGGTGTTGGTGGGAGCAGGTACTGGTAGGAGGAGGAGCTGGTGGGTTGGTTATAGAAAAATCTAAAAGCACATGTTGAAAGGGGCTGTCTCTAAGAACAACTAGCCCCTCAGAGTGTCTCCCACACTTCTGTTTCCCAAAAATGTATGGCTAACACTGAATTATTCATCCTCTCAGACTGGGACCATTTACTCTAATAGTTGAGAATCCCAGGAGAGTATTTTGAGAGCCTGATAACCAAGAGAGACTGCAACTTCTGAGCTCTAGCCACTGGTATTGTTAGCAGTTTCATTTACCTTCCACCTGCCTGTCAGAGGGTAGGCAAGACCCCTGCTTGGTAAATGGGGCCCTCAAGGCTGCACAGCCTTCATTTCTGTCTCCAGGTCAGAATTTCAGGTCCCAAAGCCTTCCTTGATTCAGCCAGAAAAAACAAATCAGGACAGGTTTTTTTCCAAAGAAACTTTGTACATTTGCTTTATAATTGGTGTCTAATAATGATGGAATTTAATTTATAAGCAGATATTTTTGCAAATAAAAGGGAATTTGTTTTCAATATGCATGTCAGAATAATATAATGATAAATAATATTCAGCATTTATTAAATGTCTACTACTATTCTTTGCCTGCGTACAGTATGTATATATAAATCTTTACAGAAAACCCATGTGTCATCTCTATTTTACAGGTTGAGGAAATGGGATCTATGGAAAGATGTAAAATGAAGGATACCAGGACACTTAGGTTGAAATCTGGCCCTATGAATTTTTTGCTGTGAGACATTGGGCAGGCGACTTAACTGTCTGAGGTTCATATGTAATATGGAAATATCAATATTTATTTTATTGAAATATGATAAGAACGAAATGAAAGAAAGTTAGGGGAAAGTTCTAGAAACCAGTAGTTTAAAAATAAATGTTTATTTTCTTCCCCTCTCCTTTGTTTTACAAATAAGGAGAAAAGAGTTCTGGAGTTGTTAAATGACTTGCTCTGAGTGCCCCAGTGAGTCCTGTGTGTCAGCACAAGAACCCAGATTCCCTGATCCTAAGCATTATTCTTTCCACCTCTTCTCACTATCTGTTCCTTCTCAGCATCAATTCAACCGAGTGACTCTTTCTCCCCGGTTCCTTCCAATTGGCCTCACAAAGAGCTTGGGTGATGTCTGCCAAAGTACATCTTCGGGGTAATTAACCTATTGATTTCCTACAAGACTGCCTTGGGTTTTGTTTGTTTCTAATCTTGGCATATCCTAAATGTATGTGTGTACTCTGAGACTGCAACACAGTGCCAATCTATGTGAATAATGCAGAATTTTGTGCCATAAATCATGATGAAATGAACTTAACCACTATCTGCCCTCCATCAAGGAAGCTTCCCCAGAGATGAAGAAAATTTGTCAGTGGTTGTTTATCTGCATACCTATTTGGAGGCCCCAGCGAAAACGGATCCCCCTAACATAGACTCACACACACCCAGCCACACACACACATACACACAGCTGCACATACACTATTATCCACTCACATTCTTAATGCCAGCCTCAACACTACTGACATTTTGGACTGGAAAATTCTTTGTTGTGGGATCTGTCTCATGCATTGTTAACTATTTAGCAGCATTCTGGCCTCTACCCATTGGATGCCAGTAGCAACCTTCTCCCCTGAGCCACAACTACAGTTGTCTCCACACATGACAAATGTCCCATGGGGAGTAAAGCTGGCTTCACTTTAAGACCACTGGCTTACATGATTTCAAAGGGCCTCTGAACACTATTCTTTTCAGAGCTCACGTCCCTACCCTGAGTCAGCACATAATGGGAAATGAATGAGACCTTGTGTCACCAGTTACGTCCTCCTCTTCAGATTTTTTCTTTGGGCTAGCCTGAGAGTTGGTGTGGCTCCTAGGACTCAAAGGATGCCTCTTGGCTTTTGTGTGAGTGAAGCAAATCCTTGTGGGCCAGGACTGTGGTACTTTCAAAGAGTGCCTTCTTATGGAATGACCTTTGTGGTCCTAGTCAATGCCAATTTCCCACTTTCTTTTTCTCTTTTGTAATTCCCAAACATATAACACAACAGTAAAATGTGCGAGGCAGTCTGGTGTAGATAGTGAGCCTAAATGATAGTGACTTACTTTCACTTCTTGAACAGAGTTTAGCATATTCCTATATACACTTTCTCCCCCTTATTTATATATTTATTCCAATGTACTTCTCATATACGTCCCAGGAATGAGAAGGAACATTTGTAAAACAATCCAAGCAACGAAAAAAAAAAGATGGGATTATCAAAACCTCACTTGTGAAATACAACTAAAATAAAAACGAACCCTTCCTGAGTAAGCACCAAACTTTAACAGAACTTATCGTTGTGGCATGAAATTGTAGTGGTCATTTCTTTTCTAATATACACGTATTGATCTGGGATTTTTATTTTAATATGTATACTTTACATGGGATTACAAGAAAAAATAAAGACATTTCTAAAAGAAAGATTAGGGAGGCATATATTAAAATGAAAATAGTGATTGACACTTTCTCCATGTTCCACAATTTCTGCAATGTAAGGCATTATTTTACAATGATTATTAAACTACCTTGTTGAAGTACATTTCTTGAGCACCTGTGTCAAGAAATAGAGTATAGTGGCCTTCCAGAAGTCCTCACTCTGCATCCTCCATGACCTTCCAGAGATCCTATCCCTGCATCCTCCATAACTGCCCATCTGCTACTCTTAAATGATAAGCACTATTCTGATTTCTAACAGCATAGCTTAGTTTTATTTGTTTGAAGACTGCATAAATAGAGCCATCCAAAATGTATTTATCTTTGTATTCAATCTACTACTAAAGGGCATTTATAAGTCAAACTATGTTGTACTCAGGAAATGTCAGTTATAACACAACATTTACATTCCTACTTATATAAAATTAATGTATCAAACATAGATAATTATATATGTCTATATTAATATGTTCTATTATATTTGGCATTTATTCATGTATTTTGTAGCTAATTTATGTGCTTACAAGGAAATATTTTACCTATATGAATAGTATATATACAAAAAAGTGGAAAACATAGGATGAAATTTTAACTGTGATAATATCTGAATGTTGCAAATATGGTTAACTTTTATTGTCTAATTTCTGTTTATATCTAGCTGGCCAACTCTTATGTTGAAACTCAGAGTATAGCTCCTTCCACCAGTGGGGTGTTTTTTTTTCTTTTAATTGAAATTTTGTTCATTGGGAAACTGTTACCAAACAGATCATGAATTGCCCAAGTTTACACTTTAATGGCAGACAAAGGTCAAAAACTCTAATAATTTTTTCCACCATATGGTGCTTTACTTTTTTTCTTACTGGCTAAGAAAGCTCATTCTCAATAAATACATTTGAATAATAAAGAGAGAAAAATAATTTCAGAATATGATGAATATCTGCATTTGGCAAGGCATTATCTTCCCAGAGGCCTAATTAGGTTATAACTTCCAAAAGTTCTTCAAGTGACTCTCTGATATTGCCTCTACTATATTTTCATGCTTTATTTCTTATGCTCCCACCTAAAATGATGTTGCACATGGTCTAGAAGATTTTCTATCCAGGCATCCACTTTTAATTTTATTTATGACTTCATTGAAATTCTGATTTAGTCAATCTTATCTTTAAATGCAAAGTCAAAGTAGAAGCACTAGTTCCCCATTTTCCACAATTAATATTTTTAGATTCAAGCTTTGTGTCTTATGGGTTGAATTTTGAGATCCCATCCAGCAAAATTAAGCATTACTTAGTAGACTGGTGGCTCTCTGGTATAGAAGTTGCTCTTGGAGCTTATGAGGATGATTGTTGAAATGATTCAGGCCCTCAACCTGGATAAGACAAACCGAACTCTGATTTGATGTAATACAGTATCTCAAGCCTCATGCTCATCCTTCAGCGTCAGAGGACAACTTGTGAGCCTGGTCTTAAAGGACTCATTTATCTTTTACAAGACATATTTTCATTAGCTTTTCTTCCATACATACTCTTAACCCGGAATCACAGAAGCCTTCCTTTTTCTCGGGTATGCTTTTGTGTTATTTTTGCATTCTTTTTTTTTTTAAGTTGATCATCTTTATTTTATTTTATTTTACTTTATTTTTTAAATTTAATTTAATTTTATTTTTTGCTTAAATTCTTTTTATTATACTTTAAGTTCTAGGGTACACGTGCACAACGTGCAGGTTTGCTACATATGTATACATGTGCCATGTTGGTGTGCTGCACACATTAACTCGTCATTGACATTAGATGTATCTCCCAACGCTCTCTCTCCCCACTTCCCCCACCCCATGACAGGCCCTGGTGTGTGATATTCCCCTTCCTGTGTCCAGGTGTTCTCATCATTCAATTCCCACCTATGAGTGAGAACATGCGGTGTTTGGTTTTTTGTACTTGCGACAGTTTGCTGAGAATGATGGTTTCCAGCTTCATCCATGTCCCTACAAAGGACATGAACTCATCCCTTTTTATGGCTGCATAGTATTCCATGGTGTATATGTGCCACATTTTCTTAATCCAGTCTATTATTGATGGACATTTGGGTTGGTTCCAAGTCTTTGCTATTGTGAATAGTGCCACAATAAACATAACGTGTGCATGTGTCTTTATAGCAACATGATTTATAATCCTTTGGGTATATACCCAGTAATGGGATGGCTGGGTCAAATGGTAATTCTAGTTCTAGATCCTTGAGGAATAACCACACTGTCTTCAAGAGTGGCTGAACCAGTTTACAGTCCCACCAACAGTGTAAAAGCTTTCCTATTTCTCCACGTCCTCTCCAGCTCCAGCACCTTTTTGTTTCCTGACTTTTTAATGATCGCCATTCTAACTGGTGTGAGATGGTGTCTCGTTGTGGTTTTGATTTGCATTTCTCTGATGGCCAGTGAGGATGAGCATTTTTTCATGGGTCTTTTGGCTGAATAAATGTCTTCTTTTGATATGTGTCTGTTCATATCCTTCACCCACTTTGTGAAGGGGTTGTTTTTTTCTTGTAGGTTTGTTTGAGTTCTTTGTAGATTCTGGATATTAGCCCTTTGTTAAATGAGGAGATTGCAAAAATTTTCTCCCATTCTGTAGTTTGCCAGTTCACTCTGATGGTAGTTTCTTTTGCTGGGCTTCGATCCGATTTGTCAATTTTGGCTTTTGTTGCCATTGCTTTTGGTGTTTTAGACATGAAGTTCTTGCCCATGCCTATGTCCTGAATGGTATTGCCTAGGTATTCTTCTAGGGATTTTATGGTTTTAGGTCTAACATTTAAGTCTTTAATCCATCTTGAATTAATTTTTGTATAAGACGTAAGGAAGGGATCCAGTTTCAGCTTTCTACATATGGCTAGCCAGTTTTCCCAGCACCATTTATTAAGTAGGGAATCCTTTCCCCATTTCTTGTTTTTGTCAGGTTTGTCAAAGATCAGATGGTTGTAGATGTGTGGCATTATTTGTGAGGACTCTGTTCTGTTTCATTGGTCTCTATCTCTGTTTAGGTAACAGTACCATGCTGTTTTGGTTACCGTTGCCTTTTATTATAGTTTGAAGTCAGGTAGCATGATGCCTCCAGCTTTGTTCTTTTGGCTTAGGATTGTCTTGGCAATGCAGGCTCTTTTTTGGTTCCATATGAACTTTAAAGTAGTTTTTTCCAATTCTGTGAAGAAAGTCATTGGTAGCTTGATGGGGATGGCATTGAATCTATAAATTACTTTGGGCAGTATGGCCATGTTCATGATATTTATTCTTCCTATCCATGAGCATGGAATATTCTTCCATTTGTTTGTGTCCTCTTTTATTTCATTGAGTAGTGGCTTGTAGTTCTTCTTGAAGAGGTCCTTCACATCCCTAGTAAGTTGGATTCCTAGGTATCTTATTCTCTTTGAAGCAATTGTGAATGGGAGTTCACTCATGATTTGGCTCTCTGTTTGTCTGTTATTGGTGTATAAGAATGCTTGTGATTTTTGCACATTGATTTTGTATCCTGAGACTTTGCTGAAGTTGCTTATCAGCTTAAGGAGATTATGGGTTGCAATCCTAGTCTCTGATAAAACAGACTTTAAACCAACAAAGATCAAAAGAGACAAAGAAGGCTATTACATAATGGTAAAAGGATCAATTCAAGAAGAAGAGCTAACTATCCAAAATATATATGAACCCAATGCAGGAGCACCCAGATTCATAAAGCAAGTCCTTAGAGACCTACAAAGAAACTTAGACTCCCACACAATAATAATGGGAGACTTTAACATTCTGCTGTCAACATTAGACAGATCAGTGAGGCAGAAAGTTAACAAGGATATCCAGGAACTCAGCTCTGCACCAAGAGGTCCTAATAGACGTCTACAGAACTCTCCACCCCAAATCAACACAATATACATTCTTCTCAGCACCACATCACACTTATTCCAAAATTGACCACATAGTTGGAAGTAAAGCACTCCTCAGCAAATGTAAAAGAACAGAAATTATAACAAACTGTCTCTCAAACCACAGTGCAATCAAACTACAACTCAGGATTAAGAAACTCACTCAAAACCGCTCGACTACATGGAAACTGAACAATCTGCTCCTGAATGACTAGTGGGTACATAATGAAATGAAGGCAGAAATAAAGATGTTCTTTGAAACCAATGAGAAAAAAGACACAATATACCAGAATCTCTGGGACACATTTAAAGCAGTGTGTAGAGGGAAATTTATAGCACTAAATGCCCACAAGAGAAAGCAGGAAAGATCTAAAATTGACAGCTCATATCACAATTAAAAGAACTAGAGAAGCAAGAGCAAACACATTCAAAAGCTAGCAGAAGACAAGAAATAACTAAGACCAGAGCAGAACTGAAGCAGATAGAGACACAAAAATCCCTTCAAAAAATCAATGAAGCCAGGAGCTGGTTTTTTGAAAAGATAAACAAAATTGATAGACAAATAGCAAGACTAATGAAGAAAAGAGAAGAATCAAATAGATGTAATAAAAAATGATAAAGGGGATATCACCACTGATCCCACAGAAATACAAGCTATCATTGGAGAACACTATAAACAGGTCTACACAACTAAACTAGAAAATCTAGAAGAAATGGATAAATTCCTGGGCACCTACACCCTCCCAAGACTAAACCAGGAAGAACTTGAATCCCTGAATAGACCAATAACAGGCTCTGAAATTGAGGCAATAATTAATAGCTTACCAACCAAAAAAACTCCAGGACCAGATGGATTCACAGCTGAATTCTACCAGAGGTACAAGGAGGAGCTGGTACCATTCCTTCTGAAATTCCAATCAATAGAAAAGAGGGAATCCTCCCTAACTCATTTTATGAGGCCAGCATCATCCTGATACCAAAGCCTGGCAGAGACACAACAACAACAACAAAAAAGAGAATTTTAGACCAATATCCCTGATGAACATCGATGCAAAAATCCTCAGTAAAATACTGGCAAACTGAATCCAGCAGCACATCAAAAAGCTTATCCACCATGATCAAGTGGGCTTCATCCCTGGGATGCAAGGCTGGTTCAACATATGTGAATCAATAAATGTAATCCAGCATATAAACAGAACCAAAGACAAAAACCACATGATTATCTCAATAGATGCAGAAAAGGCCTTTGACAAAATTCAACAGCACTTCATGCTAAAAACTCTCAATAAATTAGGTATTGATGGGACGTATCTCAAAATAGTAAGAGCTATTTATAACAAACCCACAGCCAATATCATACTGAATGGGCAAAAACTGGAAACATTCCCTTTGAAAACTGGCACAAGACAGGGATGACCTCTCTCACCACTCCGATTCAACATAGTGTTGGAAGTTCTGGCCAGGGCAATCAGGCAGGAGAAAGAAATAAAGGGTATTCAATTAGGAAAAGAGGAAGTCAAATTGTCCCTGTTTACAGATGACATGATCGTGTATCTAGAAAACCCCATCGTCTCAGCCAAAAATCTCCTTAAGCTGATAATTGACTTCAGCAAAGTCTCAGGATACAAAATCAATGTGCAAAAATCACAAGCATTCTTATACACCAATAACAGACAAGCAGAGAGCCAAATCATGAGTGAACTCCCATTCACAATTGCTTCAAAGAGAATAAAATACTTAGAAATCCACCTTACAAGGGATGTGAAGGACCTCTTCAAGGAGAACTACAAACAATTGCTCAAGGAAATAAAAGAGTATACAAACAAATGGAAGAACATTCCATGCACATGGACAGGAAGAATCAATATTGTGAAAATGGCCATACTGCCCAAGGTAATTTACAGATTCAATGCCATCCCCATCAAGCTAGCAATGACTTTCTTCACAGAATTGGAAAAAACTACTTTAAAGTTCATATGGAACCAAAAAAGAGCCTGCATTGCCAAGACAATCCTAAGCCAAAAGAACAAAGCTGGAGGCATCAGGCTACTTGACATTAAACTATACTACAAGGCTATGGTAACCAAAACAGCATGGTACTGTTACCTAAACAGAGATAGAGACCAATGAAACAGAACAGATTCCTCACAAATAATGCCACACATCTACAACCATCTGATCTTTGACAAACCTGACAAAAACAAGAAATGGGGAAAGGATTCCCTACGTAATTAATGGTGCTGGGAAAACTGGCTAGCCATAGGTAGAAAGCTGAAACTGGATCCCTTCCTTACACCTTATACAAAAATTAATTCAAGATGGATTAAAGACTTAAATGTTAGACCTAAAACCATAAAATCCCTAGAAGAAAACCTAGGCAATACCATTCAGGACATAGGCATGGGCAAGGACTTCATGTCTAAAACACCAAAAGCAATGGCAACAAAAGCCAAAATTGACAAATGGGATCGAATTAAACTAAGGAGCTTCTGCACAGCAAAATAAACTACCAACAGAGTGAACAGGCAACCTACAGAATGGGAGAAAATTTTTGCAATCTCCTCATCTGACAAAGGGCTAATATCCAGAATCTACAAAGAACTCAAACAAACTTACAAGAAAAAAACAAACAACCGCTTCACAAAGTGGGCAAAGGATATGAACAGACACTTCTCAAAAGAAGACATTTATGCAGCCAACAGACACATGAAAAAATGCTCATCCTCACTGGCCATCAGAGAAATGCAAATCAAAACCACAACGAGATACCATCTCACACCAGTTAGAATGGCGATCATTAAGAAGTCAGGAAACAACAGGTGCTGGAGAGGATGTGGAGAAATAGGAACACTTTTACACTGTGGGTGGGACTGTAAACTAGTTCAACCATTGTGGAAGACAGTGTGGCGATTCCTCAAGGATCTAGAACTAGAATTACCATTTGACCCAGCCATCCCATTACTGGGTATATACCCAAAGGATTATAAATCATGCTGCTATAAAGACACATGCACACGTATGTTTATTGTGGCACTACTCACAATAGCTAAGACTTGGAACCAACCCAAATGTCCATCAGTGATAGACTGGATTAAGAAAATGTGGCACATATACACCATGGAATACTGTGCAGCCATAAAAAGGGATGAGTTCATGTCCTTTGTAGGGACATAGATAAAGCTGGAAACCATCATTCTCAGCAAACTATTGCAAGGACAAAAAAGAACAAACACCATATGTTCTCACTCATAGGTGGGAATTGAATAATGAGAACACTTGGACACAGGACGGGGAACATCACACACACACTGTCATGGTGTGGGGGGAGGGGGGGAGGGATAGCATTAGGAGATATACCTAATGTAAATGATGAGTTAATGGTTGCAGCCCAGAAACATGGCACATGTGTACCTATGTAACAAACATGCACATTGTGCACATGTACCCTAGAACTTAAAGTATAATAATAAAAAAATTTAAAAAAAGGAAAAGAAGTCAAATGGTCCCTGTTTGCAGATGAGATGATTGTAGATTTAATTTTGCATTCTTTCTATTGTCATTTAAATTTTTTATTTCAATAACTTTTAGGGTACAAGTGGGTTTTGCTTACTTGGATGAACTGTATAGTGGTGAAGTCTGAGATTTTAGTGCACCTGTCACTAAATTAGTGTACATTATGACCAATATGTGTCACCTCTCCCTTCTGAGTCTCTAAAGTCTATTATATCACTCTATCTGCCTTTGCATACCCATAGCTTAGCTCCCACTTACAAGTGAGAACATACGGTATTTGATTTTCTTCACTTGGAATAATGACTTTGAATTCCATCCAAGTTGTTGCAAAGGACATTATTTCATTCATTTTATGGCTGAGTAGTATCTCATGGTGGATATATACCACATTTCCTTTATTCACTCATTGGTCAATGGGCACTTAGTTTGGTTCCATATTTTTGCAATTGTGAACTGTGCTGTAATAAATATACACATGAGGACATTTTTTGATATAACTTCTTTTCCTTTGATAGATATCCAGTAGTGGGATTGCTGGATCGAATGATAGATCTACTTTTAGTTTCTTAAGAAATCCCCATACTGTTTTCCATAGAAGTTGCACTAATTAAGATTCCCACCAGCAGTGCATAAGCATTCCCTTTCACCAAATCCATGCCAAAACCTATTGTTTTTTGACTTTTTAATAATAGACATCTGGCTGGGGTAAGGTCATATCTTGTGGTTTTGATTAGTGATGTTTAGTGATGTTGAGCTTTTTTATATGTTTGTTCATCATTTGTATATCTTCTTTTGAGAAATGTCTATTCCTGTTATTCGCCCACTTTTTGATGGGTTTTTTTTTCTTGTGTTGATTTTTTTGACTTGTTTGTAGATTCCCTTGGAGATTCTAGATATTATTTATTTGTCAGATGCATCATTTGCAAACATTTTCTCCCATTCTGTGTGTTGTCTGTTTATTCTGATGATTATTTCTTTTGCTGCACAGAAGCTTTTTAGTTTAATTAGGTCCCGTTTATGTATTTTTGGTTTTGTTGCATTTGCTTTTGGGGTCTTAGTTATAAATTATTTGCCTAGGCCAATGAGCAGAAGAGGTTTTCCTAGGTTATCTTCTAGAATTTTTATGGCTTCAAATATTAGATTTAAGCCTTTGATTTATTTTGAGTTAATTTTTGTTTAAGGTGAGTTATAGTAATCCATTTTCATTCTTCTACAAGTGGCTATCCAGTTTTCCCAGCACCATTTATTAAACAGGGTGTCCTTTCACTTATGTATGTTTTTTCAATGCTTTGTCAAAGACCAGTTCGTTTTAATTATTTAGCTTTATTTCTGGGTTCTCCATTCTATTCAACCCGTCTATGTTTCTACTTTTATACCAAGAACATGCTGTTTTACTAACTGTAGCTTTGCAGTATAACTTAAAGTCAGGTGGTGTGATGCCTCCAGATTTCTTCTTTTTGCTTAGAATTGCTTTAGCTATTGAGTCTCTTTTTTGGTTCCATATGAATTTTAGGATTTTTTTTCTAATTCTATGAAAAAATATGATTGCATTTTGATAGGAATTGCCTTGAATCTGTAGATTTCTTTGGGCAGTGTGGTCATTTTCCTGATATTGATTCTTCCTATCTGTGAGTATAAGACTTCTTTTCATTTGTTTGTGTCGTCTGGCTTCTTTCAGCAGTGTTTCTTAGTTATCCTTGTAGAGATCTTTCACCTCTTTGGTTAGGAATATTCCTGGGTTTTTTTTTTTTTGTAGCTATTGTAAAGGGGATTGAGTTCTTGATTTGAGTCTCAGGTTGGATGTTGTTGGTGTATAGCAATGTTACTGATTTGTGTACATTGATTTTGTAACTTGAGCCTTTATTGAATTCATTTATCAAATCTAGGAGTCTTTTGGAGAAGGCATGAGGGTTTTTTTAAGTATACAGTCATATCATTGGTAAACAGAGATAGTTTGACTTCCTCTTTTCCAATTTGGATGACCTTTATTTATTTCTTTCTCTTGCACTTCCAGTACTATGTTGAATAGAACTTGTGAAAGTGAGCATGTTTGCCTTGTTCCAGTTCTCATGGGGAATACTTTAAACTTTTCCCCATTCATTATGAAGCTGTGGGTTTGTCACATATGGTTTTTACTATTTTGAGTTATGTTTCTTCTATTCCCAGTTTCTTGAGATGTTTTATCATAAAGAGATATCAGATTTTATCAAATGCTTTTTCCGCATCTATTGGGATGATTGTGTGTGTGTGTGTGTGTGTGATTGAGACAGGATCTCACTCTGAAGTGGAGTGGCAAAATCATGGCTCACTGCAGCTTTGGCTTCCCAGGTTCCATTGATCCTCCCACCTCAGCCTCATGTGTAGCTGGGACCACAGTTGTGAACCACCATGCCTGACTAATTTTGCTTTTGAATTTTTGTTTTTGTTTTGTCGAGATGAGTTCTTACCATGTTGCCCAGGCTAGTCTCAAAAACCTGGCTTCAAACAATCCTCCTACTTCAGCCTCCCAAAAGGCTAGGATTATCAGTGTGAGCCAACACACTTGGCCTTGGTTTTTGTTTTTAATTCTGTTTATGTGAAGTATCACATTTATTGACTTGTGTAAGTTAAATTATCCCTGCTTCCCTAAGATAAAACTCACTTGATCATCATGTATTATCTTTTTGATGTGTTGTTGGATTTGGCTAGCTAGCATATATATATATATATATATATATATATATATAGAGAGAGAGAGAGAGAGAGAGAGAGAGAGAGAGAGAGAGAGAGAGAGAGAGGATTTTCTTATCTATGTGCATCAGGGATATTGGTTCACGGTTTTATCTTTTTGTTATGTCTGCTCCTGATTTTGATATGAGGGTGATACTGGCCTCATAAAATGAGTTAGGAAGGATTCTGTCTTTCTCAATCTTTTGGAATAGTTTCAGTAGAATTGGTACCAATTCTGCTTTAAACATCTGGTAGAATTCAGCTGTCAATCCATCTGGCCCTAGGCTTTTTTGTTGTTGTTGGCAATTTTTTATTACTGATTCAATATCACTGCTTATTATTGGTCTGTTCAGTGTGCCTGTTTCTTCCTGATTTAATCTAGGAGGGTTGTATGTTTCCAGGAATTTATTCATTCCCTCTAGATTTTCTCGTTTGTGTGCATAGAGGTGTTCATAGTAGTCTCAAATGATCTTTTGCATTTTTGTAGTGTCAGTTGTAATGTGTCCATTTTTATCTCTAATTAAGCATATTTGAATCTTTTCTCATCTTTGTTAATCTTGCTAATGGTCTACCAATTTTGTTTATATTTTCAAAAAATCAACCTTTTGTTTTATTGATCTTTTATAATTGTTTTTCTTTCAAATTCATTTAGTTCTGCCTTGATCTTTGTTATTTCTTTTCTTCTGCTAGCTTTGGATTTGGTTTCTGTTTCTCTAGTTCCTTGAAGTGTAAAATTAGTTTGTCAATCTGTGATCTTTCAGACTTTTTGATGTAGGCATTTAGTGCTATAAACTCTCCACTTGGCACTGTTTTTGCTGTATCCCAGAGATTTTGATAACTTGTGTCACTATTACAGTTTATTTCAAGGCGTTTTAAAATTTCTATCTTGATCTCATTGTTAACTCCCAAAATCACTCAGAATCAGATTGTTTAGTTTCCTTTCGTTTGTATAATTTTGAGGGTTCCTTTTGGAGTTGATTTCTAATTTTATTCTACTGTGGTCTGAGAAGAACCTTGATATGATCTTGATTTTTTTTTAATTTATTGAATCTTGTTTTGTTGCCTATAGCCTCTCTTAGAGAAGGTTCCGTGTGCTGATGAGATGTATATTCTGCAGTTCTTGGGTAGAATGTTCTGCAAATATCTGTTAGGTCCATTTGTTCTAATGTGTAGTTTAAGTCCATTGTTTTCTTGTCAACTTTCTGCCATGGTGATATTTCTAGTGCTCTCAGTGGAGTGTTGAAGTCCCCCACACCCCATTATTGTGTTGCTGTCTATTTCATTTCTTAGGTCTACTAGTAATTATTTTATAAATCCGGAAACTCCAGAGTTAGGTGCATATATATTTAGGATTTTAGTATTTTTTTTATTGGAGTGATCTGTTTATCACTATATAATGACCTTCTTGTTTGTTTGTTTATTTTACTTTTGTTGCTTTAAAGTCCATTTTATCTGATATAAGAATATCTACTATTGCTTGATTTTGGCTTCCATTTGTGTGCAATATCTTTTTCCACCTATTTAACTTGAGTTTGAGTTCATATGAATTTTTACATATTATGTAAGTCACTTGAAGATAGCAGATATTTGACTTGTGATTTTTTAATCTATTCTGTCAATCTGTATCTTTTAAGTGGATCAACAGACTATTTATGTTCTATGTTAATATTGAGATGCGAGGTGCTGTTCCAGTCATCATGTTTGTTAGATTGTTATCTAGATACTTTGTTTTCTTCATTGTGTTATTATTTTATAGGCCCTTTATTGTTTTAGAGTTTTATGCTTTGAAGAGGCTTTATTCTGGTGCATCTTTTGTTTCCAGATTTGGAACTTCTTTTAGCATTTTTCGTAGGGATAGACTGGTGGTGACAAATTTCCTCAGCATTTGTTTGTCTGAAAATGACTTTATTTCTCTTTTATTTATGAAACTTAGTTTTGCTGGATACAAAATTCTTGGCTGACAATTATTCTCTTTAAGGAAGCTAAAGTAGGACCCCAATCTCTACTAGAGTGTTAGGTTTTTCCTGAGGCCAGTGGTGTTTTTATTGCTCACATGTCAACCTCCACATTACCTAATGCCATGGCCCCACTTGGAAGAATCTACCTTCCATATACCCCTTGTCTCAATCTCTCCTTTTTGCCTCTGAGGATAGCCCTATTAATTCTGCCCTATCTTATAGGCCAATATTTCTCAGACTTTAATGTGTATGTGACATGTGTCCCTGGGTTTTGTTAAAATTCAGATTCTGATCCAGTAAGACTGGAAGTGGGAGTGGTTCTCAGACTCTATATTTCTATGCTGCCTGTTTATAGAATGGACTTTGAGAAACAAGGCTCAAGACCATTTTTCTCCCCACTCCCAGACCTATTTCACTTCAACTCCTTGCCACCTACTTTATGCCTCTTTTATAGGTACTCTGAGAAATTCCAATAAGATAATCAGAGCAGAAACACAAGTAGTGTCAGAGGGAGGGAAATGTCTGGAAGAAAGAAAAAATCAAGAGATTGTATCAATGAAGTTGGATCTATAAAAAATGTACTAAAATTTTGTACCTGTAGGATATATAATTGTTTTACCTCTTGTCATTTTACTCTGTTTCCCAGGCTTTAAAAACATATATCATCAGAGCTCTGTATTTATGTTGAGACTTTCTCCAGCTCTTCCCTTAAGGTTGTTGGCATACATATAGGAATCCTTGAATCTGGGTCTTGTGTACTTTGGAGACCTTTTTCTGTTTTGTTGTTTTCACAATCTTGAGACTAAAAGGATGGGATTTGTATAGGCTGTATGTCATAAAACAGTAAACAATCAATTTTTCCTATTCAAACAAGAAGACACCCTTTTTCCTTGTATGTTTTTGTCTTTGGTTGCTATTTACTTATTAAAAAAAGAGTACCACAAAATATGGGAAACAGCTGATATTAACATGTTTGTATATTATTTTGGCTAATTTTTAATCTGCTATATTTCCAGCACTTCCTCAAAGCATCATAAATAGCAATGTAAGATATTCTATAGTTGTACAGACCTACGAGAAGTTATGTTATAGAAAATAACTAAGAGGAAAATGATGCAGTCCTTTCTAAGTCCCCAACTGTTGCTTCAGCTTTCAGAAACTATAGATGAATGAGAATACACACTGCAAACCTCAAGGTGCCAGAGGACATTGTGAACATCATTGCACTATGAGCATAAAGCCTGGGCTTTGCAAAGAGACCTGCAGGTAGCAGCTCCCTAAAGAGTAGATCAAGTTAATTACCATGTTATTCATTTACTCTATCAGGAAAAAAATCTCTTATGCCTCAGGTACACAAAACTGATTATTATTAACATCTTTTTCCCTCCTCACACTCTCTCACATTTGTTAATATCAGGTGACAGAGAGACCAGGACATCCATCTCCTTAATGAAAAAAAAACAAACAAACTGACAGTCTATTATTTCTAGGTACTAAGGGCCACTCTTTCCCAGGGGCAAAGGGAGAAAGAATGATTTGCTGCTAACTGTGTGGCTTCTCTGTCTAACTCCAATAAGTTCACTACTTTCTCACCATTTCCAATCCCTTCCCGTCTATCCATGTTAAAGACAAAACAGAAATTCATGCTGGACTTTCTGGAGCAAAGGGTGCAAGCTCTGGTTAAGGCAGAAAATGAGTCATTAAACTGGGGCATATGTGGAAATTAGCAGGGAAAGGTCTTGGGTTCCCACTTCATCCCCAGGGAAGAAACAGTTAAGGTAGCTCACCCATTTGCAATAGCTTTAGGACCACAGACCACAGTCCACCAGCATTCAACTCACCTTCTCCTTGTCTTTCATTTCCTCCTAGATAGACTTGCTGTTTTCTCTCAAAGACAATCTAAAACGGTCAATATTTGGGACCCACCAAATCCTCCCCACCTCCACCTCTTCCTTCAAATAGGAGACCAGCCAGAGCTGAGGTAAAAATCAGTTGAGAAAGGGATGGCAAAATGGTGCAAAAAATATATCTCCTTCAATGTCCCCAATCACAGACTAGATGAAGAAATTGAGGCTTCAAGGAAAGCGTATGGTGGGGGAAAGGGGCACTGTTAGATAAAGGATGCTGTGATTTATTAAATATGTTTACCCTATACTCCAGACGCGTGAAGAACAAACAGAATAAAAAGAGAGGGAAAGAAATGTATAGAAAAAAAGTAGAACATTCAGGGAGGATGGAGAGGAGAAAAGCTTTATTTGTATCAAAGGTACCTATGTGTCTGTGATTTTGTCTCTTGGAGACATCCTATTTAATTGCTGCATATCCATCAGGAAGCAGACAGCCTTGAAGAGCATGTTTGAACTCAGACCTATCCACAGAGGAAGAGCAATACCATTTCAATATACTAGCTATCTTCCAGTTATGTAGGGTGTTTTTGTTTCTTGCTACCCTAAAGATAGCAAGACTCACATGGTGAGTCAGAAGAAAGAGAAAAACAAGTCAAAGACTGAGTTTAGTCCTCAGAATTTATTTTTGGTGCTTTCATAACATGGTAATAAGAATAAGCAAGGGGTTTATGGGGTGTGCCTGGAGCTCTTTGGCAATCTTAGCATTTGAAAACCCTGCCCTCCTCCTGGGCCTTTGTTGCTGACCTATTGATTTTTTTAAGCTCTGCAACATGAGGCTGGCTTACTGAAGGCTGAAGCTGCTCTGCCTGGCTAAGGGTTTTTATCATCCCCTTATTGAAATGAAGACTTATCATGACCTGTTTCAGTGGCAGCTGCCATTTGGGACAAGATTGATGTGGGCTCTGAATATTTTTTTAGTCATGGGAAGGAATGCTGCCTTTGGGTTGAAATTGGAGGGAAGAAGTATTGTCTAAGCAGTTCGTATTTTTTCCTTTTTCACTGTCCTCGTTGCAAAAATTATGATCCTTCTGATCAAGTCCTGTTCAATTCAATTTATCAGAAGGGTGAGTTTTTGATCAGTGGCTGTGTACAAATCTCCCCAAATCTCTCCAGAGATCTCAAGAGGAGTCTTTCTCCTGATCTACTACCAGTGCTTTCCTGGGCTCCCCATACACCCTTTTTCCACCCATGCTCCCCAGCAAGTAGAGAGAGCCCCCTTGTGTCCTCACCACCCACATCGCAGAATCTTTAGGGAGTGTTCTCAGGACCCTTGATTTTTGGGGGAAACTAGCTGCTGTTCTGGGCAGAACAATGGTGACAAATAAATTCCTTCCTGCTGTTCATTCTGTAAGTCTGCAGCCAACTTTTTCTCTTAATGTTGGTTCTTTACTTGTCTATGTCATTCTGGAACAGTGGAGGCATAGACTTTCCCTGTGCCTAAATTTAATGAAGTTTTGGCTCTATTTAAGCAATTTCTAAGGCTTTGGAGGTCATTAACTTCACAAATCTCCATCACAGTTGCTTTCTCTCTCTCAAGTTTTCAGAGGAAAGCCCACAGCTTTCCACAAAAGAATTCATGGGAAAACTTTTTCTCCAAACCCCTCCATCACTTCAGTCTGTCTAAGCTTCCATCCCTCTTGTGGACTGAAATTCAGCACGGTACAGCATCCTTGTAGCCACTATTGCTAAGGATCAGCTTATTGAGGCAAAATAGACTATCTCATTCCTAAGTGACTTCAGTGGTAACAGAGTTTTAAGGAGGATTACTGTAGACTAGATCCTCACCTTCTCCTGCTTGGCCTTCTGTACCTTGTGGGACTTTTTACTTTGGGTCCATGCAGTATGGATATTGTGACTTTAGAATAGTTTCTCAAGACAAAGCTGTAACTGTTATCTCACTTACATGAGATAGCATATGAGAAGTGTCCTAGCTTGATTCCACAGATGCAGTTCTAGACCCAGAACCATCTCTTCCTCTCTGGGTCTTAACTTTCCCTTTCTGTACAAGAAATACAAGGAAGGGAATGGGTTAAATAAACATTTCCCAAAGTGTGTTTCTCAAAACCGGAAGAAAGTTTGGTGAGACCAGTCTGGGAGATTCTGGGTTAAAGTTTGAAAGTTTTTGTTTTGTTTTGTTTTGTTTTCACTGCAAAACTCCCAGGACTTTAAATATAATAAAGAGCATTTTAAAAGTGCAAGGTGGAAAGTGTAAAAGAGATTACATCTCTCAAACTGTACGTTGCCCAATTCCTTCCATTTTTTCAGTGCATATCATGGGGCAAGTATGCCACCAAAAACACTTCACAACAGCAAAAGGCTGAATTATTTCTAAAGCTCCCCCAAGCTGTAAAATTATTTTTTGTAGAATTTTCCCTTCTGATTAAAAAACATAATGCTTAACACTATTAGCAATGTCATAAAACGGTAAAGTATAAAAAAAAGGATTCAGATATTCAGTGTTGAAGCTGAATTCCTTTTTAAAATTTGCATTTTGGAATAATAGTAATAAGAATGGATAAGGGTTATTAAGCAGCTATTTAATGTACAAGATACTGTGATAAGTGCTTTATATAGATTATCTAATTTAACTCTCACAAGAACCTTGTGATATATCCATTATTTCTATTTCCTATTTACAGATAAGGAAACTGGTGTTTCAAGAGGTTTGAAAAATAGTACAAAGCCATCCAATTAGCAAGAGACAGAGGCAACGCCTCCGCCTATTACAGTTTAATTCTAAGTATAATAAATAACCAATTCATTAAGTCTTCTCCTTTTCTGTACCCAAACTCAGCAAGCTGCCACAACAAACCAGAAATAAACTAATTGCAATGGTAATTATATTTCATCTAAATTTCTTGAGTTAGCATAAAATAATGTTGACTCATCAGTCTCTTAGGTATACTGGAAATAGATATATATAACAACTAAATGTTACCAAATGATTTATTATGATTTGTGCTAAATTACAATGCATATGAAATGGAGTCATTTATGGAAACACATAAAAATAGTTACCTATTCTGTAATTATATTCACACAAGAATCTGAAATATAGTTTCTGTTCTTCCTTTTAAAATATATCCACAGAATGACTTTTGTAGTTTTCACCATACAATTTTACAATACTGATACTGCACCTGTATCATTTACCATACTATAAGAACTAAACAGAATATGAAAGCAGTTAATAGCAAATTAATTTTTTATATCCATCAATGAATCCAAAGAAAAGAGTAGTTTGTTTCCATTGGCAGTGAGAATAGATGGTAGTAATTCGCAGTGTAGATATTGCATACATAGATATGTATGTATATATTTATATGTTGCTCAGGGCTGTTCCATCTATAGGCGGTTGCCTTCTGAGTGAACCAATGATTGCCAAAATGATGTGCAATTCCATTGGGACAATTAGTAGTAGCATTTTCTATCATGTTTTTCTCGCAAAAACAAATAGGTAAGAAAGAAATACAGCAGGCGAAGATCTACAGTGTTACATCCCAAGGTAAAAACAGTTAGAGTTATTAGAGTCACAGTAGTTTATGTATATTTGCTATTCACAGACTGCAGACTTTTTGCTGAATAACTGAGCTGCTGAGAACTGACGACATGTAGACATGCATTCATGTGAGTCCATAATTAATGATGTTTATACTGTAATAAGCACATTCATTTTAACACCAGTCAGTAAACAAATTCCTTTAAAGTTTGAGCTAAATCTGCTATCACAATTACGCACAAAAATAACCTGTAAACAATATGACGTTACATTTATGTACAAGCGAACTGCATTGGAAAGGAGAAGAGGTAATTTCATTGGGTGTCACTTGTTATTCATCAATGTGCAACAAACTGACCCAAGTCATCAAGTGCTTGAATGACGTCAGGAAAAAGTAACATGAGCAAGGCCCCAATAAGTCACCACTCAGCATTAGTACCAGCAAAATTCAGAATCCTCTATTTGTGGTGACATCACATTCACAGCATCAGAAACAGATGTCACAAGGAGCTTGATAATCCCTGGTCAGATGCACTTGAAATTTCCAGGTAACCTGATCAACAGGGTCTTTAACTTTAAAAGTGTAAGGGGTGGTGCTGATGTTATGTAAAAAAGTCAATTTAATTTGGACGAATTATTTTGTGGGTTAGGTTCGACCCAGTGCTCTGGTTTTGAAAGACATGGGGAAGAGGAATTCAACTAAGATTACTAAGTTCCTTCAGCCAACACAAAGATTCCTGATTTTACAGACTAAGCTGGGTGTCATTGCCAGTCTAAGGAGTGACTCATTTAAAGCAGATTCTATTAACAGATTACAGTGGGACTCTCTGAAGTGCAGCTCCGCTAAGTTTGTGTTTCTGTGTGTCTTAACTAGAATACCTTTCCAATTATTCATGAATCAATTTCCTTAAAGAAAAAAACAGGGTAATTAATGAGAGATTTTGACATCCGCCACCCATGATTTACAAAAATACATTAGTTTGTCCGTCTCTAAACTAAGCAGTATATTTTAAGACAAATTTTCCTGATTCAACTTTCTCCTTTGGAATTAAAAATAAATAAATAAAATAAAATGACAGAGGAACATGAAGTTAGGATGATGTAAAACGTCCCCTCTGCTCCAAAATTTTGGGGAAAAAACAATCGCTCCTTCAAATGTCCTCAAACCTAATTAGAACATTTCATTGCTTTAAAAAAATGGATTTTCTTTCTTATGTTTTTAAGACAACATCTTTAGAAGGCTGGTGAAAAAAGGATTCAGTGACCGTGCTTAATTAGTTTACAAGTGCTTCTGTTGTGTGGGCACACCTGACAGATCTCTGGGAGGAGGGATCTGTGCTAGGACTATCAGTTGAAGGCATGGGCTTGTGTGCATACAAACTGATCCCAAGGAGCAGCAGGGAATCTCTGTTTGCATAGGTTGACTTTAAATATTTTTCACATTCCCCAGTAATATGCAAAGCATGTGGCTATGAATGAGTACACAACTTACTGTATTCTTAAGATGGCCAAAATTCGTTAATTTGGTTGTTATGTCTGTAAAATGCCAAAATAGGTAAGTAAGGTTTTCTTGTATTTGACTTACATTGTTCTTTCTTTGAGCAACTATTTGGGTATTGTATAAACAGACTTCAAGTGTTATTTGCAGGAGACTAAAACTTTGTGATTATTACAATGTGCCCATGACTTTTAGTATCTATTTACAATATGCATATTATAAATTATTTACTATAGCTTTAAATAAATAGATAATTAGCTCCACCGATAAATCATGTAGGGACACAGGAACCCTCATCAGTGATAAAGTGAAATTAACCAGGATATAATAAATTAACCAATAGGTAAGTGAAGCACCACTAGGGCAATAACCATTGAATTTGTGCTATCATACACCTACATTTTTCTTTTTCTTCTTAAACATTATCACTGTTCATTTGGTAGTGTTTTGGGTTTTTTCTGGTTTGGTTTTTTTTTTTTTTTTGGAATGAAGAAGTGTGAAAACATGTAGTTTGAAATTCCAACAAATGGTTTGGATAAGAGAGCCAGTTTTTACAAGTTTGGTGTTTCCTTAAATGCACTTTTTTTGGTTTATTATTCATAGATATTAAATCTAAATATTTTGTTAATGTTCTCGGCACCATAAATAAATATATCCACTTTTAGTGGAAGAGAATTTTGGAAATTAGAACTATATTAGACCGTCTAGGAAACCAAATATAAATTGTAATAATAATAAGTTCTCCAAACTGAAAATTCCAAAGTTTTAAACTATGAGCTTTGTTTATGGGTGTATACATATGTACAGCTATAGATATATATTTATATATACACATTAAGATAGATGTACACACATATGTACATATATATACATAATTTTATACATAAACACAAAACACACATAAATACACACACTCCTCACACACACACACTCACACATGCATGCACGTATTTCGGTGAAGTTTCTTTTCTAAAGCTGCCTCTCTTTTTCCCAACTTATAACAGTAACAATGAGATGCTGAGGGCAGTTAATCACATTTGGGCTTTTGACCTGTCTTGAATAAAAACCTGAGACTGTTTAACAAGCCAAAAGATGAAAATAGCAGATACCTAGATACACTCATGCATAAACACATATAAACACGCTCATACACCTATTTTACTTCTCCTGAAGCTTGCCCTAGTGACCTGTGTGCAGCACAGCAAGCAATTGCAGGTGTCATTTTCTCCAGACGTGGAAGCTAGCTTATCACGGTGAGTTTCTTAGGGTATCAGTACTCACCAGATACTTGTTCTACAACATTATTGCCCCCTTGAAAATTTTTGTGGCATAAAGTACAAGCTGTAGCAAATCTGCCCTTTCTTTACCTCCTAGGCAGATACAAGTCACAAACAAACAAAAAAAACTGATGACTTTTAGGAAGGATGTCAGGCTGGGATCTCACCTTGTTTAGCATAGGAGAGAGGAGAAACAGGCAAAGTTCAGAGAACAGAGAGAACAGATTGTACAAAGAGATGGTTAAGCCAGCAGCCTTTAGAGTCTAATAAACTCAGAGGAAAATCTGGCTCTGCCACTTTTTAGCTATGAGCCTTTATGTGCTACTTTATCTTTCTGAGCCTCACTGACCTCATCTGTAAAGAGAGGATAGTGGTAGGGCTTACTTCATTGGATTATGATAGGATTAAATGAGATAAGGCATGAAAAGTACTCAGTAGAGTTTCAGGTACATAATAATAAATCTGTAATATATATTATTTATAACTGGATATTTAAACCATAATTCTAGAATACTGATCAGAACTACATATAGAAATAATGTTAGTCTAGGAATTGAATGAACTTAATTCAAGTTCTTTACTCCAAATTTGATTGCTTAGACATTATAATGCTCACGACAGTGACCTATATATAGTATGTACCCAACAAATATTTGCTGGATATATGCATAAACAAACAAATAAATGACCGATTTAAACTTTCTGGGTCCTTAGTTTCCCTTGTATAAAATGGAATTAGAATGACCCTACCATAATTCCATCCCTGGGATATTGGTATGATACATTAAAAGAAAAATGTCAAATCATTTCAGACACAAATTGTGTTCTAATAAAGTCAGTGTATATAAACTAAACAATAAGACTCAGTAGCAAGGACTTGTGCTTAGACTTGTCACATGTTTGGAAACAAGGACTTGGGAGCCACCCCTGGGTGAGTCTAGGAAACATATTTTCCAATAAGATTTTACCATCCTCAGAGAGGGAATATTCAACTCAAAGTAACAAAGGGTATGATAAGCAGTTACAGACAATGAAATCATTGGCCTGCTCAAAACACTTTCTCCCCCTTACTAGTTTCATTTCTGAGAGCACTTTGTGGTCTACTGTTGATCAGCTTGGGAAACATCTTTAACAGGATCATGTAAACTGAAAAGGATCCCAGAGTGCTTCACAACAAACACATTTAGCTGTTGAAAGATTGACAACATCACTGAAGTATAATTTTTCTGAGGCAGAAAGACTGAAGTAGAAGAACACAAGACACCTAAACTACAGGCCTTCCTCATCACTACCAGATCCCTGGAAAAAGTTTCCTATTTCTGTAAATCTCAGCTTTCACATCTGCATAAAGAGATAATTATGTCTAACTTCAAATAATTTCCATACATATAATTTCTATACACATTTAAACTGGTTCCGATTTTTATTTTTCTATTTTATCCTATTTATTGACCTGGAAGACTTCCCGTATATGGTACAGAAAAAAAAATGCCTTGACAAATTTAAACTCATGCTTAATTTAGAGTTTCTCAAGCTAAGCACTATTGACATTGTGGGCTGGATAACTTTTTGTTATGGAGGGCTTTCCAGTACACTGTAGGATCTTTAGCAGCATCTCTGGCCTATACCCATTAATTGTCAGTAGCACCCCTCAAATCATGAAACAAAAAATATCTCCAGGCATTGCCAAAAGATCTCTGGTATGCAAAACCACTCCTGGTTGAGAGCCACGGCCTTAAATGCACATAACCCACATGAATCAAGGAGAGTTTCCTGAAATTGTTTCTCTCTGTCTCTCACCTAAAGGGTATAGATAAACCACTGATCACTGGCTGCAATTAAAAAAGACTACTGATGATTAATATGTATTCTATGTCTATCTTAGCTTTCAAAAATACATTCTTTTTTTGAATAAGATGCTACTCTTCACTATATACATGGATATGAGTTTGATTTTTCCCCAGAAATTAGTATTGTTTGAATTTCACATGAGGAGACAAGCTCAAGCTTTACTTAACATTCTCAAGGACTGACATCCACAGTAGAGACAAACTATTGTGCTGAACTAAAAAGCTGTTAAACTATGTAACCAAAGGCTTTTTCCATGCACTCGGATAGCACTCCCACGCACATTATCCACTGAGCTGACATAAACCTAAAAATTGCACATGGCCATGTGCACACACACACATGCACACTAATGTAATTTGAAAGCAACTCTCATTACTTTACTAAGCATCAGTTCTGCTTCCATTTGTGATGGATGGAGACCACATCAGCAGGAAGAGAATATAAAGTTATGTTGATTTTTCACTGTGCAAATGCAGGTAAATTATCTAAAGGTCAATTCTAAAAATAAACTGATAAGATGGAGGAGGTTGCTGGAGACAAGAGACTTAATAAACCCTCTGGTTGGCATATAAGTGTTTTACAAAGCTGATTAACAGGAAGATTACCCCCACCCTCCTCCAGGACAAGCCCTTGATAGTTGCTAGGCCAGGCACATTTTTCTTTATCCTTTTAAAAGTAAATTTCCTAAATAATGCAAGGATGACAGTCTGGGAACTTAACATTTTTTACCTAATTGGCAACAAAATTTGTTCACAAGCAAGAGAAACATTTTTTGAACATTAGGAAGCCGGGACAGAAAAGGGATCCCACTTAGGAAGTAGAGGAGAGAGGGCAACAAACTGAATCAAATTTAACCATTTTTGTTTTAATCTTGGCCAATTTAACATAATTAGTTGCTCATGTTCATCAGTTTCATTAAACATCCTTCACTTTCCTTTGGCAATATTTACTCAAATATTCACTCATGATCATGACAAGCATGATCTCTATTTTCATCTTTCTTATAACGTGGGAATTTGGTATGTATCCAGTTACTCTGTTAAATGAATAGGGTCAATTGGATCATTGAAACCCTTTTGAATTCACTCTTTCTTGCTTTCTTTTTCTTTTTCTTTTTTTTTTTTTTTTGCATTTATTCTTACACATCAGTTTGGCTTCAAGTTTTTAGTTAATGTCAGGGTTCAGGATCTTCAATTATCTGAGAGCTTCATAGTCCTGATTGAGTCAAATTGGACAAATTTAGCAGTTCAATGGCGCAGGATTTGATTGGTTAAATATAGCTGAATTCACTAATCATTCCATATTCATTTTGGTTATATTTTATGTGCAGTTAATGGAATCACCTTTGGGGCCATATACACCATTAAATTATGGATCACTTTCAATTTCCTCCCACTCATACTAAGTAAGGGCCTAGAAATAAACAACTCTCCTTGGGAAAGATCATTATTTTTATTTCTTGTTGGGTATCATTAGAATACATCTCACTCAGAGATATGCTCCCATCTACCCAGAGCTAAGACTATAATAATGCAGGCTTTTATTTTGGGAAAAAACCCATACACATACACATACACATACACACACAATATGGAGAAAGGGTTATGGTTGACAGACAGCAGATGAAATGGCAAAGAATTCATGAAAATCTATTCTGCCCTAGTCTTAGGATATTTTTCTTTGGGTGTTTTCTCTTAAGATAATGAATAATGCATGCTTTGACTTATTTGTAGTGGGAAGAAAGTAAGAGAAAATGAGGAAGTGCTTCTAAGGAGTAAAGGAACTCTTGGCCTCTGCATATTCCCTAAACAGCAGAATTTTTCAAAGTAAGGTCTATAGACAATCCTCATCAAAATTATTAAGGAGACTAGCTCAAAATACAAATTTCTTTGCCCTGCTTCAAGTTTCTGAATCAGACTCTTTGAAGTTAGGTTGAAGGAATCTGCATTTTTACAAGTGCTACACATGATTTTTGTGCATACTGAGTATTAAAAAACACTATTAAAAAGTTTGCAATGGAGATCACTGGAAAAAGAATCTCCATTCCAACGTATACAGCAAGATGAGAATAATAGGCATTTCAAACAAATAAGCTCTGTGTTTGCATCACAAGGCTGTGATTATTAAAGTTTAAGACTCTATTCTTTCAGCAGGGGTAGAGAGCAATAACCATTTCGTCTGAAACCAGAATGATGAAGGCAATATAAATCAAACCTATTCCAGCAGGTTTCATTTGGTCTAATTTCTCTGCAGATATTAATCATTATACAGTTCTATACAAATGACATGTAACTCCATTGTAACTCAGGATACAGAATGTTCACTCTGGTTCTTTCTCTAGTGTGCTATTTTGACAATATAAAAGAAAATAAATAAATTGAAACTGTGGGGCATCAAGATTGCAAGACACCAACAATACCAAGACATTAAAGAGAGAAATGGCCCATGCTAAACCTATAAACCAGCATGCAAATTGGCAAAAACATTTATCTGCCACAGAGTCACCATAAGGAAAAATAAACTCCCTTCGTTTTTCTTTTGAAAATTGGTATGTCAGGTGGAGGTGACAAAGAATTCTTCCTAAAAGTTCACAGAAAGAGTATTATTAATTCTAGTAAAGATCATCTAGAAGACCAAGGCTAGTCAAATTCCATGGCATGGTATATAGTGGCAGAAAATACCAGCACTCAAATTCACAGATCTACACTATAGTAGATACAAAGTTGAAGGTTGGAATTGTAGCAAAGGAAAATGTATAAGAATCAAAATTTGGTTCCCATTGTGGGAGCTGGTGTCAAGTAATTTTACAAAACACCATACATGCCTTCCTTTTGTCTCATTGTAACATGTTTTGTCTGACACCAACAAAGGATCCTCAGAGAAGAATCTAAAGCCCAGGAAAGCAAAAGTAATCCAGAAGCGCAGGCAGTAATGGGGCCCAGAACAAGCAACACACCTGTGCCTATGGATAAAGATTCCTCTGAATCTAACAAGGCTAATTGAAAAGAGAAAAATTCCATGTCAACATCCCTTAATAAATGTGTTCCCCCAAAATGAATTGGTTGGAATAGATACAACTATAAAGGAATAAAGAGCAAAGGGAACGCTTATTATTTGTGCATTGTTCCCCCTTTTATTTTAATTCACCATGCATGCATTTTCAGTAAGATAACTGTGCCTATAAATACAAAGGATAACATCAGTGCATATTTTGGAAGCCACTTCATTTCATTATTTTTTGTCAGCATTTCAGTGCAATTTTTTCCTAGCAGGGGAAAGAAAATCACAATACCATATGATCTAGTAGTTTTACATTCCTGTCTTCCCCTTTTCCTGCTGAATGCAGATCAGTTCATTTTTGATAGTGGGTAGAAGGACTTTGTAAATATGTTTCTGACTTCAGACAACCCACATACCTTTAGGGAATGATCTCCCAAAGCTCACTGGATTTTAGTATCGCGGGATTTCCCAGAAGGCAATCTAAGTTGGGGCTCTACACATGTGATTCCCCATTCATTGTATCCACTCAATACTACTAACTTCTTTATATTAGCAATTTATGGCCCTTGTCATAACCAATGTTCGAGAAGTAAACCATATATATTGTTTTCTTCAGAATTAAACAAAAAGTTCTAAAAACTATTTTAACTTCAGGGAAACATGCCCGAGTCACAGTGACTACCAGAGTTACTAGAGCATGTACTCTTATAACTCACTTACCCAGAACTCATTTCCAGTGTTGCAGGCTACCTGGACCTCACTTGATAACTCCACTCAAACTAGGTACTTTAAGCCTCCTCAGAGCCTTTTACTGGCCAGGTCTATGTTCATTTCTATATAAACACTCACACAAATAAATGCCATGCTGTTGTCTTAGTTACTTGAATATTTTACCATGGGATGAGTGCCAGTCGAGAGGTGGCCCAGAATAAAAATATTGCTGTTGTGATGGTTTTAAACAGGTTTTCTATTCCAGCTTTGTTCACTGGATGTATAAGGAATGTCAGAGCAGAGAAAACTCATGACAGGTCAGGGGTCAGAGGAACACTGCCACGAACACTCCTTTTGCAGTGTTTAATTTCCTGTTTAAAGAATGTAGTAGAAATATTGGGTTGACTATCATCTTAATTCTTTACTCTTATAAGGGTATCTCTCTATCTTGAGGCCATTACAGTCAGGTCTGAAATTTAAGGAAGTTGGAACTTTGGCCATTTTAGTTAGACCCCCAAAGTCTTTGACAGTACTTCCAGTGACAACACAATAATCATTTGACCAAAGTGAGTTTCAGGATATTTTCCCCAAATTCAACTTCTTGACCCATTAAGCTCTGTGATTCTTTGCAAGATCTTCTGTTATTAGGATGATGGTATTGCCATGTGCTATCAAGAAACATTGAAAAGAATCAAGACATACTGGTAAGTTTACAAACAAAGCTATGTTGTAGTTAAGACCAAATATCTGCTAATATATTAATACAGAAAAGAATACCACTTAAATTCATAAATTATAATTCTCTTGACAACTCAACTCCCAAGATAAACTTTCTTTTTCACTTATGTAAAACTTTCAACTCCATTCAAACCTTCAGGACAAGGAAACATTAGCTGAGTCTGTCATCCTAGTGTGAAGGCGAGAATTACAAAAATTCAGAAAGATATTCATATACTAATCATCACTAAGAACAGAAATCAAGACAGAACATCTTACATAATAAATGTGCATCAATGAAAGATTTCAAAAGGAAGAAATTAGTCATTGTTTTCCTCCTACAGATATCATCCAATTGCCTTTATTACCTGTGATACACATACACACATGCACACACACGCAATAAAACAAATTAGGAGTGCTTGGCACACAACTATTAATTGACAAATTATTTTTTGGTTACCACTGAAATGCATGAGGAATGCTGAAAATAAAACTGGTCTTTTAACCTTCTTGTAGCACAAGTCTATGAAAGAGCTATTGGTACCTTAGTAAAATACAGAGTTACATGGACGGATGGCTATTAACAGTTTCTTTTTGGCTGTGTCTATACAAGTCAGGATGTAATTGAAAAAGATAGTTTCATTTAGAAATCTGAAACCTTAACTCTGGAGCTTCAGTTACCTTGTTGGGTTGTTACAGACATCATAAAAATGACACAGCTAAATCCTAGCATGGGCACAGCCAAAGCCCGAATCCCAAAGGCAAACAAAAACGGCTACAAGCAAGTAAAAATGTAGCTTTGTAGTTTAAAATTTTTATAAGAAATTATTAGGTTGTGTGTGGAATACAACTTTCTCTAAAACAAACAAAAGGCCGGACCCTTATTCAAGTACTGTGTGTTGTCCTTAGTTCCACAACAACACAGGAACACAGAACTTAATGTGGATTATGTGGAAAGGCCACACCATTAAACTGTGGGCAGTAAGAACTCTGAAAACATGGAGAAAAGGGTGATAATTCAGTTCAGGGTAGAGAAGGCTGAGTGTGGAGTCATTTAGCAGAAAATTTTGTGGATATGAATGTTTGATTTTTTTAACACAAGGAATGTTTGACCAGCTCTCCTCATCCTCTCTTAATGCAGACAAAGAGCAAAGCAGTAAAATGGAGCCTGAGGGTATTAATTTCACAATAAGGAATACAATTTGTTGATGATGAGAGTCATTTGATGTTAGAAAGTGTTGTGAAGAAAGGCTGGGAAATCTTCCCAAAAGAATTTTAAGAAAGAGTCAGAAGCTCATCCATCTGAAATATTCTAAGAGAGGGCTGCTGGGAGCAGGAGCACAGCCCTTGGGAGGTCTAGGCCCTGGCATCGTGTGCGTCATGTGTATATACATACTTAGTTGTGCTTGTGTTGCACAAATACTCATGCATACGGAGTCAATATAAACTGGCACATATAGATTTGAGTGAAAAGTCATATAAATCTGCCATTCCCCCCAACCCCATAAACAAAAGGAAAAACCAAAATTAAAAATTCCAAACTTATGCCATTGGGCCAGATCTTTTTCTACCATACCCTCATTCAAAGGAGGGAGGTAGAAGGATGAGAGAAAAAACCCAGTTTGGGATAAATGACTCCCAAGGCCTCTCAGCTACTTTTACGTAGCTGGCTCTCATTATATATAAGATAGTTAGCACATGGGACGAAGTAAACAAACAAATAACTAAAAAAGATTTTCTTGTACTTCCACATCTAGAAAGAAATCTACCCTGTGGATTTACATGTTAAGGTGAACTAGGTAAAGTAGGCAGTAGTATATCAATGGACTATTGTGTTCTAAGAAATGTGCATCATTAGTTGTATTTTTTTCCTTTAAAATATGAATTCCTTTTAGGAGGTTAATTTCAAAATGACTTTTTTTTTTCTTTTCCCGCCCCCAGCCCTCCCTTATAGATGATACTTCCTTAAAAGTTCAGATTGCCAAGGATGTTTTCTCTCAGGAAACCGATCTGGAATTTTGATTTTTAGGAAATCCTGGATACATTTCTCCAGCTCCTCCTCAATTGAGAGCTTTTCTTTAACAGCTTTTTTTTTGCTGCTCATGTTCGATTCCCTGGAGCCTGAAGTCAGAGTCCGGAGTAAGTCGCTTTTCCGCCGCATCTCTGACTGTTGGATCAGCTGGACAGGGCCCTTCTTGATGGGACGGTCCAGAGTCTGGATGTTGGTCTGGCGTGTCACGGGACCACAGATGACCGTCTCCTGGGGAGAGCTGGCCTCAGACTGGCTGTCGCAGCTAGATGTGGAGAGGTCATTGCAAGACGTGCCGCTCTCCCCTTCTTTGTCACCTTTGCCATTCTTGCAGCAGCAATCGCAGTGTGAGGGTGACCATCTGGAAGGCTCACCTGAAAAGAAAGCAAAGGACCCAAAGGATTAATGCCAGCCAGGTCAGTTGGAGTAGCAGTATAGCACTTGGACATACACAGAAACACACATAAGAGAAGCATCGCAGAACCATGCTTTTAGAAAAAGTGGGGTGGCACCCAGGGTGGGCTGCAACAGGTGCACCCAAAAGCCAAGTCCACGAGGGGAGGAAATTAATGATGGCATGCTATATAAGAGGAAATATAGTATAATGCTTAAGCCCATGAGCACGGGAGTCAGAAATACCCAGCTAACATCATTTATTAAGCTTGTCACCTTGGCACATCCCTTAGATTTTCAGTCAGTTTCCTCATCTGTGGTATAAGGGTAATAATTTTCCTACTATCTGGAGTTATAGGAAGGAGTTAGATAAGTCAAAATTCTTAATGCAGTATCTCTCTCACAGTCAGCTTTCAATAAAAGCTGGCCAATTTTCCATAGCTGATGGAAAGCTCCAAGTGACAACAGTCAGGTACAACAGGAGGAGACTATGAAAGCAGAATGACAGTAACCAGGGAAAGGGGACTGACTCTGTGCCTGTCCCTAACTGGGTACCCCTCAGCTCCTTGGTTCTTAACAAAAACTCTGTTAATTCAGTAGTTCCAATTTCAGTCTCCATACAAGGAAACTAAGACCCTAAGAGTTTGAGAAACTTGCCAGAGTTTGTACAATTTGAAAGTGGCAGAGCTGAGATTTGAATACAGATCTTGCAAGGGCCATAACCATGCCAATTAACCATTTTATTCAGTATCCTTGTTAGTAAAATCGTTGCTTCTACTTCAAAACAATTTTCAAGTTATAACTTCTCTGAATTTCTTGTTAACCTCTCCTCAGAAGTGTTTGCTTTTTTCTCCTCTCTGAATTATAGTTCTACTTTGTAAATACCTCTATTATTGCACATGTTACATTTTGTTATATATCATATTAGCTACTAGGCCATGAGCTCCTTAGTATGAGCATAGTGAAGTATCCGTTGTTGTAATACCAGCAAATATGCCAAGGAACAATGTAGAAATTCAATAAAAGACCATATTATAACTTATAAGTACCTGGATCTAGCCACACCTGAAGCTAGTCTTGCCAGTGAGCTTTTCATTTATATGATAAACTATATTCTGTGTCATTTTTTAAGCCAATATGAGTTCCTCTTCTCCCTTTCCTCTGAGTCTTGACTCATAATGCTGCATTTAGCAATTTGAAGGCAGAGCAATGTTGCAGATGCACAGTGGCTCCGTGAACCAGGAAGAAAAAGTCCACAATCATGGCACAAAGCAACTTCCTAAAAATAAATCACTGCCCTCCACTTCCACCCTCTGAACAGCCACAGTCTTCCTGGAGTCATAAACTTAATACTATTTACCGATCATGTATTACATGCTGGGCACTTCTACAATTCTTTGTACTTAATCCATAAAAGTAAAGAGAACAAATTCCCTTATGATATTGAGGACAAGGATAACGTAGTACCTTTATACAGTTTTAAAGGAGACCCCATTTTGATTTACACTATATCTTATTCTCATGAATAATAGGTCACATTATACAGGATGTTACCTTATTGCCATTTCTAATATAGTCAAAGTAGAGAAAACTTAGAATGAAAACTATTAGGAAAATTACATCCTATCTTCTTGTATAAAGTCTGTTCTTTACATATTAAATGATTTAAACATACATACCAACTTATCTCCATATAATTTTTTAAGAGAAAGTAAAACAAAAGTTTCTATAAATCACAACTCCAGAAGTATCCCTAAATTATACCCACTCTTTCAAGTCATTTTCTAAAATGTGACTGAGTAATCATCGTATTTATAGAGCCATTAAATTAAATGCAACAATCCAATTAGCCAAAAAGGAATCACAACAGCTGTATTGTTCTAGTTATGTCATGCTATTATACATTTTCCATGCAATACAGAAACTGTTCAGCATATACCAGCTGGTGACTGAAAATATCAGTAATAGAAAATGCTTTCTGTCTGCCAGCATACATTTTGAGGGGATCATTTTTTACCTTTACTAGGCAGAATATGCTTCTGCTTCCCCAAACTCGGCAACCCCTATACCAAAATGACTTAACTGAGAAATGGTTCCAATGAATTGCGCTGAAGAAAAGTAATCACATCAAACCAGAGACAATCTGGTTTTAAACCTTTTTGGAAAAGTGTAGAAATTGAATTTAGCTTTTACAAAAAGAACAGGAAGAGGGGAAATACAAAAAGGAAGAAGAGAAGAAATATATGCTGGGATACACCTATTACCTTAAAGCAAGATTACAAAATATTTTGGCCATAAACCCTGCTGAACAAGTAGAGAAGCAATTGCTGTCTTTTTGTCCAAGAGTCAGTCACCTTCCCCATGGTAAGCTTATTTCATTCAATGGACCCAGAAGGAAACTTGAGTCTTCTACAAAAGTGTTTGTTTGGGGTTTTTTGTTGTTGTTTGTTTGTTTTTTGAGACAGAGTCTTGCTCTATCGCCCAGGCTGGAGTGCAGTGGTGCTACGATCTCAGTTCACTGCAACCTCCACCTCCTAGGTTCAAGTGATTCTCCTGCCTCAGCCTCTTGAGTAGCAGGGACTACAGATACCTGCCACCACGTCCGGCTAATTTTTTGGTATGTTCAGTAGAGAGGCGGTTTCACCATAGCCAGGCTTGTCTTGAACTCCTGACCTCAAGTGATCTGCCCGCCTTGGCCTCCCAAAGTGCTGGGATTATAGGTGTGAGCCACTGCACTCAGTCTTCCAAAAGTTATTTTAACAACACAAACACCATCATGTGAAAAATTTCTGTATATTCATGTGGAAAGTTGCATGAAGCCCTCACTATGTGCCAAGCCAGGAACCTGGCAATGGTGCAGTTATTTCCTCCCTGAACTGCTGGGATGATCATGTATTTAAATGTCATCTGGGATCCTCCTGCTACCAAACAGAAGTATTGCTTTCCACTTATTCTGGGCACTATCACTATCAAAGGGGAATTGAACAACTTAATTCTAGTGGAGGTTGTCATACTACCATGTTTCCAGATTTTATGAGAACATTTGACTGTTTTACTTGCCATTTATTTTGGCAAGATAATTTATGAGATGGCTTCTGAAGTCTATGTATTATATTAAACCAAAAAAGAAAGATAGGATCAGAAGGGCCCCATCCAGCTGATCCAATATTATAGGATTAATAGTACTACAGCCCAACTGTAGTCCTACATGAAGGGTTGTTGTGAAGTTTGAAAAATAATCAAATGTGAGAAGATAACCACCCCATATCTTTTCTAGGAGCACTGTCTGCCTGACTACCCTCTTCCCAAGAACCTAATTACAAGCAAAGAGGTTTTAAATCAGAACACAGAAATGACACATGTAAGCTCCAGACCCCTTTGACCTTGCAGTCCCACTGTGATATGCTTACAAGTCTTGGGAAGTGTGGAAAGATCTATGAAAGGTCAGTTCTGTAACACAAAGTATTCTAGAATCCCCCCAATTATACCAAATAACGATCTCATAAATACCTTAGTACTTCAAGTTGCAATGTATTTTGCTTCCAATTTGCTGAAGTTTCAATACTGGCTGGAATAATTCTCTCCATTTGGGGAGAAAATAGGTTACAATTGATTAGCCAGATGTGGGAAGAAAACCATTTCATTCCAAGAAAAGTCTGATTTATTGATATTAAAAAAGCAGGAAATCTATTGCCTGTTTGGGGAGTTATTATCTAGTTGCTGGTCAGAGAGCCTAATAGCTCTACCTTGTTTTTTAATAAGTCATTGCTGAATTTGTTGAATATTATATGATTTTTGGTGCCTGCTGCATAACAGTGGCTTGATAAATGTTTGATGAATAATCAGTGAATGAGCTGAACACATATGTTGAATTGTATCAAGTTGATAACATGGCAGTGCAGGTCTCAGGCGCCAGAGTCAGACTTCACAATTTGTCACCTATGAGACCTTACATAAATTACTTCAACTCTCTGAGCCTCAGTTTACTCATCTGAAGAATAAGGCTGTTAACAGCATTCTCTTCACAGGGCTTTGAAGAAAATTAAATGAGATAGCTAATGTAAAGGATGTTTCATAATTTGCGGCACACTAAGTATTCCATTCAATTACACATCTTTGTTTTACTACAATGCTGACGCTATTCCATATAAGGGAAACAAATCAGGGGCTTGCTATATAATTATAATGTTTCCATCAATACACTACACAGCTAATACTTAGATCTAGCTGGAATATCACATTAGTAATGACACCGATGTTACAGCTGGATGCCTCAGGAAAATGTGTATTCAGTAGTTAGTAATGTCTGCCTCAGCACAGGAATGGTGAGTGAGTGACCACAAGCGCATACTGTGTCTGGGACATGGTGTGTGAACAGAGGATGTTTTTGGAAAAAAAGGAGTCTTTATAGTGCAGTGCTTAAAATTTCACAAATGGATAAGCCCTTCAGGATAAAGATTGACTTGAAAACACATCAAATAAACTTAAATCCAGAACGGGAAAGAATTTGCATTTTGGATTAAACAGGGAGAGGCAGGAAACTAAGTTATATTAAGTCCTTAAAGCCCTAAATCTTCAAGCATTTTACAACTTAGAAAAACTGAGGACTAATCAAGCAAATTGTATGATTAGACTTGGCCCCCTTCCACTATAGACCTCACTGTGGCAGTTCTTACTGATAAAGAAGAACTTAAACAGAAAAGACTACAGAATATTTCTCCTCTATGAAAAATTCAAACCGAGCTGAGTGAAACATGACTTAGCAAACTCACAAAGTGCTTATGCATTTTTAAAAGCTCTGCAATGTACCCACACTTCAAATTTTCCGCCTGCTAATGGTTGTGAGCACAATGCACATCATTTACTGCAACAGCTGGGAAAACTGCTTTCCCCTGTCTTCTCTGTCAATGATGTAGGAGCCTGCCAGTCTGGGAGCTAGGTGGCCAGATTTAATTTATCGAGGCTGCTGAAAGGCTTTCTTGGTATCCCAGTTGAAAAGTCAATAATGGCCAAATTGATGTTTTTATAATTCTGCTAACCTTGAAAACGATATTGCATAGTGGAGATTGGGAATAGGCAGGCTATGAGAGCTTCTGAAAAAAGTTTGTCTTCAAGCTTGACAATCATCATTTCTTGCTTGCAGTTGACCGTTTTTACTCATGAGCAGTTGGTCTTGGAGGGGCCCAGTGGGGGCTTCTATTGAGAGATGGTTAGTACGGGCAAGAACAGACAGTTAAACTAGCCACGCATCCATCAGAGTCAGTCAGGAACACAGGCACCTCACCAGTTACCTGAACGGGAAGAATTTAACGTAAGTATTGGTTAGACAGACATGGGAGAAGTGAAAATGCAAACAGGTAACAGTGAAGAGACAAAGATAGTGGCTGCAGGAGGTGGCTACCATCCTTAAGTCTGAGGAGACAAGTAAAAGAAAATGCAGTTATTAGAACCTAAAAGCTTAGAGGAGGCATTGTGTGGAGGTTGGACCCAGACATCTGAGGAGGGCATGTGGCCTGCTGGTGCTGATGTTTCTGAAGCAGCCTGGCTCAGGGGATTATAGAGGGGAAAAAAGGGAAGCTGAAACCAACTGCTTTTGGAGTAAACAAAAGCTGGGCTGCCGCTGATAGGAGCAAGGGGCAAGCAAGGAATTCTTCCCATGTTTTAGTGTCTCCCTCTAGCACCCTCTATTGACAGAGCCTAACAGAAAGCCAGCTGGGCAAAGGAAAAGTGTAGTTAGCCTGTGTGGTTAACCCAAATCCCAGTCCTGGCATCACAAATAGAGTATAAAGGGGTGTGTTTGGAGCTGAGAGACAACACCTTAATAACCAGGACACTCCCTGCGAGGGATGCAAAAGACATGAAAGACACTCTTGACCTGCAGGAATGTGTGCTCTACTGCACAAGCTAGGAAATGAAAATTAAAACAAACAAACAAAAAATCACCTCACTTCAGCTCCTGCCCTGCCAGCCCTTTTCTATACCTCAATGTTTTGTGTGTGATCTTCCCTTTGCCAGCCACGCATCTTTCTACTTTCAGGCTAGTCCCAACCTCCTCCTGCCCGTTGCTTTCACGGCACCATAATGTGTAAACACGGGTGGGTTTCTAGGTTTATTGGCTTAATGTCTGCTTTCCACACTAGACTGCAAGGGATGTGCTTGTTTCCTTCTGAATTCTAGAGTGTGCTCCAGGGCACACACAGATCAGCATGCCAGGGCATACAGTAGCAGATGCTCATTGAATATCTGTATGATAAATGAATGGGGGAGGAAGCCTGCTGTGTACAGACAGCAAAGTTTAGTTAGAGTGTGTGAATGTGTGTGTGACAGAGTAAACCTTCCACCCAAAAAGAAAAATGGATTGAAAATTCTGACATGCAAAAGACATTAGAATGGAAAATATTTAGGCATATTGCTAGACAGTTAATATACATATGACAAAAACATACTGACCCAGAGAGAAAAATGGCAAAATCTACAGGCCTATCAAGAACTTTTAAAGTGTTTTACGTATATGTAATATATATAGTGTTATATATATTATATATAATATATATAACACTATATATATTATATATAATACATATAGTGTTATATATATTATATATAATATATAGTGTTATATATATTATATATAATATATATAATATATATAGTGTTATATATATTATATATAATATATATAATATATATAGTAACGGTTAACTCTTCCAAACCAGAAACTTGCTGAAATTCTAATAATAGATACTATTTATTGAGAACTCCCTATGTCTTGTTATTGTGCTCAGCACTTTACATAATTTTATCTTCACAATAATCCTATTAGTGAATGGTGAATTTGTAATAATCTCATTAGTCAATTAGGATGCTATTCTTTTCTTTTCATGGAAGAAGAAACTGTAGCTAAAAGTGGTTAATTATTTGATCCAAAGTTATAAAGTTGACAAGTGGTGAGAATTAAAACTCAGATATTTTTAAATACAAAGCATCTGGTTTTTATTTAGTGGACACAATATTCAAACATGAAAATTTTCTATGAGGGATATTTAAAAGTATTAACAGAGTGAAAGAGTTTAAATACTGACATTAAACATGACTGCCCCAGTGATTCCAGCCCTTCAATAACTTCTAAAAGTAACCAGCTATTTGAACAACTTAAAAATCCAGGCTTTCTGAGGTCTTTTATCATTATATTTATATATAAAATTTAACCTCCTTTCCCTCTGCCCATTGGAAATAATTGAAAATGACTACATGAAGGACACAGTGTCAGTGGTGCTCTTCCTGATGTGTGGGACATCTTGTATCCTTCCACCATTATTTAGTTCTACCAGGGCTGCCTTGGTAGCAATCACCAGTGTGTGAAGTGTGCACTTAATTAGCTCATGAAAAAAAAAAAAAAAACCCTAGCTAGTGAACTAAGATATAATATTTGCTAATATTACTTAATGAATACTCAACAACCAATCAGTATGTGATATCTCCTCCAACAGAGAAAAAACATATGGCCGGGTAGGCTGGCTCACACCTGAATCCCAGCACTTTGGCAGGCCAAGGCAGGAGGATCACCTGAGGTCAGGAGTTCGAGACCAGCCTGACCAATATGGTGAAATCCCGTCTCTACTAAAAATACAAAAATTAGCCAGGCATGGTGGCAGACGCCTGTAATCCCAGCTACTTGGGAGGCTGAGACTGGAGAATCACTTGAACCCGGGAGGCGGAGGTTGAAGTGACCAGAGATTGCGCCATTGCACTCCAGCCTGGGTGACAAGAGCAACCGGTCTACAACAATCTATAGTTTATTGGCAAATGCAAACTTAAACTTCTATTAATCCTCCTGGCAAAAAAAAAAAAAAACAAAAAAGTTAAATTTGGAGCAATTGTTCAAGAGCTACAGAACCCTGTGAATTTTATGAGAAACGCAGGTGGAAAAGAACTATCTTAAAACATTTATGAGTCATAAACTACTTGGAAGGGAATGAGGGTTGACCAGAAAATGTAGAATGCATCAGAAGCATGTCCATGATAAGGCCAATCAGGATGCTCATGCAGAAGCTCAGTGCTGGCAGACCTACACGACCACAGTAGTGGTTTGAAAAGAGAATCGTGTGAGACCCAGAAGAGACCTGAGAGGCCACGAGTGCCCTCATTTTTACAATGAGGAAACACAGCCTGGAGAAAGAAAGGGTGTCAGGTATACAGTTGGGAAGGTACAAAGCCACATGGACAGAAGGTAAATACAGCAAAACCCGCTGGATAGTGTTTCACATCTGGACAGTCTATCATCTGGGAAAAGGAATTAAAAAGCTCTGAAGAAGAGTACATTGTTGATTACAGTGAAGATAAACACAGGACAGGGTACTTCGAAGAAAGAAGATTCCTGAAATATGATCACATGCCTAATGTCCAGAAAGGCGAGAGAGAGAAAGAGAGAGAGAGAGAGTGAGAGAGAGAGGGGGGGGAGAGAGAGACTATGTATGTGATAAGACTGATCTACATTTATCAAACACCTATCCTATGCTAGACATTTTACTTGTATTATTTCATTGAATCTTTGCAATCAGCAAAGGGAGGTAAAAATTACAATGCTTAATCTCTACCTTCTAGGGCAAATAGGTAGCTAGAGAAGAACAAATGTTACCAGATGCCAGAAAGGGTAACCTTCCATCACAGGGATTTACTCATAATCAAGATCTAAAAGACTTTCTTTTTAAAATGCATATATTTTTGGGAGAAGAATAAATCTCAGACAACTCAGTGTGAATTAGTTTATCACAGTACTTGGGCCCAACAGAGAGGGAAACCTGGAAACTCACATTAGTGATCAATGCCTAACAATTCGCAGCTATGAAGAAGAAGAAGAGGAAGAAGAAGAAGAAGAAGAGGAAGAGGAAGAGGAAGAGGAGAAAGAGGAATAGGAAGAAGAAGAAGAAGAGGAGGAGGAAGAAGAGGAGTAAGAGGAGGATGAGGAGGAGGAAGAGGAACTTGCTGGATTAATGAACCGTGAGCACCTATCACATGTCATGTGTGATAGTAAGTGCTTTACAAACATTTTATCTTATTCTAATAACACTCTAAGTCAGGGCACTATTGACATTTGGGCTGAATCATTCCTTGTGGGGCCATCCTCTGCACTGTAGGATGTATGGCAACATCTGTGGCCTCTATCCATTTATTGCCATTAGTACCTCCCCTCCTCAGTTGAGGCTACTAAAAATGTCTCCAGATATTGCCAGCTGTCCCCTAGGGGTAAAATTGCCTCCAGCTAAGAACTGTTGCTTTCAAATAAATATTCCTATTTTATTGATGAGGAAACTGAATTTCATAAAATTTTACTAATTTGCTCATGGCTCAGAAAACTAGTAAAAGGCAAAAGCAGGATTTAATTTGGTAGATCCAACTTCAAGATTAGTGCTTGTTCCATCACTTATATTGTAATGCTCCAGAAAAATGGTGCCTTTCTGACAGGAATGTATTGGCCAAAGACCCAGCCATTATATTCACAATAACTTCCAAAAGAAGCCCAGTGAAAGTAGATGAAGGAAATTGAGCTGTCATTTCACTTTTCACGAAATGGAAAGAACACCTCATTTTCACCACACTATCTTCACATGATAACAGAATAGGAAGACTGACAAAATTTAGCAGCTGTGCCGAACATGTATCTCTGCTGAGTAGCCACTAACAAATCGTCATTCCTTTAATTAGGATTTTTAAATGGAGCACAGATTGAGCTAACCAAATATTTTTTCCCATATAGGCAGAGCCTATGTTGATATTATGTAATAATAATAGACATCTTTAAATTGAATGTTTACTACATGTCAATTGTGTTCTAAGCACTTTCCTTACAGAGGCTTATTTGAGATTTATAATGTCCCTATGAATCAGACTCTCTTGTCATGCACAGTTTTCAGAAAAGCTAATAGGCACAGGGAGGTCAGCAACTAACCCAAATCTTTAAGAAGTGGAGCTGTGATGAATACTCTGGCAGTGTGACCCCAGAATTTCCACAGAGAAGCAGGCACTAAAGCCCAGTAAGTGGTTCAGAGCTTGGGCTTTGAATCAAAGAAACAGGAATGAGCTCTGCTGGTAACTTGCAGCTTCTTCATCAAAAAATGTTGGAAATAACAATGCTTCTCTGATAGGAGAGTGAGAATTGAATGATATGATTTGTCCACAGCATGATGACAGTGCCTAGAAAATATTCAATGTCCACTGAATAATAAGTTTTTAGAAGACAATTGATTGCTTTTGATACCTACATTGGCATGTTTAATATTAACCACAGTATGTAAACACTTAACAATAAAAGGCAAATTCAATAGAGAGAACTATATAAATAATACCTTGTTTCTTCTGCTTTTTTTCAATAGGCAGTCTACTCAGAACCCACCTTCATATCACTTAACTAATATCTATATTTTGTACCCTCATCATGGGCTTTCTACCAAAGAATTAATCTCATTTGCATAGATTGATAATATTTAGGAAAACACCACTGATGCACAAGTCCATAATATAAAAGTCTCCTCCTCTTGGCTCAGGGACAAAGATTGCCATATTTGACCTGCAGTGACTCTAAGAGCAGTAGAATTTTTAAAAGAGGGGATAAATTGTGCATTGTGATAACAGTTGACTGCTATTCCTTTATATACGATTTGTCTTTGATTGTTAAATCACATTAATTTCATACAAATGCATAACCTCACAAGATTGCTTGATTCCCTCTGATTGGGAAAAACACCCTTCAAGTTGGAATCCACTATTATCTCCATGGTTTATTCACTTAACACAGGCTTTCGAGTGTTAACAGATATATTCAATGACCAGTGAAAGCAAGGGTGTGCCACTTGCATAAATTTGCACTAAGAACTTCAAGACCAGACGGCATGGAACATAAATAGCATGGTCATTGTGGAAACCATTGGAAGCCAGACAGAGATGTGTCTGTTTTTTGTTTTTTTAATATATTCTTCTATCTTCACTGATGTAATTGTTACTGGGTAATATACTCTTATTTGCTAACATTTGGAAAAGTCAATGAAAAAGAGTTTTTTGTTTTTTTTTTTTTTAAGAAACCAAAAGAGAATTATTCAAAAAAAAAAATAATAGCTCTGATGGCTGGACTTTTTCCCCTTCTTCTCTCCCATCTTAACCAGGGAGAGAATTTTCTCTTTCTCATCAAATCATGGTGACTGTAATGGCAAAGAGAATTCCTAAGAGACGGTAAAATTTTTAGTTAAAAACTCAAAGGTGGTGGAAGATCTTCTGCAGATTGATTAGCTGGCAAATATTAAATCATTCTGTTTAAAAACTGTAATATTGATGAATGTGGCCAAAAGTGATGGGAGTCATAGACTGATGTAGAGACAAAGGAAGTGAGGAGAGTGACGGCGGGGAAGACAATGAAAACCTGAAGACAAAGAAATGCAATTACAAATACTAGTGCCATAATAATGATTAAGAGAGCAAATGTGAGACAGTAAAGGAAGCAAAGAAGGAGTTAGCAATGGAAGAGAAAAGATAAAGGAAAAAAAGGTAAAATTAAAAAATGCCAGGGTAGGCCATGACAACGGAATCAAATCCCAAGCAGAATCTGGAAAACAAATGATGAAACACCAGAATAGTATTATAAGAAAACAAAGTATAATTCTTAAGACTGCAAAACTAGGGCACCCAGTGTGACTTTGGAGAGCGGGGAAGTTCTGGCAGTCTTTCTGGAGGAAGCAGCATCTGGCTTTAGACAAAAGTGATAATTAAATAAAGGTGAGTCAAGGGAAAAAAGACCCATAAATATTGTATGAGACATTCAAAATAGTGTGTTCCGTAGCCGGGGGTGAAAGAAAACATACTGCCTTTGGGGAGTTAAGAGTAGTTCACGGGTGGCTAAAGAGTGAGTGTGAGGGTGGCAAAGGTGAGACATAAGTAAAGCCAGATCACATGGAGTCTTGTCTCTCTGTTAAAGAGGACATGAGGAGCCACAACAGAGCGACCAGATCATTACTGTGTCTAGAAAGAGTGGAGATTGAATTGCTATAAGGACGGACTGAGGAGTCAGGGACCAGTTAGGAGATTGCTAAAATAGTCCAGGTGAGAGGAAACAATAGCCAAGGGTACTGGTACTGAAAATGGAAAGAAGAAGCCAGATTCCACAGCACTCAGGAGGTAGAAGTTACAGATATCAGTGAGAAGACGAGAGAAGTGTTCAGAGTGGTCCCAGAGATGTCTAGCTTGGGCAGCTGGTGGGTACACGGTGCTTTCATTCTCTGAGGTAGGCGACCTGGGAAGGGAAAGAGGCTGGGAAGTGGGGGTATGGGAAGATGATAAAGAAAGGTGATGAGTCCAATTCTGGAATTGTTGTGGGCCTGTAGAACATCCAAGTCCATCAGTCTTTTCCATGCTTTTCCTGTAATTCCATAAAGATCCCTTTGTTCAATAATTCTTTGTGACATGCATGCATCCATGCAATTATATAGAGCAGCCCGGTGGAAAACAGAAAATTGACCTTAGCAAAATAAATGCTCAATATCTTACATTTTTTGTAAGAAATTTAATTCTATTCTTGTGCTAATCTTGACTTTCATTACACTATAAGTTATTTAAGTTCCTGGAAAGTAAGATCCCACTTGAAAGAGAGTCCCTGGCTGAAGGTTATGTTCCTTTCATTCTGACAAAGATTTGAGAAGAGCTGTGGCTTAACAGAAGAAGAGAAATCATGGTATCTGGTATTTGTATAATAATGCTTACTAGATTATAGACCATTTTTATTAATTGCACCCCATTTGATCTTCACATTCATTCACTAAGCACTAAACTAAGATTTGATTGATCTCTGCCAGACACTCTCTAGGCAATGTTTACACAGCTGGCCACAGGGATTTTACATTCTAGTAAGAAAGATGGGCCTGGTGCAATGACTCATGCCTGTAATCCCAAGATTTTGGGAGGCCGAGGGTGGACCACCTCAGGTCAGGAGTTTTAGACCAGCCTGGCCAACATGGTGAAACCCCATCTCTACTAAATATACAAAAATTAGCTGGGTGTGGTGGCCTATGCCTGTAATTCCAGCTACTCAGAAGGCTGAGGCACAAGAATCACCTGAACTCAGGAGGCAGAGGCTGCAGTGAGTTGAGATTTTGCCACTGCACTCCAGCTTGGGTGACAGAGTGAGACTCTGCCTCAAAAAAATAAAATAAAATGTCAAGTAGTGATGAGGGCTATGAAGAAAATAAAACAGAATATATGGTGGAGTGAGTTGGTCTGAGAAGATTGCAGTTAATAGATAATGTTCAGATGCCATGGCCAGGGAAATTGACATTTTGATTGGGACTAGAATTCAAAAGAAGCCAACCTGTGAAGATCATGTATTTAATAGAAGTCTTTACAGGGAAAAGGAACACTAGATGCAAAGATCCTGTGGTAGAAACACAAGATGGCATACGCAAGGAAAAGAAAGAGGACTTGCATGGCTTGAATGATCAAAAAGGAGTGATAGAAGATAAGATTGGAGGCCGGGTGCGGTGGCTCACGCCTGTAATCCCAGCACTTTGGGAGGCTGAGGCGGGCGGATCACGAGGTCAGGATATCGAGACCATCCTGGCTAACACAGAGAAACCCCTTCTCTACTAAAAATACAAAAAATTAGCCAGGCGTGGTGGCAGATGCCTGTAGTCCCAGTTAACTCGGGAGACTGAGGCAGGAGAATGGAGTGAACCCGGGAGGCGGATCTTGCAGTGAGCCAAGATCACGCCACTGCACTCCAGCCTGGGCAACAGAGCAAGACTCCATCTCAAAAAAAAAAAAAAAAAAAAAAAAAGATGATATTGGAGAGGGAGACAGGAGCCAAATCATATAGGGCCTCAGAGGCTACAGTTAGGAGTTATAATTTTTAACCAGTGCAATAAAAATGATGATTTTTCCAGGAAATTGCATGATTTAATTTAAGTTTTTTACAAGGTTCCTCTGGCTGCTATCTAGAGAATGGACTATAAGGCCAAGCACAGTGGCTCACAACTGTAATCCCGGCACTTTGGGAGGCTGAGGCGAGCAGATCACCTGAGGTCAGGAGTTTGAGACCAGCCTGGACAGCATAGTGAAACCTTGTCTCTACTAAAAATACAGAAATCAGTGAGACGTGTTGGTACACCTGTAATCCCAACTACTCGGGAGGCTGAGGCAGGAGAAGCACTTGAATCTGGGAGGCGGAAGTTGCAGTGAGCCAAGATCACACCACTCCACTCCAGCCTGGGTGACAAAGCAAGACTCCATTAAAAAAAAAGAAAAGAAACTTCCAGTCTGGATTATAGATGAGCAAGAATTGAGCCAGGGAGGCCAGTTAAGAGGCCATTACAGGTGTTCAGGCAAGAGATGATAGTGACTTCTAGGAGTGAGGATGGAGAATGGGGACTTTCTGACATAGATTTCCAGATTCCCATTTTACAGATGACAAAAGTGAGGCTCATAAATTAGCCATCCCAATAAAATGATTGTTCAAATGTCTTCAACAAAGATTACTTTCTGACAGAAGATGCTCCGGCTGTCTCCAGTTCCTGTACATCCTCTATACAGAACACTTACTTGGTTAGTCCTTCTGCTGATCTGCACCTGCTGGGGCTACTTGATTGACATTGCAAACTAGAGCCTGGAGTTTAATTCTACAATCAGGAATCATTACATTGTTTGTAAACAATGACAGACTATGATAAATATGCATTCTGGTTAATTACTGCCTTCCCATGTGCTGTCTTCACTTTCTCATTTCCATCATCCTGTCACATCTTAATACCTGATTGTGGGTTCTCTACAACAGGGAGAGAAAGTATAGCTGCAAATACATTGAAATGCAAGAAGAGAGCCCTGTACTCTGATGGGCTCTTAGGAACAGGAGGAAAGCCTGAAGCTCAAACATTATTAAAAACTAACAGGTTTTCAGTATGTTCAGGTTTATATCATTCCTTTGGTTTGTACATTAGGTTTTTATTTGAGAGTCTCTAATAGATTTCTATTGGACCCCAGCACCTGAAGCTGAATAAGTAAGCAAATAGTAAACTGAGTTCCCCTAGAGTCTAAGACATTTGGCTTTTCTTTTCTTTTTTCTAAACAACAGGACCAAAGAGTAGTTAGTAAACATTCTAGGATGGGATTCCTTTATCTATAGAACAACAGCCTCTGCGACAGAAATCTTGGAACAGAGAAAGTCTCCATATGGCTTATTAAGTACCAACAATTCACATATGGTGCAGTACAGGTGTTGTGTAAATCAAGTGGCAGTACTAAGAAAGGTGGTTTTGCCTGGTAGAATTGAGTACCCAGTTGCGAGGTCAGATGGATCTCACTATAAATCGCACTACACTCTGCTTCTTCTCAGTGGGTGACCTGAACGAGTTACTGAACCTCAGTTTGCTCACCTGTAACATGGGGGCAATAGCAGTACCTGCCTATGAGGTTGTTTGAGAAATAAATGGAAAGTGCTCTGCTTGGTGCTTGGCCTCCTACAACCACTTAAATAAATAAATTTGTCATTGTTACCAGTTCTTCTTATGACTGTTACTAGACTTCCAGTTTCTTAAGGATTTTTCTTTATTGTTTCTCTCATGTGAAGAGAATGAATTTGCACATAAAATGTGAAATGGAAATTCCTCTGACTACCCCGTGTGTCAGAAAATGGCTGGCCTGGATCTCTGGAAACAGGCAAGGCCTTGAGCAAATGTGGCCTTGTTACACCAATGGGCAGTTGTATGCACCAGTTACGGTATAAGACCAGCATCCCAGGCCTAATCCGGTACTGTCAAGTTATATGACCATGGCCAAATTCTTTAAATCTCTGTTTTTCTCACCCCTAAATTTGACAGGATTATTGGCCTACACCTTGCCAGTTTCTTTACATCAAATGAGACTGTCATGAAAACATTTTGCAAAATAATAACAATATCACAACATATATATTGGGATAAAATTGGTATCCCTGTTATTGTCAGTCTTCACTTTAATCTCATTGGCACTAAATTATTCTCCTTAACAGGAGAGAAGAGGCTCTTGATCAGATATTTGATTCTCTCCTTAATCTGGTTTCCCTCCACCCCCTGTTTTACTTCTCAGTGTTTGTACATTAGGTTTCTCACCTCATTAACTTACTGTCCTTTCTGCCTAAAATGCCCTTCCAATCCCCCTCCTCCCTTAACCTGGGCAACCTGTCAATGAAGAGTCAGCTCAGTTGTTCCTTCTCCAGGGCTTCTCTTCATTTCTACCATTCCTAACTCCAGTGCCCCTAGAGGCCACCACCCTTCTGACCTCCCATTCACGTGGGGCACATCTCTCTTGCGATACAGCATTGCTTTGTAAATGGCTCCTACATTAGACTGTGAGCTCCTGACCATCTTATCAGAGACCATGCTTATTCATCTTCTCTCTTGACAGCAGAGCAAAGTATTTGGCATGTAAGGGCCACCTGGCCCGAGTCATTGGAGGGAGCAAATAAATGAAACAACTTTTAGTTGATTAAGTACCTGATCACAGATTTGATAAGTGTGCGTTACATTTAAATACATATAGTTAAGGGATTATCACTTCTCCATTACAAATTTGTATTTTATTCAAATATAGTTTGTTTCCTCAGCTACCTCACTTGAAGCTTAAACTTCATTTTCCATCTATGGCAATGTGGATATTTTATTTAAAACATTTCTGTGTTCCCCCACCTTTCAGATATTTAAATACTACTTCGGAATAAAAACAGTCTGTATAGTGCTAGGTGTGACAGAATATTGAGGGAAAAACAATTTCAAAGTGTCTATCTTTTCAAATACTCATCTTTATAGTCATTATGGAAGGATTTTTATTGTTTTGTTTGCTTGTTTTTACACCCACCAGAAAAAAAAAAAAAAAGAGTTCTGTGGTATAGTCTCAAAGATAGTGTGTCAAAATGAATTCAAAAGCCCAGATCGACACAACTACAAATTTATCAGTCAAAAATACATTCACCAGTTAAATGAAGTCATTGAATCATGCATTAACAAAATGAATAATAAACCTGAGACCATAGCAATTTACCTTCCTCAACTGAATGCAAAGTAAGCAGAAGTCTGATACTCAAATTGCACTGTCAGATGGCCCTAATGAGTTTAGTTTAGGCTAAGTCCTCCCTACCCCTGACCCCCCTGTGTGCGTCTGTGTGTGTTGGGGCAGGGGGATGAAAAGGAACAAAGTGATAGAGCAAGTCAGAGAAGTAAAAAAGAGTACATAGCTTAGTGAGCTGAGAGAGAGGTTGTGTTTTCATTCAGTTGATTTAGTTTAAAAAGCATGTATGTATTTTCTTTATGTATTAATATTTTCTTTTAAATTAAAATTTTAGTGTTAAAGGTAAAAACAACAGTACACTATTCTCATTCTATCCCTATTGTACAAAATTCCAGCAAAATTATATTTTGTTGGGGGGGGTTTGTGAGGGGAGACAGAAAATATATAAAGAATTAAAGAACATTAAATTATAAGAGCCTTTTTAGATATACCTAGAGAAAAGGGTTAAGCTCCAAAATCATACCCCATTCCTATCATTTGAGGGAGGTGTGTGAATCAGATATTTATAGCTACAAGTAGAAGATCATGCAAGTGTGGTACAATTTTATTTACTTTTATTTATTGAAGTACAATTTTTAAGTGGCATAGTATGAGACACAGTAATGGCTCACTGTCTATCTGTGAATCGTATTTGCATTTTTCACATTTCAAATACTGGGCACAGTGTTCACTTCTGTGATGCCATTGTAGAAGAATCAGGAATGATCCCAGGGCACTAGGATAAATATGCCTGCTATACTCAGACATTTGCAGACAGTCCACTCCCAATTTATGGAAGTCCTTTCTTAAAAATCAGAGGCTGTCAAGCCTTCACCTCAGTGCTTAAATGCCCTCTCTAAACTTGGCAGTCTTGCCTGGAAACATTCCTCCACCCTCCTGCTAACCTTCTGGACTGCTGCAATTACTTCTTTCCTGGCCACTCATCACAGTCAACCCATCCTTCAGTCCCAACTCTCTCCATCCCACTACTGGTTCAACTAATCCTGCCTTCATCCCATTGCTTAATAAGACTGAACACAGTAGTTGTGTCTTGCCCCACATGGAACTCTGTCACTCAAGTCTTCATTGAACTTTCTTCTTTGACTTTTCCACTCCACTTTCTCTTGGTTCCCAAATTATCTGCCAATGTGATATTCACCACAAGAAAATGCTTTGTTATCTAGTAAAAATAAGTACTGTTGCAAAAATTGAATGTGCCCCCGCTTCGTCATATGATGCTGGATACCACACCAAGTGACCCATTAAGTATGGCACAGATTCTGGCTAAGCACAGAGGAGTCTCTGTCACTTTTACAGAGAAGGGGCCATGTGGAAGCAGAAGGAAGTTGGGTGAGACTCTCCACTTGCCTCTCTTCCATTTGCTCTAAAGTTAGGGGTGTGCACACTCCTCAATGCGCCTCTGTTGGGGGAAAGGAGAAAAGGCCTGTCCTGACTCACAGACAGAAGCTGGAGGTAAGGACACCACCGACAACAGGGAGTCTGTGACCCCCTGGGGCTTTCTCAAGCACCAAAGCTTGTACCAATTATTTCAAAGCTTAAGATCCCTGATATGCTCTAGAATGTAAGCTTTAAGAAACCAATAATTTTTGTCTTTTTTGTCTGCTACTGTAGCCTTAGTGCCCAGAAGAATGTCTGCACATGTAGATACCAACCTCAAAATATATTTTGAGTAAATCAATGTATTGCACTGGATTTGGCCATTATATTTCTATCACCCTATTCCGTTTCAGGAAAACTTAAGTTCAACCGCTTTTTACAGGTCTAAATTTCTCCAAAATAGTCATCATACCTATAATGATACTTTCTTCTTTCTTGGAAAAAAAAACCCTCCTGGTAAAAAGTACTCTATACCCATAGGGTAAAGAAGAGAGGATAATAGGATGAAGCGTTTCCTTCTCAAAGTTGAGCTATCCATGATGGAGCTTTATGCATCCTGTCTTCCCAGAGAAACTGTAATGATATAAAAAAGTTTCTGATTCCAATTAGAAACCTAACCACAAACTTTAGCCTTATATCTATGAGGAAATATCTTTCCGATTTCATGTTGATATAATTCCAGAAATGTGGCCAATTTATAATTTGGAAATCTTAAGAATTTGGCTTCAAGAAGAATCAATATTCTGTATATATTATCAGGGGTGGAAAATGGTGTAGTCTTGGTAATAACAAACAGATACTTTCTGAGAAAACAGAGTTGATTTATTCCATTCCCATGTGAAAAAAGCAAAAACAATATATATAAAGTTGATATGGGTGTTTCTGGTTCTATGAATGCTCTGGTTTTATGAGAGATATGGAAGGTTCTGCATAAACTTGTTACTGAAATAAAACAGCTAAAGACTGATTGGGTGGGTAGCTTCCTGAATTCTGAGTTACGCAGCAAAATAATACATAGCACAAGGATTTGAGTTAACTACAGAGTTATCATACCTGTATATGTGCTTAAAGACTGTTGATTCATTGTTGATTTATCTAGCCAGTCTAGAACACTAATTAGAAAAATGTGGTGTCAACTTTCTCATCAAAAGAAATCTGAGAGGTTAATCACCCTTTATTCCATCCCTTATCTTTTCCCCATCTGCTAAGTTTACTGACTGGGCTCGGTGTTACACAGATAGTCTGAACATGAGGTCACCCTAGAGTAAACGGGGCCTCACTTCTGAAGCCGTAGGGAAATTAACTATTACAAAGGGTTGGTACATCTTTTAATCTCAGTCTCAGATTAAGGCCAGTCTAAAACCAGTAGAATAGGTAGCTACTATAAGATACGATATTAGAACTTTGATGGAGGCAGCCCTCTTCTATGTCAAAAAAAATACTTCTTTCACTAGCTGGTCAAGAATTCTACCATGATGAAAATAATAACTCTAACAACAATTACTCAATGCTGAATAGTTAATTAGTG